>NC_000001.11:45614441-45917471 GCF_000001405.40 Homo sapiens | reverse complement strand
GAAAATGGCAAGAGGAGAAGTAGCCAAAGCACAATCAGCACTAAATGGGACTTTAGTGAGGAAGAGGGCTGGAGCAGATGTGGGTGAAAACATGTGCTGGTTTACTTCAGCTCCTCGGCAAAGGGTAGAGATTCTGACAAGGTACCACAATAGGAAAAAAACAAGGTCAGTGATAACTTTTCAACCAAAAAGAAACATATTCAAAGTGGCTTGGTTTAGGCAAAAAGCTCAAGAAAAGTAAGTGGTCAAAAATCATTCTCCAATATCATACTTCAGTACCAATGTTGGTACAGGATGACAACAGAGACAAAAACTTAATCCATAAAATTAAAATACAACATTTAAGATTTGGCTATTCAACATATTTGTTATTTATTTTTATTTTTATTTTTTGAGACAGAGTTTTGCTCTTGTTGCCCAGGCTAGAGTGCAATGGCACGATCTTGGCTCACTGCAACCTCTGCCTCCTGGGTTCAAGCGATTCTCCTGCCTCAGCCTCCCAAGTAGCTGGGATTACAGGCATGCACCACCACACCCAGCTAATTTTGTATTTTTAGTACAAACAGGGTTTCATCATGTTGGTCAGTCTGGTCTCGAACTCCTGACCTCGAGTGATCCACCCGCCTCGGCCTCCTAAAAGTGCTGGGATTACAGATGTAAGCCACCGTGCCCAGCCTGAAGTATTTAGAATTGGTTTCTGGGCAAACCAAACACTGCAAATTTACTACATCAATTAGCAGGCAACAGTTAATATTTAATATTCAATGACTAAAACTTCCTAAAGAAATGTATATGTCCCTAAGAGTAAAACATTCTGAATAGTTTATAAATTATTGATTATATCAACAATAATACCAATTTGTTTAGCTAACATTTCTCTAATGAATGTATCATATAATGTCAGTTAACTATGTATTTTGCTTCTACTTAAATTTTAGATTCCCAGGTTATTTTTTCCCATAAAAACAATCTAGCCATTTTGATATGTTAAGTCCTATCGAAGATTATTAAATAAATAAGATCATTAGATTGAAAACAGGTAATAAATAGATTTCTAATTTGCTACCATTAGTAGAAACGACACATGATAAAAATAATATTCATAATATTTAATTTGCTACCTTATTGGCATGGCTTTCTATACACACACCATTATTTAATTTCCAAGGTAAAAAAATTACTTAAGTATCACATAAGTACCTGATCTAATTCAAAATGATAACATTGTTAGTTTCTCGTATTGTTATTTCTGACTGTTTATAATATGGATACAGTGACATTCTACTTGTGCTTGCTTACATATATTCAAAGGAAATCTTCACTTTCCTAGTCATTATCACTCTAGTGGTCTTCAGTTTACTTCTCAGGTGGGTACACAATATGGGGTAGTAACAGGATAGAAAATAGGAGGGCACACAACTATTTAAAATTACAGTTATGCCCACATTTCCACAAACTCAACATTTTTTTAAAGTTAAAAGAAGTAAAAATGTTAATTTTAAGTTAATTTCTCATTTTCAAAAAGAATTTTCACTCTTCCAAAGAACTATTTCAAAGTTAAGCTCCTTCATATATATGTTAGAACTAATTAGAACATTAGACAGCACTTACTTGTTAACCTGAATAATATGCTTGTACAAAATTTTGAAGCCTTAAGTCTTATCACATAAAATGAGGTTTAGACATTTTGTTCAATATATAATTGAAATTATAAAAATCTATGAAAGCCAAACTTCATTTTCTTTCCTTTTTTTTTTTTTTTGAGACAGAGTCTCACTCTGTCACCCAGGCTGGAGTACAGTGGCGCCATCTCGGCTCACTGCAAGTTCCGCCTCCCAGGTTCACGCCATTCTCCTGCCTCAGCCTCCCGAGTAGCTGGGATTACAGGCGCCCGCCACCACGTCCGGCTAATTTTTTGTATTTTCAGTAGAGACAGAGTTTCACCGTGTTAGCCAGGATGGTCTCGATCTCCTGACCTCGTGATCCGCCCGCCTCGGCCTCCCAAAGTGCTGGGATTACTGGCGTAAGCCACCGCGCCTGGCCGGCAAATTTCATTTTCTTTTTGCCCCTAATTACTACTCTGCAAACTGGTTATACAATGGGTCTAGAGTCTAAAAAGGATTGTTTGAAACAGGAAAAGGTGATATACAAACTACTTATTAGCTCCTCAGGGGGTATTTTTCTAACTCAAAGTCAGTAAAACAGAGAAAATGATTACCAACAGCAGTGTACCCACATTTGAAGAGCATGATTTGCCAGGTATGGTAATCTCAGCACTCTAAGAGGCTGAGGCAAGAGGATCACTTGAGCTCAGGAGTTCCAGACCAGCCTGAGCAACATAGAGAGACCTTATTTCTACAAAAAAATTAAAAAATTAGCCAGGCTTGGTGGTGCATGCCTGTGGTCCCAGCTGCTGAGGTGGAAGGATCCCTTGGGCCCAGGAGGTCAAGGTTTAGTGAGCTGTGATAGCACCACTGCCCTCCCGCCTGGGCCATAAAGTAAGACACTCTCAAAAACAAAAACAGAACCATGATTTTTGACCATTTAAGTTTTCTTAAGCTACAAACTCCATTTAAAAATTTTTAATTTTGTTAACAAGTGACCTTTACTTTAAATAACACATTAGTTGATGAAGTCTGTTTTTAAATGGTCTTTTACTTCTGTGTCAGTATGGTAATAAAAGGTTTTTTTTAAAGTGTGTCAATACTACAACTATATACTTCAAACAAATCCTGTTTCTTAAGGTCTAATAGAATCATTAATTCAATCAATAAGCATCCACAGACACTGAAGGGCAACATCACAAAGGAAGCCCACTGAAGAAGCCTGTCTGTCTCAGGGCAAGCAGTTTGACTCAGGAAGAAAATCTGAAGTACACTCCCTTAGCCCTGTGGGTTAAACAAAGGCAGTTCAAGACAGATAATTGAGGTGAAATGAATTCTAGGTCTCTTCTTTCACTGGTTCTCTAATTTACTGATGAATTCACTTGGCACTTCTTCATTAAATAAGCCTGAGCTGCTCTTGGAAAAGTCACCCTGAAGAGGAAGCCTTCTTCCACTCCCAGCTTTGATATTCTCACCTAATAAAGTTTATTTCTATATTGGCCAATATAGAAATAAAATAGAGGTCACACCCTAAAGGACCCATGCTTGAATCTGCAAGGGCAGATCTGAGGTCCTGAGCTGACAGGCCATGGGCAGAAATACAATACCCTCTCTAGTCAAAGGAGGAGGTACTTTTTGTTTCCATTGGTTTCTCACATTCACGGGGTTTGTATTTGCAGCCTTGACACTAACTTTAAATAAACATTTGCTTTCAAGGGAAGAAAATAATTGTCTTCATTTTTTTACCCAGTTCTCCAAGTATTCAGGAACCCCTAAAATGACATCTAATTCAGTTTCTGGAATTGGAAACCTCATATGCCCCTGCCAAGGACCACTGTTTTGACCTTGAATTAATCAAGCCAGCTCAGCCCTCTTCCTGACAGGCATCTCCAAAACAGTCTTCATCCAAATGAACGAAGCTGTGTTAGTTGGCATTAGTTTTTTTTCCTGACATCTGCCAGTTTCCATAGAGACCCCAACCTCCTTACTGAATCCGCAGACATGGTGCTCCCAGTCTCTCTTGCCTCCGTTTCATCATTCTCCTGGCTACTCAAGTTTTGCCCTCACACTGGAGTCTTGGTAGGAAGTTCTCTCACACAAGGGGTATGCAGTTCTGTCAGCCAAAGGAAATTATAAAAGCTTCCCAAACTTACGGCAAAAATTAAAGTACTTTTCTTCAAAAACATGATCTTCAGAACACCCCTCCCATCCCCCCACAAAAGACCTAAGAGCCCACGAGGCAGCAGTGGGACAGTGACAAGTTCCAGATCCCAAATGAATCAGCTGTCCTCTGATCTGCCTGACATCATTCACACTCAGCCAGCAACAAATCAGAGCTACAGAAAGCACCTTGTTCCTGCGTCAGTGACAAGCACCAAACTCCCTCCCCCACAAATCAGTTGCAACCTCCAACCCTGAGGCCTGGCGGCAGTAAAAACTCTGGCAGAAATTATACATAGCAACTTGAAAACTCACACTGTGTCAGAAATACTATTAACCCAGAAGGCATGGGCCAGGCTAAACAGCTGTTGCAGTGGGCAAGGGACTGGAAGAAACTGGTAAAATAATGAGCGAAGACTATGTGGGCGTTTCTGCAGCATTATTCATTCTCAAACCCAAGCCTGAAGGAAGACTACAGGGCTTTAATGTTAGGGCTCAAAGCACAGTCATTATTCAAATGCCGAATCTGACCAACTTAACTAAACTGTACTCCTTCAGACAAAGTTCAGTGCCATTTTTTGTTCAATTTCTATTACTCTCTAATCATTCTTGTGGTAAGAAAAGCCATAAGGAAAGTTAAGAAAATAAGCCCAGAAACTAGCTTAATTTCATCCATTAATGTTTAAGGTAAGTTGCAGAAGACCTCTATTGAAGGGTAAGCTAAGCATACTTCTGTATGCTTTGGTTTCCCCACCTGTAAAATGAAGATCATTAAGGTACCTAATATATAGGTTGTGGTGAGGACTAATACATGTAAACAGCAAAGTGCCTAGCACAGAGAAAGCACTATAAAAGTGTTAGCTATTACTGTAAGTCTTGCCCTCTTGGAGCAATCTCCCAGTCTAAAGGAAGAGATTAGTCCCAACAAATAGGAAGACATCTGAGAAAAAGAACCTAGACTCAAGAAAACCAAGTGATCAAGTAAACTGTGGAGCTAAACCCTGGCAGCTAAGAGAGCCAAAGAGAAGCAAGTCTTGTCCCCTGCTTCAGCGGCTCTGCCAACTCTGAGGGGCTTCTCTCATTCACCTAGATGACAAAGCGTATCAAACTGTTTTTTCTAGGGTAATGTTCAAAGGACTAACTCATAGGCAAACCAGTGCTTTTTCAAATGTGGGTCACACCTCTTTAGTAAGACATTATATCAATTTAGGAAGTCAGGATCAACATTTTCTAAAAAGGGAAACTACCTGCACACAAAAAGTACATATACAAATGAAATAGAATAGAAAAGAAAATATTAGTCCTTCGCACACAGCAAGGGTAAGCACTGTTTTGTGAAATGTGTGTTTATGACATCCATTACTGAAATACATACAAATATACAAATGCGAACGTGTGTGATGGGTCATAATGTAAACTTTATTTGTTATTGAAGTCAAAGTCTAAAAAGTTTGAAAGCCACTGTTCTAATTACCCAAGCAAACTCACCCACCTAGTAGCCACAAGCCCTCACTTTTCCTCTCCATGTATTAGTCCAATTATTCAGCCCTCTCAGCACCCTCTTTTTTTCAGAATCCCCAGTTCAGTAGCAGGTCCTAAAGATAACTAGAACACCTTAGAAATCTAACAGTTCTCAACAAGTACTGGCTCCTACTTTGGAAAGCCTTGTGATGATATCAGGGTCAGTTGCCAAAAGCCCCAACCTTGGGTCTATCCTCCCATCCCCAGCTAAGGCTTGCAGTTATGGCTGAATCCTAAGTTTCTACTCAATATTCTCCAATTCTCTAATACCCGAGACCAGGCTACATAATAATAATAATAATAATAATAATAATAATAATAATAATAATAATATAACAATAATAATAATGACATAACAGCAACCAACATTTATTAAGTGCTTAACTATTAGGTTCTATTCTAAGCATTTTACACATTAATATTCATGTAGTACTCATCATAGCCATATGATATATGTACTATTATTCCATTATTATTATTTTTAAAATTATTATTATTTTTTAAAGACACAGAGAAGTTAAGATCATGCCAATGGTAAGTAGAAAAGTAGCATTTCCTCAATATGTTGGCACCTGGTTACCTATATATGAATTATACTAGCCAGAAGTGTCTTCAGCCAAGTTGGTAAACTGGAGCAGTCTAACTCAAGTTTCCAATGCTATAAATCACTGCGCTTTACCTTTCAGTAGAAATTTCTGACAACAGCAGCAAATGGATTCTTTCTAGCCTGCTCTGCATATATTGAAGAGCAGTACTATTGCAGAGCAGTACTCCTTGGGTGGAGGAGAGAGAACACGGAGCTCCTTAAATAATGCCAAAGTGAGAAAATATTTGTTTGATTTTTAGAGAATGAAAGCCATATTTTACATCCTTTATCTGACCAAAGAAGATATTACTTTTACCTCCAGGTAACACATCCCCACACAGAGTACTTTCTTTAGTGGCATTAGAATCCATTTGTGCCAATATTCCTGTGACTTTGCCAGGACTAGGAAGGCCTAACATTTCCCTGGGACTGGTGACAGGGCTCAATAATTTGCAGTATGGTGAAAGAAACACCTGCCTTCTCTTATTCATTCACACATTTATTTATTGACTGTAGAGCCAGAAGAAAGGCCTCTGCTATGGGCTTCTCACTTTAGAGATCCTGCAAAATAACACACACACACAAAACAAATTAATTAAAGAAATGGGGTTTCCTCTGTCACAAGATTCTGCACTGGCAAAGCAGAACCCTAAAAATCCATTCTTGCAAATTGTACAGTTCAGACCACAGGAAAACCTTTGTCCACATATTTCTTCCCATGTCCTTTAAAAGAGAGGCAACTATATCAGAACGCCATTTATGGGCTGTGAAACTGCAAACTTCAGAGAACTCTGCCTGAGATTATGAAATATTTGAGGAGCACAGGGTGTCAGAATAAAAGACAAGACAAATTAACTGTTATATCCTTCCTGTCAAATAACATCAATATCATAGATACCTTTCCTAAGAAAGTATTGTCTCCTAACAGAGTCAAACATCCATTTATTTGATTTCTTCCTGTTCCAATTCACAGTTCTGAAGGTACTCATAATTTAGCTCACTATTCCTAACAGTAGCACACAGCAATTGAGGAACATTTTGCAGAATTAAGGAATTCACATTACTAGTAAATGTATTTATATGCAGGTCTAGAAATGGCACATGTAAGGCAAGGAACCAATTTATTACACTGATAAATGGTTGAACAGTTAATGCTAGAATTACAATTTATTTTTATAAAAATATGTACTTACAAAAATTTTTAATTCAGCTTATTTAAATTAATTTTGAATATTTAAAAGAAAAATAACTTTTAAAAGAATAAAAAACTTCCATTTTTTACGCTTTATATTTTTGATGAGAATATATTCAAACTTTGTACTCTGTGGATATAACTACGTCTTATTTTTAAATCCTACAGATCACTGAAAATGAGTACGTTGTGATCCCAACATAGACAGAAAAATAAGACAGTGGAGCTTAGAAGAGGAAAAAGAGAAAATCTACAAATAAGCTAGTCTGCTTAAATTTGGGGAAAAAAAAAAAAAACAACTGCACACAAAAAGTACTTACACAATTACTATCACTGAAGATTGGAAACACAGAAAATAAACCAGAGTATTCAAAAAAGACAAGTAGCTGGGCACAGTGGCTCATGCCTGTAATCCCAGCACTTTGGGAGGCCGAGGCAGGCAGATCTCTTGAGCCCAGGAACTCGAGACCAGCCTGGCTGAGGCAGGAGAATCACTTGAACCCGGGAGGCGGAGGTTGCAGGGAGCCGAGACGGCACCACTGCACTCCAGCCTGGTCGACAGAGCGAGACTGTCTTCAAAAAAGAAAAGAAAGGGCCAGGTGGGGTGGCTCACGCCTGTAATCCCAGCACTTTGGGAGGCAAAAGTGGGTGGATCACGAGGTCAAGAGATCAAGACCATCCTGGTCAACATGGTGAACCCCCGTCTCTACTAAAAATACAAAAATTAGCTGGGCGTGGGGGCGCATGCCTGTAGTCCTAGCCACTTGGCAGGCTGAGGTAGAAGAATCACTTGAACCCAGGAGGGGGAGGTTGCAGTGAATTGACCACACCACTGCACTCCAGCCTGGCGACAGAGCCAGACTCTGTCTCCAAAAAGAAGGAAAAAAAAAAAAAGACGATATAGAATGATGGTGTGATTGTTCTTAAAAGCATAATATTATATATACAATATTTAGCCAGATTCCCCTCTCCTCCGATGGTTTAAAAATAGTCACAGAAAACAATGGAAAATTTATAGGTTTAACGTAAATGATATTGAAAAGTAACGTTAAAATGGCTGCACATATAAGAATGATTTTTAAAATGATAAAACAGTCACTGCCTATGATAAAGCCTTAAATGAAATTATTTATTTAACTGATAATAAAGTGAGAAAAAGATACCTAACTTTTTTAAGTAAATATTATTCAGTTCTATAGATTATAACAGGGACAAAAGTCATGTTAAACAACAAACTTTACATACTGTCGAGTTACCTAAAGAAGAAAACAAGAAAGTAGAAATAAATGAGAATTTTATAGCTTTACATTTGATGTAAAAAGTACACGCTTTGTCTTCAGTGAGAACTAAAGAAAAAAAGTTTCGATTTTAGGCAGGGACCTAAAGATTGGCAAACTTCCACCTGTAACTATGACATTACCGAAAGAGAACTAGCCATTCTACTACAAATTACCATAAGAATAGACAAAATATACAATGTAATAGTTTTCAGGCACTGGGACACATGTAATGCAAGAAAGAAAACCCAGAAAGAAGGGAAACTCAAAAGTCAGGCTGCTCCCTCCTCAGCTGCCTGGGAGCAATTTTCTTACAAGGGCAGACAGCTAGAGTTCAAGCAGAGCACAGTAGTTCCACTAAGCTGAGGAGGCATGGGCTAGAGTTCAGGTAAGCTAATCAAGCAGACATTGCATGTTCACCAAGAAAGACCACATGCTAGGCCATAAAAAAAGTCTCAAGAAATTTCAAAATATTGAAATTCCATAAATTATGCTGTCTAACCACAACAGAATTAAATTAGAAATCAACTACAATAAAATATAAAATCTTCCAATATTTGGAAACGAAACCACATATTTCTAAATAATCTATTGGTCAAAGATGAAATGACAAAGAAAATTAGAAAATATTTTGAATTACACTATAATAAAGACACACACACCAAATTATGGAATACAGTTAAAGGAGTGCTTAGAGGCACATATATAGCTTTAAATGCTTATATCAAAAAAGGAAGACCTGAAATCACTAATCCATACCTCTGCATTAAAAACTTTAAAAAGTCCAGGGAGGGATAGCATTGGGAGAAATACCTAATGTAGATTATGGGTTGATGGGTGCAGCAAACCACCATGGCATGTGTATACCTATGTAACAAACCTGTACGTTCTGCACATGTATCCCAGAACTTAAAGTATAATAAAAAACAATTTAAAAAAACTTAAAAGTAAATTAAATTCAAAATATAATAAAGAAAAGAAAGCAGAAATTAGGAACAGAAAATAAAAAAATTAACAAAACCAAAAATTGGTTCTTTGACAATATTAATAAAATTAATAAAACCACAGTAATAGACATCAAGAAGAAAAGGAGAGAAAACATAAATCATCAATATCAGAAATAAAAGATGAGTTATCACAACAAATCTAAAGACAGCAAAAGAATAATAAGAGAATAGCAGGAACAATTTATGCCAATACATTCTATAACTTATTTAAAATAGACAAAAAGTTCAAAAAATAACTTACCAAAACTGACTTTAATATAGATGTGCATTATGCTAAGTGACATAAGCCAGACACAAATGAACAATACTATATGATTCCACTGATATGAAGTATTTAGAAGAGGCAAATGCATAGAAAAAGAAAGTAGAACAGAGACTGCCAAGGCCTGGGGTAAGGGAAGAAGGGTGTTACTGCTTAATGGGCACAGAGTTTCTACCTGGGACCATGGAAAAGTTTTAGAAATAGATGGTGACAACAGTTGCATGACATTGTGAATATAGTTAATGTCATTACATTGTATACTTAAAAATGGTTAAAATGCCAGAAGTTGAGGCACAAGAATTGCTTGAATTTGGGAGGCAGAGGCTGCAGTGAGCTGAGATCACGCCACTGCACAGCCTGGGTGATAAGAGCGAGACTCTCTCAAAAAAAAAAAAAAAAGTTAAAATGGCAAATTTTGTTATATATACCTTGCCATAATTTTTAAGACTTTAAAGAAATTAATTCAAAAGGAGTTAAGATTCAAACATAAAAGCTAAAATTACAAACTTCTAGAAGAAAACATTGGAGAAAATCTTCATGATCTTGGGATGGGCACAGATTTCTTGGACAGAATGAGTGAGTACTAACTATAAAAACTCACAAAGAACATCAAAATTAAGACCTTCTGCTCTCTGAAAGACATCCTTCCAAAAAGGAAAAGACAAGCTGGAGAAAAATAAGTCACAATATATATAGTGATGCATCACTTAACAACAGAGATACCTTCTGAGAAATGCATTGTTAGGCGATTTCATCATTATGTGAACATCATGGAGTATACCTGCATAAACCTAGATGGTATAGCCTACCACACACATAGGCTATATGGTATTGTATAGCCTATAGACTGCTTCCAGGCCGCAAACCTGTATAGCATGTTACTGCATTGAATACTGTAAGCAACTGTAACACAATGGTAAGTATTTGTGCATTTAAACATAAAAAAGGTACAGTAAAAATACATGTAAAAGATAGAAATGGTACACTTGTATAGGGCACTTACCATGAGTGGGGTTTGCATGACTAGAACTTGCTCTGGGTGACTGAGTGAGTGGTGAGTAAATGTAAAGATCTAGCACATTACTGTCTACTACTGTAGACTTTATAGAAACATTGTATGCTTGGGCTACACTATTTAATATTGCATAATAACATTATATAAACATATAATATAATTATTATATGTTACAAACTTATATAATTATATATTATATAATTGTATCATATAAAATAACATATAATATAATTATATAATAACAATAATATATACAACATTATATAATAATAACATATAAACATTGTACACTTAGGCTACATTATTTTTTTAACAATAAATTAATCTTAGCTTACTGTAACATTTTCACCTTAAATTCTTTAAGTTTTAACTTTACCCTTAAAACACATATTGTACTGCTCCACAAAAATATTTTTGTTCTCTACATCTGCAGGCTATAGGCTGTTTTTTATTTTTAAATTTTAAATTTATTATTTCTTTTTAAATGTTTTTGCCAAAAATGAAGACACAAACATACACTTTAGCCTAAGTGTACACAGGGTCAGGATCATCAAGATGTCACTTTCAGCTCCTTTATAATCTTATGGGATCACCAGTGTCTATGCAGTCTGTTGTTGACCAAAACATTGCATGGTATTGCATGACTATATATATCTGACAAAATATCTGCATCTGAAATATATAAATAACTTGTACAACTCAGTAATTTTTTATTCTTTTTTTCAAAATAAGCAAAATATCTGAACACATTTCACAAAAGATTCACAAATGGCAAATAAGGACAGGAAAAACATATTCACCATCATTATTCATCTGGGAAATGTAAGTCAAAACCACAATGATATACCAGTATACACTCAATAAAATGGCTCAAATCTGATCATAACAAGTTTTGATGTGGACGTGGGCCAACTGGAACCCTCGACATCCCTAGTAGGAAAGTACAACAGTATAAACATTTTGGAAAATTATGTGGCAATTTTTTAGAAACTTAAACATACACTTACCAGTTACCATTTGATGGGGGTTAGGGGTAGTATCCTAAATCTAAGTTTGGCATTTTTTTTTTTTTGAGACAGAGTCTTGCTCTGTCTCCCAGGCTGCAGTGCAGTGGCGCGATCTCAGCTCACTGCAAGCTCCGCCTCCTGGGTTCACGCCATTCTCCTGCCTCAGCCTCCCAAGTAGCTGGGACTGCAGGTGCCCGCCACCATGCCCAGCTAATTTTTTGTGTTTTTAGTAGAGACGGGGTTTCACTGTGTTAGCCAGGATGGTCTCAAACTCCTGAGCTCGTGATCCGCGCCTTGGCCTCCAAAAGTGCTGAGATTATAGGCGTGAGCCACCGCGCACAGCCGGCTCTTTCATTTTTTAAAAGATTAAACATGCCTATAATCCCAGCACTTTGGGAGGCCAAGACGGGCAGATCACTTGAAGTCAGGAGTTCGAGACCAGCCTGACAAACATGGTGAAATCCAGTCTCTACTAAAAATACAAAAAAATTAGCCAGATGCGGTGGCGCATGCCTGTACTCCCAGCTACTTGGGATACTGAGGCAGAGGAATCACTTGAACACTTGAACCTGGGAGGTGGAGGTTGCAGTGAGCTGAGATGGTGCCACTGCATTCCAGCCTGAGTGACACAGCAAGACTCTGCCTCAAAAAAAAAAAAAAAAAAAAGATTAAACATATTTTAGTCAAAAGGGTTTTCATGTACCAGATACTACAACAAAAGTAACTTTGTGACCAGGTGCGCTGGCTCATGCCTACAATCCCAGAACTTTGGGAGGCCAAGGCAGGAGGATCACTTGAGCTCAGGAGTATGAGACCAAGATGAGCAACATAGGGAGATCACCTATTTATAATAAAGTTAAAAAAAATTAGCCAGGCATGATGGCATGTCCCTGTGGTCCCAGCTACTTGAGAGTCTGAGGTGGGGGACTCACTTGAACCCGGGAGGCTGAGGTTGCAGTGAGCCATGATCACACCACTACACTCCAGCCTGGGCAACAGAGCAAGGCCTCTCTCTCAAAAAAAGTGGCATTGCAATAAAATACACAAAAACTAAAAGCAAGAAAATGACAGTCTGGGTTGGGTGCGGTGGCTCGTGCCTGTAATCCTAGCACTCTGGGAGGCCAAGCAGGGTGGATCACTTGAACTCAGGAGTTTGAGACCAGCTTGGGCAATATGGCAAAATCCCATCTTTACAAAAAATACAAAAATTAGCTGGGTATGGTGGCATGTGTCTATAGTCCCAGCTACTTGGGGGGGCTAAGGTAGGAGTACTGCTTGAGCCCAGTTCAAGGCTGCAGTGAGCTGTGATTGCGCGAATGCACCCCAGCCTAGGCAACATAGCCAGACCCTGCCTAAAAAAAATTTAAGGCCGGACACGGTGGCTCATGCCTGTAATCTCAGCACATTGGGAGGCCAAGGCAGGTGGATCGCCTGAAGTCAGGAGTTCTAGATCAGCCTGGCCAACATGGTAAAACCACACCTCTACTAAAAATATAAAAATTAACCGGGCATGGTGGCAGGCGCCTGTAATCCCAGCTACTCAGGGGGCTGAGGCAGGAGAATCGCTTGAATCTGGGAGGCAGAGGTTGGCAGTGAGCTGAGATCACGCCATCACACTCCAGCCTGGGGGACAAGAGTAAGCCTTCGTCTCAAAAAAAAAAAAAAATTAAAAATTAGCTGGGTGCAGTGGCACACACCTATAGTCCCAGCTACTAGGGAGGCTGAGGTGGGAGGATCACTTGAGACCAGGAGTTTAAGATTGCAATGAGCTATGATACTGCTACTGCATTCCAGCTTAGCCAACTGAGACCCTGTGTCTAAACAAATAAATAAGCAAATAAGCAAGCAAGAACATAGGAAAAGTGGACTTTCATGATGTATTAGTTTTCTATTGCATAACAAATTAGCAAAAACTTAGCCACCTAAAACAATACACATTTACTATCTCACAGTTTCTGATTCAGGAATTCAAGCACAGCTTAGCTGGGTCCTTGCTTAGGGTCTCTTAAAGCTGCAAGCAAGGTGTCACCTGGGCTATGTTTTCATATGGAGACCCGATTCAGGAAGAATCCACTTCTAAACTCATTCTCATGTGCACACAGAACATTCTCTAAAATTGACCACATGTTCGGTCATAAAGCTAGTCTCAATAAATTTTTCAAAAATAAAAATCATATCAACCATCTTCTCAGACCTCATGGAATAAAATTAGAAATCAACATCAAGAGGAACTCTCAAAACCACACAAGTACATGGAAACTAAACAATTTGCTCCCGAATGACTTTACAGTAAACAATGAGATTAAGGCAGAAATCAAAAAATGTTTTGAAATAAATGAAAATAGAGACACAACATACCAAAACCTCTAGAATACAACAAAAGCAGTGTTTAGACTGCTAAGTTAAGTTTAGGCCAGGCACAGTGGCTCATGCCTGTAATCCCAGCACTTTGGGAGGCCAAGGCGGGAGGATTGCCTGAGCTCAGGAGTTTGAGACCAGCCTGGGCAACATGGTGAAACCCTGTCTCTACTAAAAATACAAAAATTAGCCAGGCATGGTGGTAAGTGTCTGTAATCCCAGCTACTCAAGAGGCTGAGGCAGAAGAATTGCTTGAGCCTGGGAGGCAGAGGTTGCAGTAAGCCGAGATCACGCCACTGCATCCAGCCTGGGCGACAGAGTGAGACTCTGTCTCCAAAAAAAAAAAAAAAAAAAAAGACAAAAATTTATAGTGCTAAATGCTTAACATCAAAAAGAAAGATCTCAATTAACAACCTAACATCATAGCTAAAGAAACTAGAAAAGCAAAAACAAGCCAAACCCAAATCTAGCTGAAGAAAAGAAATAAAGATCAGGGCAGAACTAAATGATATTGAGACCAAAAATATGACATAAAGGAGCAACAAAACAAAAAGTGGGTTATTTCAAAGGATAAACAAAACTGTTAAACTGCTAGGTAGATTAACCAAGAAAAGAGAAGATTTAAATAAGCACAATCAGAAATGACAAAAGTGGCATTACAACTGATATCACAGAAACACAAAAGCTCCTCAGAGACTACTATAACATCTCTATGAGCATAAACCAGAGAAACCTAGAAGACATGAATAAATTCCTCAAAACACACAAACTCTTAAGAATGAACCAGGAAGAAATGGAAATCCTGAACAGACCAATAATGAGCTATAAAACTGAATCAGTAATTTAAAAATCTACGAACCAAAAAAAAAAGCCCAGGACCAGAAGGATTCACAGCCAAGTTCTACCAGATGTACAAAGAAGAACTGTACCTCTTACTGAAACTATTAAAAAAAAAAATTGAGTATGAGGGATTCTTCCCTAGCTCGTTCTACTAAATCAGTATCATCCTGATACCAAAATCTGAGAAGGACACAACAAAAAAACTACAGGCCAATATCCCTGATGAACATGAATGTAAAAATCCTCAACAAAATACTAGTAAACTGAATCCAGCAGCACATCAAGATGATAACTGGATCATGATCAAATGGTTTTATGCCTGGGACACAAGGATGGTTCAGCGTACACAAATCAATAAATGTGATTCACCACATAAACAGAATAAAAAACAAAAACCATATGATCATGTCAACAGACACAGAAAAAGCATCTGATAAAATCCAACATCACTTCATGATTAAAAACCTTCAACGAATTAGGCATTGAAGGAAGACACCTCAAAATAGTAACAACCATATATGATAAACTCACAGCCAATAGCATCATACTGAATGGGCAAAAACTGAAAACATTCCCTCTAAGAAATGGAACAACACGAGGATGTCCACTCCCACTACTCCTATTCCACATAGTACTGGAAGTGGTAGCCAGAGCAATTAGGCAAGAGAAAAAAATAAAAAGCATCCAAATAGGAACAGAGTTAGTCAAATTATATCAGTTCACTAACAACATAATCCTATACCTAGAAAACCCTAAACATTACTCCAAATGATTCCTAGACCCAATAAACAATTTTAGTAAAGTTTCAGGATATAAAATTAATGCACAAATCAGTTGCATTTCTATATACCAACATTCAAGCTCAGAATCAAATCAAGAACTCAATCCCATTTACAATTGCCACAACCAAAATAAAATACTTAGGAATACATTTAACCAAGAAGATGAAAGACCTCTACAAGGAGAGCTAAAGAACACTGATGAAAGAAATCACAGACAACACAAACAAATGGAAAAACATCCTATGATCATGGATAGGAAGAATCAATATCGTGAAAATGACTACACTGCCCAAAGCAATTTTAATCAAATTACCAATGTCGTTTTTCACAGAATCAGAAAAAACCATTCCAAAATTCATATGGAACCAAAGAAGAGCCCACATAGTAAAAGCAATCGTAAGCAAAAATAACAAAGCTGGAAGCATCACACTACTCGACTTCAAATTATACTACAAGGCTATAGTCACCAAAACATCATGGTACTGGTACAAAAACAGACACACAGCTCAATGAAATAAAACAGAGAACCCAGAAGTCAATCCATACACCTACAGTAAAGTGATCTTCAACAAAGTTGACCACAATAATCAATGGGGAAAGGACACTCCATTCAATGAATGGTGCTGGGAAAATTGGCTAGCCATATGCAGAAGAATGAAACTGGACCCCTATCTCTCACCATATATAAAAATTAACACATGATGGATTAAAAATTTAAATTTAAGACCTGAAACTATAAAAACCCTAAAAGAATACCTAGGAAAAACTCTTATGGACATTGGCCTAGGCAAATAATTTATGACTAAGACCTCAAAAACAAATATGACCAAAACGAAAATGGACAAATGAGACTTAATTAAACTAAAGAGCTTCTGTACAGCACAAGAAACAATCAACAGAATAAAAAGACAACCCATAGAATGGGAGAAAATATCTGCCAACTACGCATCCAACAAAGGACTAATATCCAGAATCTATAAGGAACTTAAATCGTAAGAAAAAAACAAATAAATCTGCTAAAAAGTAGGCAATAGAAACGAACAGACACAAAAGAAGACAAGTGACCAACAAACTCATGAAAAAAATATCCAACATCGGCCGGGCGCGGTGGCTCACGCCTGTAATCCCAGCACTTTGGGAGGCCGAGGCAGGTGGATCATGAGGTCAGGAGATCGAGACCATCCTGGCTAACAAGGTGAAACCCCGTCTCTACTAAAAATACAAAAAATTAGCCGGGCGCGGTGGCGGGCGCCTGTAGTCCCAGCTACTCGGGAGGCTGAGGCAGGAGAATGGCGTGAACCCGGGAAGCGGAGCTTGCAGTGAGCCGAGATTGCGCCACTGCAGTCCGCAGTCCGGCCTGGGCGACAGAGCGAGACTCCGTCTCAAAAAAAAAAAAAAAAAAAAAAAAAAAAAATATCCAACATCACTAATCATCAGAGAAATGAAAATTAAACCACAATAAGATACCATCTTATACCAGTCAGAATGGAAAATGACAGATGTTGGTGAGGATGCAGAGAAAAGGGAATGCTTATATACTGTTGGTGGGAATGTAAATTAGTTCAACCCCTACAGAAAATAGTATAGTGATTTCCACAGAACTAAAAATAGAACTACCATTTGATCTAGCAATCCCACTACTGGCTATCTACCCAAGGGTAAATCTTTTTTTTTTTTTTTTTTTTTTGAGAGAGAGAGAGTCTCGCTCTGTCGCCCAGGCTGGAGTGCAGTGGCACCATCTCGGCTCACTGCAACCACTGGCTCCCAGGTACAAGCAATTCTTCTGCCTCAGCCTCCCAAGCATCTGGGACTAAAAGTGCACACCACCATGCCTGGCTAATTTTTTTATTTTTAGTAGAGACAGGGTTTTACCATGTTGGCCAGGCTGTTCTTGAACTCCTGACCTTGTGATCCACTTGCCTCAGCCTCCCAAAGTAAAGTGCTGGGATTACAGGTGTAAGCCATCGCGCTGGGCCGGGAAAAGAAATCTTAAAAAAAAAAATTTTTTTTTAATTGTAAAGCTCTTTTTTTCCCCTTGGGCCTGATGACATAGCATAAGAAAATTATTTTATCAAAAAGACACCTACACTGGTACATTTATCGCAGCACTATTCACAATACAAATTCATGAAATCAACCTAGGTGCCCACCATCAGTAGATTGGATAAAGAAAATGTGGTACATATATACCATGGAATACTATGCAGCCATAAATAGAATGAAATCCTGTCCTTTGCAGCAATGTGGATGTAGCTGGAGGCCATTATTCTATATGAAATAACTCAGAAACAGAAAATCAAATACCATGTGTACTCACTTATAAGTGAGAGCTAAACAATGGGTACGTGTGGTCATAAAGATGGAAACAATAGACACTGGGGACTCCAAAAGGGGAGAGGAGGTATGGCAAGCATAGAAAAACTACCTATTGAGTATTATGTTCACTATTTGGCTGATGGGTTCACTAGAAGCCGAAACCCCAGCATTACACAATATATCCATGTAACAATCCTGCACATGTACCCCTGAATCTAAAAAAAAAAAAAAAAAAAAGAAAAGAAAGGAAAAATATTTTTGGCCAATTCTAATTTCTATTGCTTCAGCAGAGCAAATCTCCTCCAAATAAAATTTAATTAAAAAAAATTGATCAAGAGCTGTTTGGTTCATGGATGGCAATTCCAAGGTAAATGAAAACCATCATCCTGCTTTGGAAGACTACTCCTCTGATCAAAGAAGGTAAAAACAGATCTGCTTGGTGGGCTGAATTGCATTATATTTTTCTAACAGTGACTGATGGAAGAATTGAACAATGGTAGAAGCCCCTGTGTTTGAGTCTTTACTGACCTCATGCAATGTAACCAATGGCTTGGCTATATACTCAGGTGAGAGGACAATGGAAATCTGGCCTGTTAAAAGAATGCCCATATGGAGCATGGCCCTAAGGAGATTTGAGGGATGCATTAAGGTGACAGGGATGGATAAGTAGACATCCCATGTGCTCCCTTGAGGTGGCCAACTCAGTCCCTGAAAAAAAGTGAGTATGGGGGCAATGCAGCAGTGCAGAGGTGAGCTGAATCTAGACATGATCCTTTTGCACCCTTTCAGGTACAAAATGCCAGAAAGAACTGTTCTGTTTCTCAGCAACAGAGACAGAGATTGCTGATGGCTATGGCGCAGATTCTCTGGTAGGAAGGCCCTGAACATGGCTGGCAAATGAGACTGATGCCGGTAGCCCTGGGAGCTACAAAGGGGTCTTGACAGGAATAGACACTGACTCTGGAGTGGGCTTTGCTTATCCCATGGAAGATAAAAATTCTCAGAGTAAAAACAAAAACAACAACAACAAAAAAAACAGAACGGAAGATATTGCATGGATTTGGATGGCCCACCATCATTCTTCAGACCAAGGAACACACTATACAGCCCATAATGTCCAACAATGGACAGAGTGAGATATCCTCCTTAGAGTAATAGTTTGATAGAGAAGTAGAATGGGCAATTGAAACATTGGTTGTCTAAAACAGGGGGAGATAAAAAGCATGAAGGGCTGGCTTACAGGCGATCATAAGGACGTATGTGCTCATACTTAACGTGGGACTTTTTCTCTGTTTTTCTGGTTGATCTGAGGAAGAGGGGATGGGGAGGATGCTAGTATGACTACACAATTCTTACCAGGGGAGGAGCGCACTTGTATAACTACTATAATTTTTTCTTTTTCTTTTCTTTTTTTGGTTTCGTTTGTTTGTTTTTGAGAGACAGAGTCTCACTCTGTCGCCCAGGCTGGAGTACAGCGGAGCCATCTCGGCTCCCTGCAACCTCCACCTCCCAGGTTCAAGCGATTCTCCCACCTCAGCTTGCCAAGTAGCTGGGACTACAGGCATGCACCACCATGCCCAGCTAATTTTTCTGTATTTTTAGTAGAGACGGAGTTTCACTATATGTTGGCCAGGCTGGTCTCGAACTCCTGACCTCAGGTGATCTGCCTGCCTTGGCCTCCCAAAGTGCTGGGATTACAAGTATGAGCCACTGTGCCTGGCTCTATTTGTTTTTTTAAGACAGGGTCTTGCTCTGTTGCCCAGGCTGGAGTGCAGCGGCGTGATTATGGCTCACCGCAACCTCCGCTTCCAGGGCTCAAGAGATCCTCCCACCTCAGCCTCTCGAGTAGCTGGGACCACAGGCAAGTGCCACCACACCCAGCTAATTTTTTGTATTTTTGGTAGAGACAGGTTTTGCCATGTTGCCCAGGCTGGTCTCAAACTCCTGAGCTCAAGCAATCCTCCTGCCTTGGCCTCCCAAAGTGCTGGGATTACAGGCATGACCACTTCGCCTAGCCTATAGTTTTTTCTTTCCTCCCCAAATCACCTTTAAAAAATTTATTTTTTCTCTCCTACCTGATGCAGTGGTCCTAGGACCAGGGTTGCAACTACAAGTGCTGAAACATCAGAGATGATTTCTAAGAAAAAACTGTAACTATGTTTTTAAACCTAATGGCAAAATTCCTAAGAACATTACTGGGGTGAGTAGTGCTTTCACCCCATTTAGCAAAAGTGGGACTAACAGTGAATGCAACTATATTGCCTGATGGTAAAAATAGCTCACTAGTTCTGCTCCTATATAACTTTACCCTATCTGAATGGGAGTGGACTGAGGAAGACCTACTCCTAGACTTGTATTGCTGCCTGCAATCTGGAACAGCACAAGAAGATTCTAATGTCCCTTTCAGAGGTGAAAAAATTTGGGTATAAACGGAAAGAAGGAGAAACCATAGCTGAAAGTAAAGAAGTGAATAAATGAGTTAGGGTTACTAACTGAGGAAAATTCAATGTTATGTTAACAGCCCAAAAGAGTCTAAGAACAAAAGATGATACTATCTCAAGCTCAATTATTCCAGATGCATGAAAGTATGAAGCTGTGTGTTTACCAAGGCCAATCCTGCTTTTGGAACTTGACAAGATTTAGGAAACTTGCAAACCGGAATGGCCTCATCCTGGGAGACATTCATACAATATGATGTACTGGACTAATGATTAATGACTGCATATACAAATATTGTTTGATATAAAAGATCTGTGGTCACAAACTAGGGGGTGACCTGTGGTGTTATGATATACATACTGGTTTTAATCTACGGTTTCTGGCTTACAACTCCCATAGCCCTAGTTACAGTCTTTTGTTAGAATGTTGGCTGCGTTAGGCCTCAGGGGCAGGCCTCTGACCTTCTCCAGCTCTCCTTTCACTTTAATGTTCCCCAACCTTTCTGACTGTGGGTCTTAAGGCTCTCCCATGAGAGAGTTCCACCCTACACCTGGGGCAAGAAATATTGACTTCATGAAGCTTCCATAAAAACCCAAGAGGACAGGGTTCAGTGAGCTTCAGGATGGCTGCACACATGGAAGTTATTGAAGTGACACGGCTGGGGAGGGCACAGAAGCTCCCTGCCCCTTCCCTAGTAACTCACCCTATGAATCTCTTCATCTCTATCCTTTGCAATATCCTATAAACCGGTAAATATTAAAATAAAAATCTAAGAGGCTAAGTACAGTGGCTCACACCTGTAATCCCAGCACTTTGGGAGACCAAGGAGGGCGGATCACTTGAGGTCAGGAGTTCGAGACTAGCCTGGCCAATATGGTGAAACCCCCATCTCTACTAAAAACACAAAAATTAGCCAGGTGTGGTGGCACCCATGTCTGTAGTCCCAGCTACTCGGGAGGCTGAGGCATGAGAATTCCTTGAACCAGGGAGGCAGAGGTTGCAGTGCCACTGCACTCCAACCTGGGCAACAGAGCAAGACTCGGTCTCAAAAAAAAAAAAAAAATCTAAGAAATATAGTCATTCAAGAAAGTCTGTTTCATTTGGCATTGTTATTAAAAGAATACAATTTACAAGAAATTATTGATTACAAATAACAATTTTGGTAAAAATAAAGCCAAAGAAAAGTGTAAATATTTTAATAATTTATGAATTTGCCTTTACTTTATTGCTCATTTAAATAGATGAACACATAGACATGTGCAGTGTTAATTCAACTGTCATTTTTGACATTTTGCCATTTTCAATTGTATAAAAATTGATAATGGAATTGGTTGTAATATTTGCCTGTTTCTCTCTTTGATGATATGCTGTTTTTCTTTCATCTTTGAATGTTTTCATTTTATATCTGGATGAAAGCCATGATTTTTTGTTTTTACTTTTTTTAAAAAAACTGTCTGTTAAACAGTTTTGGAAGTCTTCCACCAAATGTCCAAAGAATTAACCTGTGAGTCACATCAGAGAAGTACACCTCACGTGGACCATCCATGTACATCAGTGCTTGGTTCCCACAGGTAAATCTGAAGTGGTAATCTGAAGTTGGCTCCCAGATGAACAAAGAAGTTTACGGAATCTCCACATTTCTAATTTCAATTTTTCTTTACATAACTGGGTTTTGTTTTGTATTTATTTATAGCTAAGTTATTCCCATTTGTGGCAGCAGAGTGGGACACTGATTTTATGGGCTGACCAATCCCGGGTATGTACCCAAGAGAAATGAAAACATATGCCCATAAAAAAAAAACTTATACATGAATGATTATAGCAGCTTTATTCATAATATCCAAAAACTAGAAACAACCCAAATATCCATCAAATAGTGGTATAGTCACAAAAGGAAACACTGAAACATAAAGGAAGCCAATTACAAAAAAGCAGGTCATTTGTCATTTTCATTTATATGAAATTCTACCACAGGCAAAGCTAATCTGTAGTGCCAAACAATAGATCAGTGGTTGCCTGAGGCCAAGATGTGGAAGATGGGATTGACTGCAAAACTACAGAAGGAATATTTGGGGGTAAGAAAAATGTTCTATCTATTAATTGTGGTTGTAGTTACATGGGTATATATATTTGCCAAAATTCATAAAATGAAGGACCCCAAATTGTTTCTGTGGGATATAACCATCAATAATTACAGTATTGAAAATGGAAACTGAGACATTAAAAAACACTTACTGATTCATTTGATGATAACACTAAAAATGCACTGCATCTTAATAACATCTTAGTACTCATTATCAAATTAATTGTGACCTTGAGAACCCCTAAAACTTGTACTCAAGTAAAGCATAAGTCTGTTCCAGAGTATGAAGACTAATGAAGGGCACAACTCGGAATGTGAATTTTGGCTGTCATGGTTTATAATACCTGAGTCTGAAAAGCTAAAACTGGTTAAAATTTTAGCAAATAATTTATTCAGTTTTGGTGAGTCCATGTCCTTGGTTTACTGTTTACTGCCATCCATTACCTACAATATTAAAGTATATTCTTTTGCTATGTAATACGCCTAGTTAGCAAATATTTTGTGTCTTGCTAGAAAAATTTTCTGTGCTTTATGCTGACTTATCAGGTCCTTAATCAAGCAAGCATAGGGCTCCTCATAAAAAAAACTACAGTTATTTAAAATTGTGTTACTTTCTATGTTTGTTTATAAATGTTTTACCGTCACTTCGGTTAAATAAGTAACCAGGTATTATTTCTCAAGCACCAACAATCCTATCTTAAGTGTTTCCACTAACGATTATTTGAAGATTTGTCTTTCCCAAATCAGATCCTACGTGTAGAAAATAATAAAATAAAACTTTCAGTGTAATTTTTTTTTTTTTTTAATTTGAGACAGGGTCTCACTGTCACCCAGGCTAGAGTGCAGTGGCATGATCTCAGTTCACTGCAACCTCCACCTCCCAGGCTCAAGCAATCCTTCCACCTCAGCCTCCCAAGTAGCTGGGACCACAGGTGTGCGCTACCACGTCCAGCTAACTTTTACATATTTTTGTAGAAATAGGGTTTCAACATGTTGCCTAGGCTGGTCTCAAACTCCTGAGCTCAAGCAATCCTCCCACCTTGGCCTCACAAAGTGCTGGGGTCAGTGTATTTTTAATACCAAAAACTATCTCTGAGATATCCCAAAACATCCTTGGCAAAATCACAAAGACGTGTTTTCTCCTTTTTAGAGAAATGTTAGAAATAATTAGGTTTAATATTTTGTTATTAATGAATTTCATGAGAAAAGTTATCTACCAGAAGACATGTTCAGTGTTCCCTAGGTTAAAGTTGTATGGGTAAAATGCTATTACTATAAATATTCTAGTTATTGTATGATTAATAGAAAACTCCTAGAGATTTGTCAATGTCCTCATTATCCATAACGTTTCTGAGTCCTGACAGAACTCTGCCAGATTTTAGGAAACAAAAGTTTAGTGTTTTCAGTCTTTTTTTTTTTTTTTAAAATATCCTACAGGAAGAAGTGTTTTCAGTCTTAATTTCAGTTATTATCTAAAATACTGGCCAGGTGCGGTGGCTCACATCTGCAATCCCAACGTTTTGGGAGGCTGAGGCAGAAGGATCACTTGAGCCCAGGAGTTAGAGACCAGCCTAGGGAACATTACAAGACCCTATCTCTACCCCGCCCCCTGCAAAAAATTAAAATAAAATAAAAAATAAATTAAATGAAATAAATAAGCTGGGCATGGTGATGCATGCTTACAGTCCCAGCTACCTGAGAAGCTGAAACAGGAGGATCGCTTGAGCCCAGGAGGTTGAGGCTGCCGTGAGCTATGACAGAGCCACTGCACTCCAGCCTGGGCAACAGAGCAAGACCTTGTCTAAAATAAATAAATAAATAAATAATAAAAACTGAAAATGTTTACTTGGTAACAACCTTACTTTTAACATTTCAATCCAGCACCTTCTAGGTCAGTGGAGTTTTATAAAAATATAGATGTATAGGACTGGAGTTTTATAAAAATATAGATGTATAGGACTTATTCCAGACCCATTGAATCTCTTTACTTGATGTCCTTAGTATATTCTTGGTATGTTTTTGGTGTCTGTATAATACCACAAGAATATTATAAGTTATACATAAAGATTTTTCCCTCTCTAAAAATTATGTTTATCTATGTTTTCTAAATCAGATGTAACCTTCACTGTCTTATTTGCAATAATCTCTTACAGTTTGCTATAAGTTTTTGGACTGGCCTTATTACTCTCATTTTACATGTGACAAAAACAACTTAATTTCCTTGTTAGTTGCATTATTCTTATGATATGAGACTCTGTCACATGCAGAGAGATTCTGTTTTGTGCTGAGGCCTGTCTGAAGGCTCTACAATCAGCTAGAAGCCAGAGTCTGTGTCTTCAACAAAGAAGGGTTGTCTCAGAGCTCCACGGAAAAGGACTGCGGCAGGTATTTTAAAACTACTGACACATCAAAGAATAGACAGGCTTCCAATAGCATTGCTTGGACAACTGGACAACTTCCAGATCATTCCAGTGGAATGAGTCAGAATTTCCAGAACTTTTTTTAGTTAAGAAGCCGACTACTAACGTAAGATCCAGTGAAATGAGAATTAGGTACACAGAACGGTATGAACTATAAGAAATGATTATAGTAATTTGTTTGAAATATTATTTTAATGTCCATTTTCTAATATGCAAGGGAGCCAGTTGTATTCCTTGTTAGGCTATCTATAACTCTTAACAATTGAGTAGACTTTGCTCTTGTAAAATGAAACATTCCTAAATCACATCTGATTCTCACTGACCCTCCCCTAACCCAGAACTAAGAACGTCTTACTGAGTCTCCTTACAGTTCAAGGCAATATGGTTATTTGAATAGGGCTAAACAAGAATCTGTTCTCCTTTTGACCAGAATATAATTGTAAAAAATGGTTGTCCAACAAAGAGCTTGCCTGAAAGGTCACATTTGAGAATCATGCTTATTTGATCAGGTATAACAAACCACTTTTAAGGAACTATGGTTGACTTTATGGAGCCAATACTTACAAAACCTTCCTGGGAAAACTGGCCTGGTATCTGGCTTTACAGGGTCCAGACTTACAGATGGTAAGGAAGGCCACTTCCTGGAAGGCCCAGGACCCTTAGGAATTCACCCAAATTTATAGTTATTACAAGTGAAATGTGGTATTTCTTAGGCTTGCCTTCCTAGCCTCAAAATACAAATAATAGAGGCCTTTAAAAGTCCAATCTGAGATTCTTTATAAAAATTTACAGCAAAGTAAATTTAAGAAGGCTTTATGATAAATTAATATTCTGGCCACACTATGCAAATAATCAGGCCAAACCCAATGAGACCACCCTTGTTTTGTGAACAAAAACGTTTCAAATTATTTTAGATGAAAAGGTAGGAGATTATAAAAAAAAAAATTGGAAAAAGTTAAAAAAGAAAAAAAGGTTACTAGATATTTCCAATAAAAAACTATGCATATTGTTTAGAGAATACTCTTCTAGTTTGTCTTTTATTGTCTTTGAGCTACTTTACAACTCTGTAAGTTATAGGTAGGTAACTGACGTTATGTGAAATAATTTCTTTTTTTTGTTTTGTTTTGAAACGGTCTCTCTCTGTCACCCAGGGTGGAGTACAGTGGCACAATCACGGCTCACTGCAGGCTCAACCTTCCCACTTCAGCCCCCTAAGTAGCTAGGACTACAGGCAGTCACCACCACACCTGGCTAATTTTTTTAAAAAAACTTTTGCAGAGACAGGGTCTCACTACATTGCCCAGGCTGGGCTCAAACTCCTGGGCTCAAGTGATCTTCCTGCCTCAGCCTCCCAAAGTGCTGGGATTACAGGTGTGAGCTAGTACATCCAGTGCACAAAATAATGTTTGTCTATAGACATGCTGATCAATTCTGTACAGTGAAGGTGCAACTGACTTCCCTTCTCTCCATGGAAAAACTCAATTTTATAATAAATAATACATTTATTTCAACACTACACATACACATACCACATATCACTTTGTGGTTCTTTTACTTCTTTGAACTGGCTAATATATCTGCCAGATTTCCTTACTAACAATGAGTTAAATATTTAACATGTGCTTATTTTTTAAAAATCAATAGCTTTACACATATTTCAAAATTTGTTATTATGCAACTATATTTCTAGAGGTAGGAGGACAAAGCATTTATTTTATTTTACAATTTGGTAGCTCTATTTTAAATGATTAAACGTGTATACCTCTATTTGTATTCTTGTGCCAGACCATACCAATGTTTGGAACAAGTTCAAATGATTGCCAATTTGTGTTAAACTCTATAGTAGGCTCTGGGATCAGCATATTGTACCGCACAACATGGTCCTGACCTCACGGAGCTTACCATCTGCTATGGACTAAACTGTGTCTCCCCAAAATTCATGTTAAAGCTTTTACCCCCAATCTGACTATATTTCCATATAGGTTCTTTAGGAAGTAATTAAGGTTAAATGAGGTCATAGGGGTGGCTCTAATCCTATAGGACTGTTGGGCTTGAAAATGAAGGAAAAAATAAGGAAGGAGGGAGAAGGAAGAAGAAAAAGAAGAAGAGACAGATCTATGCCCCTATCCTCAGGCTGGTGTACCACATAAAGGCCATGTGAGCACACAGCAAGAAGGCCACTCTCTGCAAGCCAGGAAGAGAGGTTTACCAGAAACTTAGCATGTTGTCACCTTCTTGGACTACTAGTTTGCATAACTGTAAGAAAATAAATTTTTGTTATTTAAGCATGTGGTATTTTGTTACAGCAGCCTGAGCTAATACTTACATACTACACAACGGGAAAAGGCAGACAAATAGTTCTTTATTTACAACTGATGTAAGAGCTATGAAGAAAAAGTAGAGGCTTTATTGAAAGTATGTTCTGGGAAACCCAACTTAGTCTACAGACAGCAAGGTTTGGGTGAGGTCAGGAACGCCTTTCATAAGGAAGTGAGGTGTAAGCTGGGACTTGAAAGGTGTGTAGGAACTAGATTGGTATAGATGGAAAAAGAACATTCCAGCTGGGCACGGGGGCTCATGCCTGTAATCCCAGCACTTTTGGGAGGCCGAGGCAGGCGGATCACGAGGTCAAAAGATTGAGACCATCATGGCCAACATGGTGAAACCCTAAAAATATAAAAATTAGCTCAGCGTGGTGGAGCGCACCTGTAGTCCCAGCTACTTGGGAGGCTGAGGCAGGAGAATTGCTTAATCACCTGAGGTTGGGAGTTCGAGACCAGCCTGACCAATGTGGTGAAACCCTGGCTCTACTAAAAATAAAAAAAAAAAATTAGCTGGGTGTCATGGCGTGCACCTGTAGTCCCAGCTACTCAGGAGGCTGAGACAAGAGAATTGCTTGAACCCAGGAGGTGGAGGTTGCAGTGAGCCAAGATTGCGTCACTGTACTCCAGCCTGGCAACAGAGTGAGATTCTGCCTCAAAAAAACAAAACAAAACGAAACAAAACAAAAATTCCAGGCACAGAGAACACATTGTGTAAAACATGGAGAAAAATATAGCAACCACACTGTATAGATAGTCAGGTGTGATCCTAAGAGTAAGAAAAAATTCACCAAAGGCCAGGTGCAGAGGCTCACACCTGTAATCTCAGCACCTCGGAAGGCCGAGGAAGGCAGGTAGTTTTAGCCCAGGAGTTTGAGACCAGCCAGGGCAACATGGCAAAACCCCACCTCTACAAGAAGTACAAAAATTAGCTGGGTGTGGCGGCGTGCACCTGTGGTCCCAGCTACTTGGGAGACTGAGGTGCGAGTACCACCTGAGCCCAGGAAGGCTGGGGCTGCACTGAGCCGTGATCGCACCACTGTACTCCAACCTGGGTGACAAAGTGAGATTCTGTTTCAAAAAAAAAAAAATTTCACCAAAAAAGTTTAAATTAATATCTAATAATGAAATCCGCATTTTAAAAAGCTTTTCCTGGCTATTGTATGATAGTTAGGTAGACTGAGGGTGAGCAATGCCAGATAAAGAAAGGCCAGTTAGGAGGTTATGGCAGTAGCAGAGGCAAGAGATTACAATGGCTGTGACTATCTGGACAAACCAGTGGTAGTATAAAGAAAGAGAGAACACCAGCCGGGCACAGTGGCTCAGGCCTGTAATCCCAGCACTTGGGAGGCCGAGGCGGATGGATGATGAGGTCAGATTGAGACCATCCTGGCTAACGTGGTGAAACCCCGTCTCTACTAAAAATACAAAAAATTAGCCAGGCGTGGTGCACACATCTGTAGTACCAGCTACTGGGGAGGCTGAGGCGGAAGAATCACTTGAACCTGGGAGGCGGAGGTTGCAGTGAGGCGAGATTGTGCCATTGCACTCCAGCCTGGGCGAGAGAGCAAGACTCCATCTCAAAAAAAAAAAAAAAAAAAAAAAAAAAAAAAAAAAAGAGGCCGCGCGCGGTGGCTCACGCCTGTAATCCCAGCACTTTGGGAGGCCGAGGTGGGTGGATCACAAGTTCAGCAGATCGAGACCATACTGGCTAACAGAGTGATACCCGGTCTCTACTAAAAACACAAAAAATTAGCCGGGCGTGGTGGTGGGGGCCTGTAGTCCCAGCTACTCAGGAGGCTGAGGTGGGAGAATGGTGTGAACCCGGGAGGCGGAGCTTGCAGTGAGCCCAGATGGCGCCACTGTACTCCAGCTTGGACCACAGAGCGAGACTCAGTCTCAAAAAAATAAAATAAAATAAAAATAAAGACAGAACACCAAGAGATATTTGAGAGGTATAACAGAAAAGACTTGTGAGTGTAAGGAAGAGCATGGCAACAAAAATAACTAAATTTTCTATCTTGAGGAAGCAGTACCATTTAATAAGCTAGAGTATAAGAGAGGACCTGATTTTTGAGAAAGACAATGACTCAGATTCATAAATGCTGCAGTTCAGATGTCTCTGAAATATTCAGTCACATTATGGTGAATGGACAGTTATGAGATCTAGCGATATAAATGTGGGGATAATGAGCATGACAACTATTCTCAACATACAGTAACAAAAACAGGTTCTCAAGGATTTTCAGATCCCACCTACACAGGTAAAGCTCGCCAACAACTACATCCATTTTTTAACAACAAACTGGTTCCCTGTAGGGATATGAGTGATGACTATGGCTACTTCCCTCCCAACCTCTGCTACGTCCTGCCTTCCCATTGGACACTTAGAGAATCTATATGAAATTACTTCCCACCAACTTTTAAAAGACAGGGTCTTAAATGTAACACAAAGCTATCACTCTGGGCTTTAGAGTCTTGAAAGATTGCAAAATTTCCTGATTTTCAAAGCCCCACAGAAAACCTAAAGCCCTATATCAGACGCCACTGATACCTCAACAAAGGGTTTATTATGTGTATGCAGCAGGTGGTATCTCTTTTTAGCACATTTTCCAGAAGCATTGATCCAGGCATCAAGTTGCATCAGAATGGGAAAGTACATGACACTGTCAGTTTCATAGGAACAAAGTTTGACACATCACATCCCTGGGGCCCAGGAACTCCTCCCTGCCCACTATGCAGTGCCTATCACTGCAGACACCAGACATTAACTTTCATCCAATATCTGGTATCTAAGTCCACTGCCCAAATGAATAAGCTGACAAAATAAAAGGTTAACTATCCCCAAGGGCTCTAAAGACTACAAGCCAGCAATGCCAATAATATCAACACACACATATACACATACCCCATGATGAATGCAACCAACAGCTACCTCTCCACTCCTACAGTCTGTTATCTCAATTGACTGCTCATAGCCTCTAAGAAATAAAGCAAGACATTTCATGAAATATGAGGAAAATTATCTTAAGCCTAATGGGTATTAGAAAAGCTTTACTTTCAGGGTAACTGGAGACATAAGCATTATTTACATTAAGCTCCCAAATGCAGGGTCTAGGTACTGGTGCTGAAATTCACAAACAAAATAAACAGTCGCCAGGCATTGTGGTTCATGCCTGTAATCTAAGCACTTTGGGAAGCCAAGGTAGGCAGATAGCTTGAGCTCAGGAGTTCCAGACCAGCCTGAGTAACATAGTGAAACCCCATCTCTACAAAAAATACAAAAATTAGCCAGATGTGGTGGCAGGTGCCTGTGGTGCCAGCTACTCAGGAGGCTGTGATGGGAAGATCTCCTGAGGCCAGGGAGGACCAGGCTGCAGTGAGCTGAGACTGCGCCACTGCACTCCAGCCTAGGCTAAAGAATGAGACCCTGTCACAAAAACAAACAAAATAACAACAACAGCAAAAGAAACAATCCTATTTGAAAGGAATCATCAAAAAGAGGCCCCCACTATAGCATTGGGCAAGAAAAGCCATTCAGAGCTGCTTCAATTATGAAAAAGTAAAATATAAAACCCTTCTAGCCTGGGTAAACAGATACAAGTAACTTTAGAACTTCAAAATCTTCTTTTCACAGATATTGTACTTTGAACAAAGTTATCAACTCCCTTAGGTCTGATATTCTAAACTACATTTTTAATGCATTAAAAAAATACCCAGATGGGTTTAAATATGAAATAGCTTTCTAAAAATGAAAATGATTTAGTTTCAGGAAGCTACATCTAAAATAAATGGTATGAGCCAGGCCAAAAGAACTTTCATAACCACCTTGCCCCAATAAAGCCCTTATCGTGGCAGGCATAGATGATGTTTGCATTTTGCGTATTAGAATGTAACAGCTCTCTTCCCTAATCTGACCAATGTCACTATAAATGTGTGTGTGTGTGTGTGTGTGTGTGTGTGTGTGTACTTATAGATACATATATAAATATGTATACAATATATAAATATATATGTATACTTATATAAGTATATAAATATATATAATATATACATATATATTTATCGATCTATCTCTATCTCAGTATCACTCATTCCAGACTCCTGTTCTCTGCTCAAATGTTGCCTTAATGAGAAAATTCCTGGACAATACAAAATTTTTTGATTTTTAAAATTTTTCTGTAGAGACAGGGTCTCACTATGTTGCCCAGGCTGTTCTCAAACTCCTGAACTCAAGCGATCCTCCTGCCTTAGTCTCTCAAAGTGCTCGGATTACAGGTGTGAACCACCACACCCAGCCTAGACAATTCAATTTAAAATTTAAAATTTAAACCCTCACCCCCACAGAAACACACATCCTCCTCTCTGATATCTGGCTTTATTTTTCTTCATAGCAGTAAGTACCATATGGCATATCATACATGTTTTTGTCTCTCTTAAGTAGAATGGAAACTCCATGAGCACAGGGACCTTGTCTGCTTTATTCACTACTGTATCTCCAGTATCTAGAATAGTGCCTACACCTAACTGGAACTAAAATAATATAGTATGATGGATGCATGGATGGAAAGATTTGAGCAAATGACAAAGTGAATGGAGGCAAAAAGACAAAAATATAGTAACTGATTTTACCAAAAAACATCTAGTAAGTAATAGTGCCGTGACTGAAACCCACATCTGCCTGACTTGCAAACCCAAGCTGTTAATTTTTATGCTATACTTCCACTTACCAATTTGGAGACTTTGGAGGAATTACTTGTTGAGTGGAAGAATGTGTATTTTGTATAATGCCAAGTTGTCACATAAGTCTAGAAACTCATATTTGAGTTCCTGTCCATTTTAATGCAACTAACATATTACGTGAAAAGCACAGCAATTGAAAGCCTCAAAAATTAATTAACAAAAACGCTCTCTCAAAGGACAAGAACACCAAACTAGAGGCAAATTCTAAATTTCTCTATGTCCATGAAGGATATATCAGAGGAAACGGGCCTTTATAACCTGGAATGAGCACACCATAGGATTCGCTCTTGGGAGAACCATTCTAAGAAAGGCAAACAGGGACACAAATATGATGCCCCCTCCTTCTGACCAAGACTTAAATGACAATTATAGAAACTTTAAAAATTTTCCAGATCAGGCTATGAGGACGAGAAACAGTGGAGCAAATGGTAAGTCACTCATTTTATTAACATCAGTTTTTCCACACAACAAATTTTGTAGTAATTAAACTTATTCAAATATTTGTTTTGTGGTTCTTACCTGTTTTCTTTACTACAAATGCTAAGCAGTACTTTGCCTCCTACTGCACACTCCCTACAAAGACTTGCCCAGCTCTGTGTACAAGAGGTACCATGGAACTTTAACTGTTTGGGGAGATGACTAAGCATAGAGATCAGGTAGCCAATCCCTTCATTTTACAAGTATGGCAATTCAGGTCCAGAAGTGGGAGCTCCTGTTTTAAAGCCACACATAATTTGTTAGTGGCAAAGCCTATATTAGTACCCATGTTTCCTTGCTTCCTTCCAGAACAAAACTTTTTCGACTCCTCTAATGTTAAAGATAAGAAAGGATATTGTTTATATTAAAGAACTGAAGAACTTCTGGCTTACTTAAGTGTAAGCTCTTCAAAAGAGAAGAATTTATCTAATTGAATCTTAACAGCCTCAGAACTTAGATCACTCTACCCAGCACAGAGTAGGCTTTTTTATTTATTTATTTATTTATTTTTTGACGGCGCATCACTCTGTCGCCCAGGCTGGAGTGCAGTGGCATGATCTCAGCTCACTGCAACCTCCGTCTCCTGGATTCAAGCAATTCTCCTGTCTCAGCCCCCTGAGTAACTGGGACTACAGGCGCACGCCATGACGCCCGGCTAATTTTTATTTTTATTTTTAGTAGAGACAGGGTTTTACCATATTGGTCAGGCTGGTCTCGAACTACTGACCTCAGGTGATCCACCTACCTCAGCCTCCCAAAGTGCTGGGACTATAGGTGTGAGCCACCGCACCTGACCCAGAGTAGATATTACTGTGTATTTACTGAGTGATCAATTGTTTAAATGTGAGTTACTTTATCAAAAAAGAGGAGGGAAAATCTATTTCTGATCCTTATTAATTAAACGTTTTTAAGGCAGTTAGAGTAGGCCTAACTTTAGATATCACTAAAATGACCAAAAAATTATTCTGGTATAAAATAAAAATAAGAATACTCCTCCTTCTCCTTCTTCCCAGCAACTCCATTCATTGAGGACACACATTTCTGCAAGAAGCTACCTGTCTCAGGCCTTAATTTATTTCACTTAATACTAAGAAAAGGCAAATCTCAGGCAGTTTTCAAATAGAAGCAACCAAAAAAAAGCGGGGGGGGCAGAAATAGTAGAAAAATGACCAAGTACAAATATTTCCTGACTATGATGCTGAAAAGCTACTCCTTTTCAGTTATGCATACCTATTTGGTGTCTCATTCCTCTAAGAGTCCTGGTAGAGCCCTTGCCATTTACAGAAGACTCAGGACACTTGTGAAGCTAGACTGAATATCCACTGCTAGAAACTGAATTTAAAATTTAAAATGTGCCTCTTAAATAATAGAATTCATCCAAATTTAACCCATTAAGAATTCTAAAACTAATATATATTAAAATTAAACTATAAGTAATAAAGCACTATACATATATTAAGTGATCCTTCTAACAGGCTTAGTAAGAAGAAAACACAGGTAACATTATCTTCATTTTATAGATAAGGCAACTGAGGTTTAAGAAGATAAAGTGATTTGTCTAGGTTTACAAAGCTAGTTAAATGGCATGGTCAAGACTGAACCTTATGAGTTTTCTGACTCAAGCCTCTTCATATCAAACCAAAATAAGTTTTCGTAAACAGCCCAAAAGGCTTCACAAAAACCTCAGAGGAAAATTTAATCACTAGAGCATTTTTCACAAAACAAAATCCTAAAATGGACAGTAACAGAAAGAATTACTACATGTTTCATTTAAACATTTAAAAATTGCATATGATGTGTATATAAAGTATACTTAATAAATATGAATGCTGTTGTGATCTCCTCCTTAATTACATCTCTTTTTTTGTTAAGGAAAAGTTTAAAAGCCATTGTTTTATCACAGCTCTATTTCCTTAGGGTTCCCCAGATGTGACTTTACTAGTAAATCATGGTAAATATGAGTATGTTTTAGGTATATACAGTACAGGTTTTTGGGCCCCAACACAGAGATTTTAATGCATTAAGTTCACACTCTGCACTTTAACAAACATTCCAGGAGATTCTGATTGGCCAAATTTCTAATACTGCCCCAACAGAATTCCTAGAGGAAAAGCAGTCCAAGAGAATTTAAGAAATTAAAATCCAGGGGCAAAGACTATTTATTAATCTCCCCTAACCCTGAAGCCAGAAAAAAACCAAACAGGTTGGGAACCTATTCCATTCAACATAGTCTCCAAACTTAGCTGGCCTTGCCTCAACTTATCAGAAAAGTTGGTCTTCTCCTCATACCATGTTACCGGATAGATGTAAATGCAAAGGGTTTCCATTTTAATATTCCTACTTCCTTAGCTTGAGTCTACGAAAACTCAGTAAATCCCAAAGCACAAGTATAAGACTGTGATGAATATTTAAGTTGTAACTTTCCCAGAATGCTATGTAGAAACTGAGAGGGAAGAGGTTTGGAGGTCGGGAGGAATGGGGAGGAGGGGAAGATCTGACCTAGTGGGAGAAGTCAGTTGGCCTGCTGGCTTCCCTAGCTCAGATAGGAGTACACAGAAAGAAATTGTGTACTGAGCGGGATTCCTCCACATGATAGTGGGAAATGTTCCCAAGAGGGGTTCCTAAGTAGGAGATCATAATCATAATGGTAATAATCATCTACTTACAAGCTGCCTCTTCTTGGAAGGCTCAACTCCTTCTGAAAAACAAAACATATGCAAGTTAGAAATAAGAACCCATCTGAGTCCTGTTGGTCTACCTAAATGTCCTAGGAAATTCACAGCATTATCTTAATAATGGAAAAGGCCACATATTTCTAAATAACAACTTTTTCTTTGCCTCTTAAATTTTATTTATTTTTTTTTTTTTTTGAGACGGAGTCTCATTTTGTCTCCCAGGCTGGAGTGCAGTGGCGCAATCTTGGCTCACTGCAAGCTCCACCTCCCAGGTTCACGCCTTTCTCCTGTCTCAGCCTCCTGAGTAGCTGGGACTACAGGCACCCGCCACCACGCCTGGCTAATTTTTTTTTTTTTTTTTTTTTTTTTTTTTTAGTAGAGACGGGGTTTCACCGTGTTAGCCAGGATGGTCTCGATCTCCTGACCTCGTGATCCGCCCGCCTCGGCCTCCCAAAGTACTGGGATTACAGGTGTGAGCCACCATGCCCAGCCTGTCTCTTAAATTTTTGTGAAATAAAAGCACTCAGGCAAACTATTACTTCTTTATCCTTCCTTCCTAAAAGGAATGTCTCATAGAATACATGCAACATTTTTCCCACTAGATGGAACCATCTCCCCAGTGTAGATTACAGGCACTCTAGGCCAGCCATTAACTGCTGCTGAATTGTAAAGGGCATTAGTGGCAAGCATACAGAAGGAATGAAATAGGATTAGGGGCAGTGGGTGATAACTAGAAAATATTTTAGACAAATAAAGTAGTATAGTTAATAATATAACAAAGAGATGACTTCACACACCACTGGCATAAGAAATAACCTTTACGATAACAGCTGGGGCCCCTGTGACTTGCTTTCCAAGTGTATCAAGTCCCACCTCCCACCAGTCCTAAATTAACAACTATTCTTAATTTTTTAAATATTTTCAATACGTGTTTTTGGATTTGTAAAAAATTAGTAGTATTGTTTTACATGTTTTAAAATTATATATACATGGTATTATATTATATGTATTCCTCTGTTGACATCAGCCAACATTATGAAAACTGGGAGATTCACCCATGTGGATATATTTCACTTTAGTTCACTGATCTTCAGACAGTGGTCCAGTCTATGAATATACCAATATTTATTTATCTATTCTCTAGTAAATGGAAATTTAATTTTCTTTCCATCTTTTTCTTCTCCATTAAAACAATACTCTTGTAAACATTCTTGTAGTTGTTTCCTAGTGCGCATGTAGAAAAAGTTTCTTGGATGTTGAACTACTGAGTCATAAAGTACTGGATATTCCAAATTGCTCTCCAAAACAACTGTCCATGTAAGAAATATATCCCTCATACACAGTCATGAATATATGTGCTTATATTTTCTTCTAAACATTTTATAGATTTGCTTTTTTCTTTTCTTTTTTTTTTTTTTTTGAGATGGAGTCTCACGCTGTCACCCAGGCTGGCCGATCTCGGTTCACTGCAACCTCCACTTCCTGGGTTCAAGCGATTCTACTGCCTCAGCCTCCAGCTGGGATTACAGGCATGCACCACCATGCCCAGCTAATTTTTTTGTATTTTTAGTAGAGACAGGGGTTCACCATGTTGGCCAGGCTGGTCTCAAACTCCTGACCTCAAGTGATCCTCCCACCTTGGTCTCCCACAGTGCTGAGATTACAGGTGTCAGCCATCACGCCCAGCCGGTTTACTTTTCACAATAAGTTTAATATGCCTTATTTTTGTAAAATTCGCTTATTTTATAAAATTATTTTTGCTAAAATTCAGTATTTGATTGCAATTCTTTTGTGTGTTTTTCTAGGTAAATTTACAAACATTCAACTGTACAAATCTTAAATTACTTAATCTTACGTATGCCAATTGATAAGTCTGTTAAGTACATATACTCAGATAACCTAAATCTCTATCAAAATATAGAACATGTCCATCAATCCAGAAAGTTCCACCATGTCCTTTCTTCGTAAATCCCCAAACAAACCACTATCTTCCTACCCCAAGCAAATATTATTCTCATTATGTCACCACAGATTACTTTTACTTCCTCAAAACTTCATATGAATGGAACCATACAAATATAAACCTTTTTACATAGGCTTCTTCAACTCAGCATAGTATTTGTGAGATTTATCCATGTTGTTGCAGGTAACAATGGCAATATGAATAATATACCCCAGTTAATTTATCGTTTCTCCAATTCCATTTTTCAGCTATTAACATTCCTATAACATGTTTTTTGACAAGCTATATTTCACTTCTCTTGGGTAAATCCCTAAAAGTGTAGAATTACTCAGTTAAAGGGTAGATATATATTTAGATTTATAAGAAGCTACCAGACCTTTTTCTAAAGTGATTATACCATGCTACATTCCCATTAACAATGTATGAGAGTTTCAACTGCTTCACATCCTAGCTAATACATGTTATGTTCACATTAATAATATAAGAAAGTTCGAACTACTCTACATTCATGCCAATACATGGTATCAGCTTTTTATATTTTAGTCATTTTACATTTTAGCCATTTAGGTGTGTACGGGTATCTCATTGTGGCTTTAATCATTTTCCTGATGACTAACGATGTTGAGTATCTTTTCATGTGCTTATTAACCATCAATATATATTCCTTTGTGAAGTATCTTAAAATTTTTTTACCTTTTTAAAAATTGAGTTATCTTTTTACTATTGAATTATAAGAGCTCTTCATAATCTTCTAAATACAAGTCCTTTGTCATATGTGTTTTATAAATATGTTCTAATCTGTGGCTTGCCTACTAAAGTTATTGGTGGTGCCTTTTTTTTTTTTTTTTTTTGAGATGGAGTCTCGCTCTGTCACCCAGGCTGGAGCGCAGTGGTGCAATCTCGGCGTGCGGCAACCTCCACCTCCTGGGTTCAAGTGATTTTCCTGCCCCAGCCTCTCAAGTAGCTGGGATTACAGGCACCCATCACCATGCCCAGCTAATTTTTATATTCTTAGTAGAGATGGGTTTTCACCATATTGGTCAAGTTGGTCTAGAACTCCTGACCTCAGGTGATCCACCTGCCTCAACCTCCCAAAGTGTTGGGATTACAGGCGTGAGCCACCATGCCAGGCCAGTAGAGCCTTTTGATGAGTGAAAATTAATTTTGAGGTAGTATGTGAGATGAAATTAAGGTTCATTTTTTTTCATATGGATATCCACTTATTTCAATACCATTTATTGAAAACACTGTCCTTTCCCTAACAATTTTTTTTTTAACCTTTCTGGGCTCTCTATTGCATCCTACTGATCTATTTTTCTGCCCTATGCAAGCACCACACTATCATGATTCTGTGGTTTTATATTTAGTCCTAAAGTCAGATTGTACAGTCCTTTAACTTTATTATTTTCCAAGATTGCTTTAGATATTCTAGATTCTTGCATTTCGATTTGAATTTTTGAATCCAATTATTAATTTTTACCAAAAAAAAAAAAGCCTGCTGGGATTATACATCAATTTGGAAAGAAGTGATATCTCAAAATATCAAGTCTTATAATACATGAACATAGTACTTCTCCATTTACCGAGTTCTTTAATTACTCTAAGCAATGTTTTATCGTTTTTAACAAAAACACCTTGCACTCCTTTTATTAAGCTCATCCCTAAGTAGATTTTTTAAAGCTATTATAAATAAAAACTTTTATTTCATTTTCCAATTGCTTGCATGTTTATAGAAATTCAATTAATTTTTATATTGACCATGTATCCTATACTTTGGTAAAATTATTATTAATCATAAATGTTTTGTACATTCCTTAGATTTTTTCTATATAAACAATCATATCTTCTATAATAGGGAGCTTTACTTCTTTCCATTTTCTAGAATTTTCTATAAGATGTTAAATGAAGTGGTAGACATCCTCGTCTTGCTTCTCATCTGATCTTACAAGAAAAGCATTTAACATTTTGAATATTTAATATTATGTTAGTTATAGGTTTTTCATGGATAACTTTTTATCAAGTTCTCTTCTATTCCTAATTTGTTCATAGTCTTTCTCACAAATGGGCATGGATTATGTCAAATACTTTCTCTGCATCTACTGAAATGCTTACATAGTTTTTCTCTTCTGTTAATGTGGCAAATTACAGTGATTGATTTTCTAAGATTAAACTAATTTTGCATTTCTGAGTTAAAGTCAACTTTTTTTTTTTTTTTTTTTTGAGATAGAGCCTTGCTCCATCACCCAGACTGGAATGCAGTGGCGTGATCTCTGCTCACTGCACCCTCTGCCTCCCAGGTTCAAGTGATTTTCCTGCCTCAGCCTCCCAAGTAACTGGGTTTACAAGCATGTGCCACCATGCCTGGCTAATTTTTGTATTTTTAGTAGCGACGGGGTTTCACCATGTTAGCCAGGCTGGTCTCAAACTCCTGACCTCAGGTGATCCACCCGCCTTGGTCTCTCAAAGTGCTGGGATTACAGGCGTGAGCCACCGTGCCCAACCTAACTTCAATTTTATCAAATACATTGCTAGATTCTATTAGCTAATATCTTTTTAATGATTTTTGCACCTATTTTCATAAGGGATAATAATCTCTAATTTTCTTATAATTTCTTTGTCAGATTTTTATATCACAATTATGCCGGTCTCCTAAAACTGACTGGGAACTGTTCCTTACTCCTCTATTTTCTGAAAGAAATTATGTAAGACTGGTGTTATTTCTTCCTTAAATATTAACAGCTTTCACTAATAAAAGTATCTAGGCCTAGAAACTTTTATTTAGGATATTTGCCTGTATGTTAATAAGTAAGACTGGCCTATATACTTTCTCGTCTCAAATTGTTCTTGTCCAATTTTGACTTCATACTTATACTATCCTCACTGCTAAGGTTTCAATGTTTGTGTCTCGTCCAAAATTCACATTGGACTTTAAAATCCAATGTGATAGTATTACGAGGTGGGGCCTGTAGGAGGTGATTAGGTCATGAGGCCTTCTCTCTTGTAAACGGGATTAAGGCCTTCATAAGGCTTTAAGCCAGGCATGGTGATGTGCACCTGTAGTCCCAGCTACTCAGGAGATTGAGGCAGGAGAATCCCTTAAGCCCAGGAGTCTGAGGTCAGCTTGGCCAACAGAGCAAGACCCCATCTCAAAAAAATCAAAATTAAAAGAAAAAAAAGAGGCTTCATACAGCTTTCAGCCCTTTTTGCCTTTCCATCCTCCACCATGTGAAGAAACAGCAAGAAGGCACTCACCACACAAATGCCAACACCTTGATCTTGGACTTCTCAGACTCCAGGACTGTGAGAAAATAAATGTCTGTTCTTTATAAATGATCCAATCTGTGGTATTTTTTTATAGCAGCACGAACAGACGAAGACACTCATAAAATGTGCTAAGGTAATATATCCTCTTTTTCTACTTTCTGAAACAATCTATATAAAACTGGAAATATTTGTTCTTTGAATCTACATGACAGTTCTGACTTCTTGAATAGTTTAAATGGGTAATATGGTAGACTACAGTTTTGGCTAACAATAATAAAATTTCCTAAAATGCATATATGCCCCTCTCTGCATTCCTTTAGAGGCACGGAAGCGCATCCGTGGAAATCCATCCCTTCCGACTTCCTTACACCTATACAAAAGCCTGCATTTGATGCCCAGGACTCCAGATCAGTACATTCTGTGACAACTAAGGCACAGTGGAACAAGAAGGGCCCAACCACATAAAGGTAGTCCAAGGAGCAATGATTTCTCAATCCTCCTTTTCCCAGGGAATATTCACAGCAAGTTGGGGAGAAAAGCTACACAATCAGGAAACTTGGCTGAGGCAAGAGTACTCCCATTTAGACAGATAACCATAAATTATTTTACTCATAACCTTCCAGCAACTAGGCTGGTAATACCTGGTAATACATTACAATATCAGGTGAAGCCCATTCCATTCAGCCTTCTCTGATCTACTCATTATCTCTTGACTCTTCATGTTCTTAATGATCTTCCTGATTAGCATTCTGAACACATTCAAGTCTATTCCAGCTTCAGATAAGGAAATAAATTCCCTTAATAACTACACATCCCTCTTCAAATACTGCCTTATCAATTTTATTTCCCTTCACAACCACACTTCTTGAATGAGTTATCTACATCCAATGTCTCTAATTTCTCACTTCCTACTCATTCTTCAACACTCTATAAATATCCCTAGACCTTACCAGCCCATTTAAACCATTCTTGGCACACTGCCAATGTAATGTATAACGCCAGGGTAATGAAGCTTCACTGCATTTTTAGTCCACCTATCTTTTTTGGCTCCACTGCTCAACAGCACCTGATAGTATCATTCACTCTTCTGTCCTGGAAGACTTTTCTTGCCATGAAGCCACATTCTCTTGTTTTTCCTCTTATCCCCGCAAACACACCATTTAAACATCTTTGCAGGCTCATCCTTCATCACCTTAGACCCTTAAATGGGGACTGTCCTTTTAGTTCTGCTTGTACACTCTCCTTTCTCTATATATTTTACAATCTCAAATTTGTATCTCTATCCCAGATCTTTTTGCTGACCTCTATAGTTGTACATACAACTACCTTGTCCTTAATATGTCTAAAACTCAGCTGATCTTTCTACTCAGTCTCGCTCCTTCTCTGTTCTCTATTTTGATGATGGTACCACCAAACCCAGGGTCATTCTTCATTTTTCACTTTCTCTCACTCTCTACATCCATTATTCATCAAGCTCGGCCAATTCTACTTCCAAAATATCTATCTTTAATCTGTCAATTCACTTCTACTTCCCCGGGCACAAGCCACCATCATCCTATAACATCCTCCTAATTGGTCTCCCTTTCATTCAGTTTTGTCCCCCTTGATTAATGTTATATCAATGTAAATATCATATATAGTACCTGTTTTCTGAGTGATAACTGTGGGTATAATGAAATAAATACTGAAGTCAAAAATAACTTTTTATTTTTTTGAGATGAAGTCTCGTTCTGTCACCCAGGCTGGAGTGCAGTGGCGCGATCTTGGCTCACTGCAACCTCCGTCTCCCAGGTTCAAGCGATTCTCCTGCCTCAGCCTCCCAAGTAGCTGGGATTACAGGCATGCGCCACCACGTCCGGCTAATTTTTGTATTTTTAGTAGAGACAGGGTTTCCCCATGTTGGTAAGGCTGGTCTCGAACTCCTGACCCCAGGTGATCCACCTACCTCGGTCGCCCAAAGTGCTGGGATTACAGGCGTGAGCCACCGTGCCCGGCCAAAAATAACTTTTTTAAATGTGTCCTTTCTCTCTTATAATTCTGCAATGGATAAAGTCTAAAATCCTTTCTGTAGTCTACAGGGCACTACTTGGCTCTGACTGCCTCCCTCCTCAGTATCATTTGCATAATTCTCCAGTCTTATTGGAGTTTTGGACTCAGACTTGCCATGCTTTCTTTCACCTTCAGGTCTTCACACTTACTGTTCTCCTGGTCTGGATTACTTTTCTTTATCTCTTTTTATACATTCCTGGACTTCAGCTTAAACTTCGTTTCCTCTGGCAAGTTTTTCTACAGTTTCCCCAGCCTCCTTCCATATATTATCCAAATATTCCTTTAATTCCTCAATCATACCTACTTCACTGGTTACTATAATTATTTGCTAAATTATCTGTTTTCTTTGACTGTTAGCTCCAGGAGAGTAGGAATTAGTCTTGCTCTCAAGGACATTCCTGGCACCCAGCAGAATACCTAGCCTAGTAGGCAACAAATGAATACTGGATGAATAAATCTATGAATCCATCAAGTAAGTAAATGGTTCATACTATTATTGTTATCATCATTATAAGGCAATTATAAGACAATAGGGTCCTGCCTACCAGTTTGGAGTTGCATTGATGAAAACTATCAATTGCAATAATTTCAGCAAGAAGCTTTACTAGGGGAAGAATATGCTCTATTATCACATATTATTTACTGACAGTCTCCTGGCTGGTAGTTACTCCATGGAGAGTCGGAATGCTTTAAGAAGAGAAAAATATTACCGAGGAAGAAAATCTATGTTAATATCATTTACTATCTAGTCTTAAAAGGAACATTATCTCCTGACCTCGTGATCCACTTGCCTCCGCCTCCCAAAGCGCTGGGATTATAGGCGTGAGCCACCATGCCTGGTCAAGAACACAAAATTTAAAGTTTGGAAAACTAGGCTTCTGTCGTGGCTCAAAAACATGTAACTGTGTGACCTGGGATTCCATCTACCTCAAAGGCTTAGATACAGCAGTTGTAAAAGTCAAATAAAGTAACGTACATGAAAATACTTTAGACCAGTCACAGTGGCTCACACCTGTAATCCCAGCACTTTGGGATGCCGAGGCGAGAGGATTGCTTGAGCTCAGGAGTTCGAGACCAGACTGGGCAACATGGTGAAACCCCATCTCTACAAAAACTACAAAAAATAGCTGGGCATATTGGCATGTGCCAGCAGTCCCAGCTACTCAGGGGGCTGAGGTGGGAAGATCACTTGAGCTTGGGAGGCAGAGGCTGCAGTAAGCCAAGATCACACCACTGCACTCCAGCCTGGGCAACAGAGAGAGATTCTGTCTCAAGAAGAAAAAACAAAAACAAACAAACAAAAACCTTTATTCTATAAATAATGTGTTATTCTCATTTGAGTTTGATGAACAGCTTGATGATATTAACAGGATATTTCTACATGGTATAAAGAAACTAGGACTCAGAAAAATATGTGAATGCAATTCTGCTACTTACTTCCTTATAAAATCTTGGTCAGTCATTAAACCTTTCTAAACCTCATTATTCTTACCTGTTCACCTGAGATAAAAATACCTACTCTGCCTTTCTCACAAAAGTTATTCCTAGGCTTGAATTTTTAAAATAAACTTAAAAGTTTAAAGTAAGACACTTTGGATTAATAATAAGAAATTGACCAGGTGTGGTGGCTCACACCTGTAATCCCAGCACTTTGGGAGGCTGAGGCAGGAGGATCCCTTGAGCTCAGGAGTTCAAGACCAGCCTGAGCAACACAGTGAGACCTCGTCTCTAATAATAAAGCTCAAAAAAAATTAGCCAGGAGTGGTGGTGCACGCCTGTAGTCCCAACTATTCAGGGGACCGAGGTGGGAGGATCGCTTGAGACCAGAGGTGAAGGTTGCAGTGAGCCAAGATCATGCTACTGGACTCCAGCCTGGGTGACAGAGCAAGACCCTGTCTCAAAAAAGAGAAAAAAAAAAAAATAGGAAGAAGAAACTGCATTTTTCTAATCTAACCCACCAGTAGCGAAGCTCTAAAGCTAAGTGATAAGATGCTATTCTCTAAAAACTAACCCCACCCCCAATACTCCATCCCTATCACTCCACCCCAAATATTCAAGGTATATTGTTTTAACAGTCTCCAAAATTTTATTACCATTTGGACCCTCAAATTGATACACTTTGATACTTTCTGCCAATGATGATATTTCCCAAAGAACTTTAAGTAATGTTTGACTATATTGAACAAAATAAAAGATATTAAACTATATTCTGAAGTTACAAAGAAAGTTATACATACTAAATCCTAGAGAAATAACCAGTCACTCTCTTTCATTGTCCACAAAGCAAACTTCTAAAGGTATTAAATAAAACATGAAATGGTGCTATTCATGGCCAGGCGTGGTGGCTCACGCCTGTAATCCAAGCACTTTGGGAGGCCGAGGCTGGTGGACCACCTGAGGTCGGGAGTTTGAGACCAGCCTGACCAACATGGAGAAACCCCGTCTCTTCTAAAAATAAGAAAATTAGCAGGGCGTGGTAGCGCATGCCTGTAATCACAGCTACTCAGGAGGCTGAGGCAGGAGAATCTCTTGAACCCAGCAAGTGGAGGTTGCGGTGAGCCGAGATTGCCCCATTGCACTCCAGCCTGGGAAGCAAGAGCAAAACTCCGTCTCAAAAAAAAAAAAAAACCACGAAATGGTGCTATTCCCACAGATGAGGATTCACTGCCTATATGCACTACTCATTATTCACAATGACTAAAGCCATAAAATATTTCCAAAGAAAAGACAAAGGCCAAGTGTCCAAAGGCAGTAACCGCTACCCCCACAAGTAAATATGCAAGCCAGGAGTCACAAGGCTGGTCCTTGTCCTTTATGTCAACAGTCACCAGCGTGGAGATGACTATGGGTCAAAGCTGTCTATGCCTGAGGCAACTCCCTCCCTGGGACTCAGCCTGGCTCATTTGCTATTGAATTCTCACACTATACGTATATTGATCCCTACTGCAGTAGCAGCACTCTTTCCAGAGAAGGAAATTAACAGACTCTAAGAAACATAACCCAATAATCCACTCCATTGGAAGTGGATAGAGAATTGGGTTTTGGAGACAATAACTTTTCAACTAACATTTAAAATCAACGAGGCAAGGTGCTGTGGCTCACGCCTGTAATCCCAACACTTTGGGAGGCCACGGTGGGAGGATCACTTGAGCCCAGAGTTTGAGACCAGCCTAGGTAACATAGTGAGAACTCAAGAAAAACAAACAAATCAATGATGAAAAAAAGGTATTCTCTGCCACTAAAATATTATATGTCTCTTGATATAACTCATAATTAAACCCACATAATGTAACTAACATAAATAACACTGCTTGGGCTTAGGGTAGGAGTGGTGAACATTCTAGGGCCTACTCAGAATCCACTGCTGATGACAATACCATTGTCAAAGGACAAAATTACAACAGATTTAGTTTAAAGATCAAACTGACTTTCAGTTTAAAGATCAAACTGACTTTTGTTTGCAATTCTGTAACATCTCATTCTTAAAAATAGAATGCGTGTTCTGCTGAGCTAAGCAGAGGGGGCTGGCTTTCTAAGCAGAAAATGGGTTAAGAAAGCACAAACAGGGAACAAAAAGCAGATTATTCATTACAAAGTGACTCTCCTTATAGAGTTAAAACAGAACTTTCTTATCATGCTAGCTCAGGTAAACTGGGTCACCTCTGGTTACAGTGAATTTCATGGTTTTGTTGTTGTTTTTTAAACTGGCCTGTTTCAGTTCAGTTTGATTACATGGCCAAATAAGTTTGGGGGAGGTAATAAGAGACATGGAGTGCTTGTAGTGTTCAGGAGGGGGTTAAAGTTTGAATTTGTTCTAACACACCAGTAGAAATAGAAAAAGAAAATAAGAAAAAAAACTCTACCAATATTTTTAAAGGGTAAAAAAAAAAGGGGACAGTAAGGCATAGAGATGTAGGATATGGAATACAAAAAATAATATGGCACAAACAAGTCCAAATATATCATTAATCATAATAAATGTACACAGACAAACTTTTCATTACAAACAGGACTTTTTTTTTTTTTTTTTAAAGAAAACCTACTGTATGCCATTTGCAAGAGATATACCAAAAGCAAACTGATATGAAAAGGCTGAAATAAAGGGATAGTTGGTTTCTGGAAAAACTAACAACAACAAAAAAAATCTTCCATGAATTTTTGTTGTTGTTATTTTAATTTTTTTTGAGACACGGTCTTGCTGTCACCCAGGCTGGAGTACAGGGGCACAATCATGGCTCACGGCAGCATCGACCTCCTAGGCTCAAACGATCCTCCCACTTTAGCTTCCCAAATAGCTGGAACTACAGGTGTGCACCGCCACGCCTGGCTACTTAAATTTTTTTTTTTTTTAATTTGTACAGACATCTCACCATGTTGCCCAAGCTGGTCTCCAGCTCCTGGGCTCAAGTGATTCACCCACCTGGCACTCTCAAAGTGCTGGGATTATAGGCATGAGCCACTGTACTCGGCATTCCACTGATACTTGATAATGAAAAAAAAGAGTCTTAATACCCAATATTAGAAATACAAAGAGAAACAGAAGAACAAATCAGCAAAGGTTTAAAAGAACAAAAATTTTATATATATATATATATAAACAAATTGATCTCAATAAATAACAAAATAAACAAAATGGACAAACTCTTAAAAACATATACCTTACCAAAACTACCTCAAGATGAAAAGTAGGAAACTTACATTATATACATGAGCATTTTAAAAAACTGAATCATACATTATTCCTGAGTTGGGTTTACCAACAAAATGTGAATGTGGTTATACAATAAAAAATTCACAAATGTTATATACCTCAAATAAATTGAGAAAAAATAAAACAATATCAGATGATACAGAAAGGCATGTCAAACAGGTATACAAAGAATCAAAAGCTGGGCGCAGTAGCTCATGCCTGTAATCCCAGCACTTTGGGAGGCCAAGGTGGGCAGATCACCTCAGGTCAGGAATTCGAGACTAGCCTGGCCAACATGGCAAAAGCCTGTCTCTACTAAAACTACAAAAATTAGCCAGGCATGGTGGCAGGAACCTGTGATCCCAACTACTCAGGAGGCTGAGGCTGGAGAATCGCTTGAACCCAGGAGGCGGAGGTTGCAGTGAGCCAAGATTGCACCATTGCACTCCAGCCTGGGTGACAAGAGCAAAACTCTGTCTCAAAAACAAACAAACAAACAAACAAACAAAAGAATCACAGGAACAGAGATCTTCAAGACTTTAGAAAAAGGAAAGGGAGAGAGCTAAAAAAAGGTGGAGGTCTTTACATTGAGAAACAAATGGTGCAAACTCAAATGCTTTAATAAGCCAGTAAGGTAATATACTGTACTTTATCAAATCTGAAAAACTATCAATTGCAAAAGACACTGTTATTTTTTGTAACAGTAAGAAACATTTTTTAAAATGCAAAACAAAAATAAGCCTGGCCAATTAACGTATAACACACCATCAAGAGTAACACCGCTATTTCAAAGCTGTTATAAAGTAAAAAGATGTGAGCCTTAGAATAGATGAAATTCAGTAAATACATAAAGCAGCAGAGGATAAAACAAAAGGGGACTGATAGAGACTATGTTGGTTGATTTTTCTTTAAATCTCCAAAGGTGGCTAAATAAAATATATCTACAGGAAACAGTCACCAGACCACCAATTTGTGATCTAGATTTACACAGAGAACACCAGAATTTAATTCAGAGGTGATCAAGGGATGTAACTGTAAATCACTGTAAGATTTCTGAATCAAACAGTTCCCTCTACAGAATACATGGCATCTACAGGAATGTATTGTTAACACAGACTCCAGATAGCCAAGGAACTCTAAAGATCTGAGGCTGGACTGATTATCCTTGTCTACAAAGATACTGGAGTTACCCATAATGACTATAATATTTGAAAATTAGGTACTCAGGTTTTAACTGCATGGGGATTATCAGAAGGTTGATAGGTAGAAAAGGAGGATAAAACCACTCAGGAATGGGGGGAATGTCAGAAAAAAATGACTATGAAAAAAACAAACAAAGGTACAAGACTGGTGTAGCTGCAACATAGAATAGGAATACATGAGTCAGGGCAAAGAAGAGGGACAAGAGTGAGATAAATTCCTTAACCTTCAAAGCCATCTAATTTACTGACTTGATGAAAATATCTTAGTGGTACTAAAAACTGAAGAGTACAAACTGAAATGTTTCTTTTATCAAGCTTCCCACAGAAAAGAACAAGGAAATGTAGAACAACAGAAGCAAATAATTAGGTTACATTTTTATCCATGTCATCAGCCTTTTTAAAATGAAATTTCAAGAAGAAATTGAATGTTTGAAATCTACCTGGTTCTTGAAGATTTTGTTTTTAAAGACTAAAAATTAGCTGAATCACATTTTGTAAGATGACCATAATTTATGACAGTCATAATTTGCAAAATAAAAAAAGTCCCAAGGCTTTCTCAATAATAATGCTTCCCAGTATGCATTATGTTGTCATATATCCTCCAAAATAATTAAGTACCCGTAAACAATGACACTCTAAGTACTCTCGTTTTTGAACAGCAAAGGCAAAAAGCAAGCAGGGGGTTGGGGGGGGTGCATAAAAATACTATACAATTTAGTTTTTGCCTGAAGGCAATAATTTTATCAGCACAACAAATATTTTCAATTCAGAACCTGGGAAATTGCACTGTCTATACAATGAAGACAGATTACTATATGTGCCTTATGGGCAAATAATGTGGAAATTATGGCACTAAGAGAGTTGATAACAAAAATTTGCTTATGGTGGCTAGTCCCTGACCTTTCAAAGTTAAAATCATCCCCCATAAAGTTGATTGGGAAACAGGGCAAGTATAAAAGCACCTCCTTCAATTCACAAGGAACTTCAATCTCAAATGTCTCTCCATGTGTAGATGCTTCAAAAGTAGATGTAAGATGAAAGCCAATTTTTACCACAAAAAAGACCCAACTTGAACAGCTTTTCAAGCAAAACAGTGTCAATTCCTACACCGACAGAGGCTCCTCCAGTGTAAAGAAAAGATGCTCACACATAATCTCCCAGATGTCCTTTTACCATTAAGATGTAGGGATGTTGTAGTGTGTGACTGTGCAGACTGAAACTGCTACAGTTCTTTTTCTAACACATAGGAAGCAAGCTTGAGAATGAGGCCAAAACACAGAGGAAGGCAAAAGAGCAATGAAGCTGAGCAAATACACCAGACTACCCAACTCTGAAACCCATCCAACCTCTGGACTTCATTGTTGTGAGTCAATACATTTACCTAACATTTAAACCACTCAGAGTCAAAATTTCTGTTACTTGTAGTTCAGAGTACCCTAACCTATACATCTAGCCTGGCCATACACCTACTTGTCTGTCCTTGAGGAAGCTACTGAGCTTCACGTATCTGTAAAAATGGCCAATAAGAAAGTCCTCCACATCGTCCACTGCTATCACCCCTCCAATCTGTTATTATTTCTTGCTTTTTTTGACCACAACAGTCTCATAATTGGTCTTTTTGCTGCAGCCCTTGCCTCCACTGTCTACTCTCAATATACCAGTGGAGTACAGAAATGAAATGAAATTTGGCTGTGGTTATATGACTAGAACATGGCAGAACTGTAATTTGAACAAAATAGACAAGGTCTTTGCTGTCACGGAACTTCTAAATGCCCTATTTACTATTCTGCTACCTCCCCAAGAAACTCTGCGGAAAAACCTGGAGGTATCAAAGTAGGCTGTGTCTTAGCTGATCTTCTGGAAAAGTTTTAGGAAATCTATTTCACCAGAAAGCAATTAGCGAAGCCAAATATTTATTTGGATTTTCACCTTCAAATCTGAGGTTACCCAGTAGATTACCTGTACCACCAGGCACACTTTACCTTTGTGTGTTTATTTATATAAATCTATTAATAAAACTTACCTTTAAATCTTTATATTATAATGTAACTATTTAAAACAAATAATCTAAACTGCTGCTTTTCAAGCGTTAGCTCTGTTTTGGAATGTTCCAAAGCAATCTTCTGGAGAATGAACCTTAAAGTTTATTTTTTAAAAATAGGCAAAATAGGCTGGGTGCGGTGGCTCACATCTGCAATCCCAGCAATTGGGAGGCCGAGGCGGGTGGATCACCTGAGGTCAGGAGTTTGAGACCCGGCTGGCCAACATGGTGAAACACCGTCTCTACTAAAAATACAAAAAATTAGCCAGGTGTGGTGGCACATGCCTGTAATGCCCCAGCTACTCGACTCCGGAGGCAGAGGCAGGAGAATCACTTGAACCTGGGAGGCAGAGGTTGCAATGAGCCAAGATCACGCCACTGCACCTCCAGCCTGGGTGACAGAGTGAGACTCCATCTCAAAAAAAAAAAAGTAGACAAAATAAATAGGGGAAAAATTTTTTATAAGTATAAGGCTGTAGGAAAAGATCTTCCAGTGCTATGTAATCTGGCAGTTTAGAACTCCTGCTAGATAGAAACAAAGACTCGAGAGGAAGGGCATCAGTAAACAAGGTAGCAAATACTAGAGACTGACTCAGGCATCAGGGAGAAAATGAATGATTTAACACAAAACAGAAAATATTTCCCATTCAACAAATAGGATTCCCTTTCTGAATCCTAGCAACTAAAGAGAAATAAAGATATAAATAAGCAGTGCAACTAAATGGGCTTACAGAGCCAGCCATTTTTAATTAGCAGCTGCTTGAACATACATCACTACTTATGAGAGGTCATCTGAGTACAGTACTAAATAAATACTACTCAAAATAACCCCAAGAAATCAAGGGACAAATCTCATCGAATCAACTGTGCTAACAGGAGAAATTAGTATAAGGCGCTGGAGTTTATGTTATTGACTTTTAAAGCCCAGGTCATACTGGTCAACTGCTAAAGATTCAGTGGGTTCTCCCTACGGGCTCTGAATGTTTACAGCACCATCAATAAGAAGTACATATAATAACTAGAAACAATACAATTTGTTTAAATTTATATTTTAAGTTTACTAATCCTATACATTTTCTACCTGAGAACTTTAAAGAAACTAAAATAATGTTAATTCATGATAATTTTAAAATCCTTAGGTATTTTGTACAAAAAAAGTGCTTTATAAATAATGTCAAATAAACAAAATGAAAACAACAGAAATAGCTACATTTCATGACTAAACCATCACAGGTTGATTGATTAGCTCAGTGATTTACACTAGAATCTTCATTATGTCAATTCTCAAAAACATTTAGTGATAGACTAGAAGCTGGCTTGCTCTTTGCTAACAAGACTAAGATGAGATAATCTACAAAGCATGAAAAAAATAATCATCAAATTTGGCATGTATTCTTTTAGTGCTAAGGATATTCATTAAAACTCAGTTGAAGGTTGCCTATCAGTCTATTTTCATTCACTGTTATATCTTACATACCTCTTCATCTAACAAACTACCTATGATTTAAGAAGGAAAAGATGGTAGGTAGGTAGGTAGGTAGACAGACAGACGGATGGATGGACAGACAACACAGACAGACAATAGATAAGTGGATGGAATGTGTATATGCCAAGTGATAATTTAGAAAAGTTCTTAAAACTATGCATAGAATCAAGCATATACTACCATACATGTGACTTAATGGTGGGCAGATCAGGCATGGTGGTCAGGAACAGAATATGTTCACCGTAAACAATCTGTCAGCAGTAATGTCTAATGTTCTAAATTAGGCTTGTATCCCATACAGGTCTGATTTAGTTGCTCTACTCACTAAATACAGTGTAAATAAGCCCAAGCAGCATTTTTCTATCAAAATAGCAAGATTTTAGATAAGTTCTCTAATTATAACTATACATCAAAGAATAAAGAGGAACTTAGCTGCACTCCACTCTGCCTCCTACCTCAAATGAATTAAATACATTATAACAATCTGTTCAGTACATTTACAAGAGACATTAAAAGGAAGGAGATCAGTGAAAAAGGTTTTCTTTTACTCACCTGTAACCCTCTCCTTCTCAGAATACTGGAATCATCCATAATAGATATCAGACAAAAAAAAGCCACTCCCCAGACAGTCAACTACTAGTGCCTACTTACTGCTGGATAAAGAGGCAAACAATCCTTTCAGCACACCACTAACCCACTGTTCCACTAAACCAGTTATCCCTCTGTCCAGCGTAAGTATACAATCACTGCCTCATATCAGAATCACGTCTTTCTTCACAGAAGTATAGATACATCTCATCTGAAGCACTGCCAAATAGCGGAAAGACTTCATATTTGTTTTCATTTTCCATGCATACCCCTTTGGTTGAAATTATTTGAAGTACTAAGAAAAGAACAAAAGGTTCCGGGGGAAAAATTCCAATCTTTGATATCCTGACTTTGCTGCTTATTAAAAAGGTTTAGCAAACAAAACAAGAGTCTCCACCTACAGCTACTAAGCTTATAAAATCCATGTCACGTTTTCCTTTCCAGAAACAAAACCACTCCACATACGTTTTTAAAAAGATGACAATTCTTCAGAAATACAAAGAAAAACATACGATTCTGATGCCTGTATTTTAGACTCAAAATGATATAAAACCAGTTATTGTTTTGACTAAGTCGGCAAAATTCCTTTCATCCTTTGTACAGACAAAGCAAATGTCAGATTCTTTCGATACTGTCAGGGGCTCTTTTGTTTCTTTATCGCTAGACTCACTGGTCTTCACTTCTTGGACAGTAACGAAAGCCTCTTTCTTCAGGAGCTAGATCATTGCTAAGGTCGGTTTCCCTGCTCTTTTATGTGCAGGAGGGGGCTAGTCCACGTGTTGTGAGTTCTGAGCATGGACAAATTCATTCAGCTGTTTATCACTTACAGTGCTGTCACAGGAAACGCTCCCCATTCCCCCAGACTTCTAAAAGGGCACAGCATGAAAAAGTCTCATTTTATCCAAGCTTTAATGATCTCAAGAATTGTTTCTTTGGTTACTGGCTGCCATTTTTAAAGTAGAACTTCAGCCAAGTTTAAAGATGCTTCTGTTTCTTAATTCATGGCTCAAAATACATAATCTTTTAGATTTTAAGAGTGAAAGATTGTTCTCATGATATGATTCTGTTCCTTACACACTCCATAAGCAACGTTTAAACTTTCCAACTTTATGGTAATTGTCAGAATCTTAGTAAACACAAAGGAAAGTTGCTGATCTTTCTAACAAGTCACACACACAAAATTGTTAGTGAAGGCAGCATTATATTTTTAGGAAGTGAGTTTAACACATTAAATTCAATCATTTTTTCCAAACTATAAGACATGCTACAATAATTACTCTCCTACAAAATTCAGGAGACACGAATCCAAATTCCCTAATTTGACAGATAAAGGTATGTATAAAGCACACAATCAGCCAGTTATACTACCTAAGGTGTAAATATAGCAATAGCTAAAGGCCAGATTCAGTCTGCACCCAAAAAGGAAGAAAAGCAGTCCCTCCTATAATTATGACAGCTGCAACCAACAGTCTAGGGCTTGAAGGAAAGTCTATTTACAAGATCATTTTCTGGTCTTTTTACAACTGATTATAGTCATAAGAAATTGCCACACTGCTGAAAATAGCACAAAAAACAGGATCCATGTCCCTTTCATTCAGCAGAAATCTTCTAATCCTTAGCATAACCAGTGTGGTCTTTCATTGTGAGAGCTAATAAATCCACATTTCCACGGATTCCTTCTCCCATCTGCTGCTTTGAATAACTAACGGCTGGATTATGTCTATGGGGAAAACAAACACAAGACCTGAACAGACAGCTGATTTGCATAGGGTATGCTGTACACTGTATGAGTGTCTGCAAAGTCATAGGCCTTTAAAGTCATAGAACTCCTCTATCAAAATAGGTTTAACTAGCTAAAACATATGTATCAGCAGAGAGGAAGTAGGAGTGGCTTCTAATTTATTCAACCCGGTAATCAGTAAAAATATAAAAAAGATGCATTCTGAGAAGCTATTCAGACAAAAGATTCAAAATTCAAACTCTTTATTCATTTACTAATTCAAGAACCATTTATTTTGCCAACCACTGAGATAGGGATGAGGAAAGATTACCAAAATCAACATTAACCATAAACTAATAATCCTATTCTAGAAGAGCTAAAATCCAATGGGGAAGCCAAATACAAACAAGTAATTATGACACATGAGAAGTGTGCTAAAAGGTATGACAAAGTGCTATGGGAGTGTCAAAGAAGGCTCAATTCATTATAGTGGAAAGCCTACAAAAAGGCTTCAAGTGGAAGTGCCATTTGGTCACTAAAACTAACGTTATGGGATTATCAACCTTTCACCAAGACAGGTTTCCTTTCCCAAAACGTTGTACACAGCTTAAAAATCTTCAACCTGGCCAGGTGCAGTGGCTCACCCAGCACTTTGGGAGGCCGAGGCAAGTGGATCATCTGAGGTCAGGAGTTCGAGACCAGCCTGGCCAACAAGGCAAAACCGTGTTTCTACTAAAAATACAAAAATTAGCCAGGCATGATGGCAGGCAGCTGTAATCCCAACTACTTGGGAGGCTGAGGCAGAAAAATCATTCAAACCCAAGAGGCAGAGGTTGCAGAGCTGAGATCGTGCCACTGCACTCCAGCCACTCAAGGTTAAAAAAAAAAAAAAAAAATCTTCAGTCCTCACTATCTAAAAAATTAAGTAAAAAACGTCTCCCCTTGGCATTCAAGACACGCCATATCATGGAAACAACAGATTTTATCTTCAGTAGTACCTTATTGTAACTTAACCTTCCAATTGGAAAGAACAAGGCACAGTTTCCTGAACATACCCCATCTTTCCCCACCTCAAATCCTTTGTGGATAAACAAGAATACAACCATCTACCTTATAAGGTTGTTGAAAGGAATCATTTATGAAACATGTATGAATGATTCACAACTTTTTTCAGTATCTCTCACAGAGTAGTGTGTAACCTGCTCAAAATTTCCTGCCACAACCTGGTTTCCTTAAAGCCTGTTTGGTTCTCAAAATTTATGCAAATTTTGCATTCTTCTCTGTAAGATAATAAACCTTTATTTGTTTATGTTACAGTAATATTTGTAGTAACTGATTAAACTGTAGGAAACAGAAGAAGAGTAACCAGAGAGGTGGAAGGAAATCAAGACTGCAAATGCTATTAAAGAAGCCAAGAAAAGATAGTCAGGGACTGCTGAACAAATGCTGCCTGGAGGCCCATCATTAAAGAATGTCATCCAATTTAACTGACTTGAAGTCAACTGGTACCCTTTGTAGGAACAATTTCAGGAGTGGAGGAGTGGTAGGAGCAAAAGCCCAACTCCAGTGGGTAGGAGATGAGGAAATAAAGACAGTGAATCTAGACAACTCTTCCAGCTTGCATTTAACTCTCCATACTCTCTGCAGCCAAAGTTCTCAAAAAAAAAGTTATTCTTGAAAAGGAAGGGAGGGGATTGAGAGCATAAACAGTGATAGAAGGAATATTTCTTCCACCACAAAAGATGAAAAGGAAGGAAGGGGATTGAGAGCATAAACAGTGATAGAAGGAATATTTCTTCCACCACAACAGATGAAAAGGAAAAAGCAGGTACAGGTAACAAAATATTTGTAACTTTAGTGGTAAAGAAGCTAAAGAAGCTTCCACATTATAGCTATTTTCTCCATGAAATAAAAAGGAAATCAGCAGAGCAAGGAAATTCCAAATTTGAGATGAGTAAAAAAAAAAAAAAATTGAGAGATAATACAGAGAACAAGAAAATACGCTGAACAAAAAGTAGAATTGGTAAGCAGCGTTAAGGACTGACCTACATCATTCATCATCATTTTACAGTCCCACCAATCTGCTCCGTTGTGTGGCTTTCTTCAGTAGACTACAGTAATGCAAAGGCAAAGTTTTACTAAACAGCTTTACCAGATAAATTGACCAAAAATGGGGCAAACAATTTATGACATGGAATAGAGAGAGTAACAATGGAATCTAAGCTAAAAGAGGAGGAAAGTAAAGACGAAAAGACAGGAAGAAAAGATTTAATAGAGGTGCTGGTAAGTCTGAGAACTGGTATACTTTAAGAATAATTAAATGGGGAAGCTAAAAAAATTATCAGGTTGTAGTGAGGAGGTTACCTAGAGTTACGATTTTAGTGAAGGAACATTTCAGAGGTATGACAAGGCAGAGAGCTAAGTGGACTAGAAATGATAATGAGGTCAACAACTATGCCAGGATATTATTGGATGGATTCATCTACATGGTTGCTGAAAATAACAAAGATAATAGCAGGAGTTGAGAGGAGTAGTAAGATTTTTTTTTTTGGAGACGGAGTTTCGCTCTTGTCGCCCAGGCTGCAGTGCAATGGCATGATCTCGGCTCACTACAACCTCTGCCTCCCAGGTTCAAGTGATTCTCCTGCCTCAGCCTCCTGAGTAGCTGGGATTACAGGCACCCGCCACTACGCTTGGCTAATTTTTGTATTTTTAGTAGAGATGGGGTTTCACCATGTTGGCCAGGCTGGTCTCAAACTTCTGACCTCAGGTGATCCGCCTGCCTTGGCCTCCCAAAGTGCTGGGATTACAGGCATCAGCCACTGCGCCCGGCCAAGAGTAGTAAGATGTATACTGGATTATAGAATCTAACATGAAACAGGAAGAATAATTAAGTTGGTAAACAGCAGCCAGGAAGGGAAGGACTGCCAAGAAAAATTACCCTAATGGGTCATATATGTATTGATTCTTGCTTCACATAAATTTTTTTTTTTTTTTTTTGAGACAGATTCTCACTCTGTCACCCAGGCTGGAGTGCAGTGGCATGATCTTGGCTCACTCCAACCTCTGTCTCCCAGGTTCAAGTGATTCTCCTGCCTCAGCCTCCCGAGTAGCTGGGATTACAGGTGCCCGCCACCACTCCTGGCTAATTTGTGTGTGTGTGTGTGTGTGTGTGTGTGTGTATTTTTAGTAGAGACAGGGGTTTACCATGTTGGCCACGCTTGTCACAAACTCCTGGCCTCAAGTAATCTGCCCATCTCAGCATCCCGCCACCTCAGGATTGCAGGCATGAGCCACCCCGCCCAGCCCAGATAAATTTTTATCAATGTGGATATGCTAATTTACCTCAAATCCCCTATTTTACAACTGGAGAAATTAAGACCCAGGAAGGAGACGTAACCTGCTCAGAAACAGTGTAGTAGAAACTTGAACCCATGCTTCCGACTAGAACATTCAGCTTTATTCAGCTTCAACTAAAAAGAACAGAAAGAGCAGGGTTTCTTGTCCAAGAACAGATGAATAAAACATTTTCATCATCTTCTCTACTATGTTATTAGTATTGAGAGGACTATCAGCCAATGACTAGATAAAAAGTCAAACACCTTGCAGAAATAAAAGTAAATACATAAATTCTCAGAATAGGCTGCATCTAAACATTTCCTCAACATAAATTATCCTTTTATTTATCAGTAAGTGAATAAAATATAACTAACCCCATGTGGAAAGCTATAAGGTTCTTTACATGGTAAGCAAGCCAAGATAAGCACAATGAAAAAATTAACTTTAGGCCTCCCTGATCAGCTCATCTTGATTTTCTCCCTCTCATGTTGTGTCTGGCCACAACAAATTATGAGTACTTCTCTTGCACGCACCACTTTGTTTCACTGCTTCATGCCTTGGCACATGTTCCCACCTACTGGAGAGGTTCCCTACTTCAGCTCTTACCTAGTAAACTCCTATTCATTCTTCAAAACCCAGCTCAAGGGCCAGGCGTGGTGGCTCATGCCTGTAATCCCAGCACTTTGGGAAGCAAAGGCTGGCGGATCACTTGAGGCCAGGAGTTTGAGACTAGCCTGGCCAACATGGTGAAACCACATCTCTATTAAAAATACAACAATTAGCTGGGTGTGATGGCACTTTTTGTGCCTGTAGTCCCAGCTACTCATCAGGCTGAGACAGCTGAATCACTTGAACCCAGGAGGCGGAGGTTGCAGTGAGCCGAGATACCAATGACTTTCTTCACAGAATTGGAAAAAACTACCTTAAAGTTCATATGGAACCAAAAAAGGGCCCGCATTGCCAAGACAATCCTAAGCCAAAAGAACAAAGCTGGAGGCATTATGCTACCTGACTTCAAACTATACTACAAGGCTACAGTAACCAAAACAGCATGGTACTGGTACCAAAACAGAGATATAGACCAATGGAACAGAACAGAGCCCTCAGAAATAATACCACACATCTACAACCATCTGATCTTTGACAAACATGACAAAAACAATGGGGAAAGGATTCCCTATTTAATAAATGGTGCTGGGAAAACTGGCTAGCCATATGTAGAAAGCTGAAACTGGATCCCTTCCTTACACCTTATACAAAAATTAATTCAAGATGGATTAAAGACTTAAATGTTAGACCTAAAACCATAAAAACCCTAGAAGAAAACCTAGGCAATACCATTCAGGACATAGGCATGGGCAAGGACTTCATGTCTAAAACACCAAAAGCAATGGCAACAAAACCCAAAATTGACAAATGGGATCTTATTAAACTAAAGAGCTTCTGCACAGCAAAAGAAACTACCATCAGAGTGAACAGGCAACCTACAGAATGGGGGAAAATTTTTGCAATCTACTCATCTGACGAAGGGCTAATATCCAGAATCTACAAAGAACTCAAACAAATTTACAAGAAAAAAACAAACAACCCCATCACAAAGTGGGCAAAGGATATGAACAGACACTTCTCAAAAGAAGACATTTATGCAGCCAACAGACACATGAAAAAATGCTCATCATCACTGGCCATCAGAGAAATGCAAATCAAAACCACAATGAGATACCATCTCATTTCAGTTAGAATGGCAATCATTAAAAAGTCAGGAAACAACAGGTGCTGGAGAGGATATGGAGAAATAGGAACACTTTTACACTGTTGGTGGGACTGTAAACTAGTTCAACCATTGTGGAAGACAGTGTGGCAATTCCTCAAGGATGCAGAACTAGAAATACCATTTGACCCAGTAATCCCATTACTGGGTATATACCCAAAGGATTATAAATCATGCTGCTATAAAGACACATACACACGTATGTTTATTGCGGCACTATTCACAATAGCAAAGACTTGGAACCAACCCAAATGTCCATCAATGATAGACTGAATTAAGAAAACGTGGCACATATACACCATGGAATACTATGCAGCCATAAAAAAGGATATGTTCATGTCCTTTGTAGGGACATGGATGAAGCTGGAAACCATCATCCTTAGCAAACTATCGCAAGGACAAAAAAAAAAAAAAAAAAAAAAACACCGCATGTTCTCACTCATAGGTAGGAAATGAACAATGAGAACACTTGGACACAGGAAGGGGAACATCACACACTGGGGCCTGTCATGGAGTCGGGGGAGGGGAGAGGGATAGCATTAGGAGATATACCTAATGTAAATGACAAGTTAATGGGTGCAGCACACCAACATGGCACATGTATACATATGTAACAAACCTGCACATTGTGCACATGTACCCTAGAACTTAAAGTATAAAAATAAGAACTAACTTTAGTTACAAAATCCAAGTCCTGCAGCAGTCTCAGAGACTCATCAGGCCCATCACAGTGGTGCCCCATCCAGCACAAAGTACAGAACCTGGAAACTTTACAGTCTGTGGTAGCTTCTCAACAAAGGATTCTTTTTCATTTGTTGCTTAAACAGAGAGTCAATCAATCAAGTAAAATTCCTTCCAAATAGAAAGGCCTTTTTATAGAGGACAAATATGCTCCTCAGGGTAAAAGGACAATGACTTTCCTGCTATTCCATAGGGATAATATTTTATCATTTACATAGGCTTATGATTAAGATTCCTCATTCCAATATCCTAGAAATCACTCTTTTCAAAGTAGTCTTCCTTTCATTGATTTACAAATTAAGTATTCTCTATGTACCAGATGATATCATGGGCCTAGCTATACAACTGTTAATAGAAATAGATAAAAATCCCTGACCTCTTAAAGCTTACATTCAAGTGGATGTAGACAGGCATTAAACAAAAAATGAATACATAAAATATACAGTATGTTAGAAGATAATAAATGCAATGAAGAAAAATAAAACAGGGAAGGATTAGGGGTTTGGGAGAATATTTTCATGCAAATTTGACGTTTGAGATACTGAACATATTGATGAAAAAGCTATGCTAATATTAAGGCAATATGAACACTTAAACAAGTACTAATTCCCTTGCTAAAGTATTATTTAAAAATAACTAGCTTAAGTCTACTCCCTACATATGATGCACATCTCCTCCCCAGCTCAGCCCAGCCCACTACCCTCATGACATATACATTCAAGCATACTCACATAAAAAAAAAAAACAGATCTAAAGGATAACTTCTCCCCACGTATATACAAAACATGGTTCCATGATTCTTTTTTGTTTGTTTTGCTCTTCCTCGGTATAATTGCTCATTTATTTTACTGTGCCCTGTAATTTAGAATTCTCCTAACTTAAAACCAATTAGATAATGGTATCTTTTCAAAAGACAGAACGTTTTTTTAACATACAGAAGCAAGCCAAACCAAACGACATGTAACACTCAAAGAATAAAGTGTCTTGTTAGTAAAACATGAAACTTACAAGGCATGCAAGTAAACAAAAATAAACAAAAATGTTTGATGTCAAAATCACATGTGCAACTGCGTGTGTGACTGCAAATAGTCTCACATTTGTCATTTCAACCTGAGTTACACTATACCTTGTCTGAAAAGGTTTTCCCTAGACTTCTTATATGAGAAGAAGCCACATATTAGTTCCATTTATTCATTTAAATATTTGCTCAACAAACAATTGTAACTGTTATTATTTTTAGATACGGGATATTGCTAGGTTGCCCAGGCTGGTCTTGAACTCCTGGCCTCAAGCAATCCCCCCACCTCAGCCTCCCAAAGCATTGGATTACGGATGTGAGCCACCCATGCCTGACCTCAAACATTAATTACAAGTTTGCTGTGTACCAAGCCCTGTATCTTCAGAACTGTCTTCTTCAAGAAGCTCACACTCAAGGGAGGCAAATAAATAAAAATTATATTGCACTGTGTATACACTCAGGACAGAGCTTTTCCTGCCTTCAGCATATTCAAGATCAATATTCAAGATCAATCCAAGTTAAACTTCTGAAGCCCAAGAGAAGCCGAAGATCTGAAACTGTAATGATAAGGTGAGTAAAACTAGCATTTGCTAGTCCCAAATTAGGCTCCTGAAGTCAGCACTACCAGAATAAAAATTCAGTGTTTAATTAAATCCTAGCCAGAGCAATAAAGAAAGAAAATGATAGAAAAGGAATATATAGATTGGAAAAAATAAAACTGTCCTATTTGAAAATGACATGATTGCCTATGTAGAAATGCTCAATCTACAAGAAAAACTCCTAAATGAGTTCAGCAAACTCACCGGATACAAGATCGGCACACGAAAACCAACCATATTTCTATATACTAGTAGCAACAAACATGTAAAAACTAAAATTTAAAATACAACATCATTTAAAGTTGCAAAAAAAAAAGTTTCATCTCATTTCTTTTTTCTATCTGACCTCTTAAATTTCAACCCCACTTGAAATAAATTACCAGCGCTGAGGGACTGAGACTGTTCCTGGCAAGCAGCATGAAAATACAAAAAGATAAAATACTTAGAGACAGAAATGCAGCAAAACACATACAAGATATGTATGCTAAAAATTACAACATGCTGATGAAAAGAATTAAAAATCTACATAAATGCAGAGACACACTATTTTCATGGGTCAGAAGAATCAAATAGAAAAAAAAAGCCATTTCTCCTCAAAACTTATTGTGATATCGTGATTTATAATAAAAATATATATTTTTTGGTCTTCATCCTAGTTCTTGACACAGAGCTCCCAATCCATTAGAATTTATTGGGTGATAGACATGCCTTCTGTTCTAACAAAGGGAATGTTAACTGGGCTCCTGTATGGAGGCTGTGCACCAGAAAGACCAAGCCATGATTAGAAAATTGGAACTTTCCACCTCACCCTCCAATCCTCTGGGAAGGGGATCATGCCTATGTGATAAAGCTGCCATGAAAATCAGTGAAGTACAGGGTTCAGAGAGCTTCCAGGATCCTGACCACATGCAGGTACCTGGAGGATAGTGAGCCCAGAGCGGGTGAAGCTCCACACTCCTTCCCACCTGCCTCATCCTATGTGCTTCTCCACCTGGTGGTTCATCTGTATCCAATTTATAGCTGGTCAGTCAAAAGAACAGGTAAAACCAGCTAGGACTGAAACTGGATCTAAAGTAGGGGCAATCTTATGGGACAGGGCCTTAGCCTATGGGATCTGATGCTTATTCCAGGCATGCAGTATAGGAGTTGAGTTAAATTATAAGGCACCCAGCTTCTGTCTGCTGTTTGGTGTACAGGGAAAAAAAACCCATAAATGTGGTGTCAGAAGGGTCCTGTGTTGTGGTGAGTTTGAGAGTAGGTAAAAGTTTAGTTTTTCCTTTATCTCATATTTCTTTATAGGTTTAATGTAATTCCTATCAAAATCCCAGCAAGACTTTTTGTAGATATAAAAAAGCTTATTCTAAAATTTATGTAGAAAGAAAAAAAATCACTAAAACCATTTTGAAATAGAACAGTAAGTGTAAGGAATCACTCTACCCAATGTTAAGACTTACTATATAGCAGCAGTAATCAAAACATTGTGGTAATGGCAGAAGGAGAGTCCCATAAGTGAACTGAACAGAAAAGAGAACCCAGAAATAAACCACACAAATATGTCCAATTTTTTTTTTTTTTTTTTGAGACAGAGGGTCACTCTGTCACCCAGGCTGCAGTACAGTGGTACGATCTCAGCTCACTGCAACCTCTGCCTCCCGGGTTCAAGTGATTCTCCTGCCTCAGCCTCCCGAGTAGATGAGATTACAGGCATGAACCATCACTCCTGGCTAATTGTTATATTTTTAGTAGATAGGGTTTTGCCATGTTGGCCAGGCTGGTCTCGAACTCCTGACCTCAGGTGATCTGCCCACCTTAGCCTCCCAAAGTGCTGAGATTACAGGCATGAGCCACTGTGCCCGGCCTGAATATGTCCAACTGATTTTTGGCAAAAGTGGAAAAGCAATTCAATGCAGAAAGGACACACTTTTCAATAACTTATACTAGAACAACTGGACATCCATGAGCTGAATAAAAAAATAAGCTTAACCTACAACTCACACTATACACAAAAATTACTTCAAAATTGATCATGAGTTAAATGTAAAAAATAAAACTGTAAATTTTTAAAAGAACACAGAGGAGAAAATCTTCAGAACCTAGGAATAGGTGAAAAGTTCTTAGACATGACACCAAGAACACAATCAGAACTTCATCAAAATTAAAGACATTTTTCAACCTAAGAAAGCTGATTGAAAAAAAAAAGAGATTGTACACATAAAGGTAGTATAAAAAATTTTTCTTTTAAGAAACAGAAAAACAATTTTAGGATGGGCACAGTGGCTCACGCCTGTAATCCCACCACTTTGGGAGGCCGGGGTGGGTGGATCACTTGAGGTCAGGAGTTCAACACCAGCCTGGTCAACATGGTAAAAACCTGTCTCTACTAAAAATACAAAAATTACACAGGCGTGATGGTACACACCTGTAATCCCAACTACTCAGGAGGCTGGGCAGGAGAATCACTTGAACCCAGGAGGTAGAGGTTGCCGTGAGCCGAGATCGAGCCACTGCACTATGGCCTAGGTGACAGAGACTCTGACTCAAAAAAAAACAATAATTATTTTTAAAAAATTAATAAATGTGTTATGCAAAACACTCTGTTAAAAAGAATAAAAAAGTTATTTGCAAACCACATATCCAACAAGGAATTTATATTTAGAATACATACAAAACTTTTAAAAGTTTATAGTTTTAGGGCATGGGGCTCATATCTGTAATCCCAGCACTTTGGGAGGCCAAGGCAGGTGGATCACCTGAGCTCAGGAGTTCGAGACCAGCCTGACCAACATGGTGAAACCCTGTCTCTACTAAAAATACAAAAATTAGTGAGCATGGTGGTAGGCGACTGTAATCCCAGCTACTCGGGAGGATGAGGTATGAGAATCACTTTAACCTGGGAGACAGAGGTTGCAGTGACCCAAGATCATGCCACTGCACTCCAGCCTGGGTGACAGAGATACCATCTCAACAAAAAATAATTGTTTTTAATTTAAAAAAAAAGTTAATAGCTTTAAAAAAATCCATTGCCAGTGGTGCAGATTCAAAAAACAAACACATAAAATCTATCAACATGTGAGTAAATAACCAAGTGATGTGTGACCATACAATGGAATACTACACACAAAGAGGGAAAGAACTGAGTGGATACATGCAACAATTTAGACGGATCTCAAAAACATTATACTTACTGAAAAAAATCTCAAAAGGTTATATACTATATGGTTCCATTTATATAATATTCACATAAAGGCCAGGCATAGTGGCTCACCCTTTTAATTCCAACACTTTGGAAGGCTGAGGGAGGAGGATCACTTGAGCCCAGGAGTTCGAGACCAGTCTGGGCAACATAGCAAGACTCCATCTCTACAAATTAAAAAAAAAAAAAAAAAATTAGCCAGGCATGGTGGCTTGTGCCTGTGATCCCAGCTACTCGGAAGGCTGAGGCAGGAGGATCACCTGAGACTGGGAGATGGAGGCTGCAGTGAGCCATGACTGCAAAACCACACTCCAGCCTGGGGGACAGAGTGAGACCCTGTATCAAAAGGAAATATAAATATAAATATAATTCACATAGAGAAGAACACATTAGTGGTTGCAAGAAGATAAAGACGGGGTGGGAGTGCAAATATAAAAGGGCAGCCCAAGCGAATTCCTTTGTAATGACAGTACGGTTCTGTATGTTGATTGTGGTGGTGGCCATTACACAAATCTATTCATGGGATGAGATTGCATGACTTGTACATACACACACAAACATATACAAGTGTATATAAAGACCAAATAAGGGCTATAATCTAGTTAATGATATTGTACAAATGTCATTTTCATGGTTTTAATATTGTATTATAGCTATATAAGATGACACTATTGGTGAAAGCTGGGTGAAGGGTTCATAGTACTCTGCACTATTTTTGCAACTTCCTATGCAACCATAAGTATTTTTTTAAAGGCTAAATAACTGAAAAAAAAGGAAATTCCTATATTTTCATTTTAGTATCTCCCTATAAATGCATGTTACTTTATTCCCAAAATGCCCCAACACATCTCAGAAACGTTTCTGTTTGGAGCTTTTTGCCCTCTTTAAAAAATAGTCCATTAATTCTATTTGCCAGCAGCAATCTCAGTCCCTCAGCTCAGGTAATTCATTTCAAGTAGGGCTGAAAATTTTTTCTATTAGGTCAAGCAGAAAAAAGGAAGTCAGATGAATAGATGTAGAAAAAGCTTTCAATAAAATCCACCATCCCTTCATGATAAAAACCCTCAACAAACTAGGCATCCAAGGAACATATCTCAAAATAAATAAAAGCCACCTATGACAAATCCACAGCCAACATCATGCTGAATGAGAAAAACTGGAAACATTCCTCTTGAGAACTGGAACAAGACAAGGATGTCTACTCTCCTGACTGCTGGTCAACAGAGCACTGGAAGTTCTAGCCACAGCAATCACACAAAGGAAAGAAAGAAAAGGCATCCAAACAGCAAAGAAGTCCAGCTATCTTTCTTTGCAGACAATATGATTTTATACCTGGAAAACCCTAAAGACTCCGCCAAAGGCTCCTGGAACTGATAAATGGCTTCCCAGTTTTAAGATACAAAAGCAATGTACAAAAATCAGTAGCAATTCTATATACCAGTAACATTCAAGCTGAGAGCCAAGTAAAGAATGCAGTCCCATTTACAATAGCTACAAAAAAAAGAAAAAGAAAAAGTACCTAAGAATACATCTAACCAAGGAGGTAAAAGATCTCAACAAGGAGAACTACAAACACTGCTAAAAGAAATCACAGGTGACACAAACAAAAGGAAAAAAATTTCATGCTCATGGATTAGAAGAATCAATACTGTTGAAACAGCCATACTGTCCAAATCAATCTACAGATTCAGCATAATTCTTATCAAACTACCAATGTCATTTTTCACAGAACTAGAAAGAACTATTCTAAAATTTACATGAAACCAAAAAAGAGCTCAAATAGCCAAAACAATCCTAAGCAAAAAGAACAAAGCTGCAGGGATTACATTACCCAGCTTCAGACTATACTATAAGGCTACAGTGTTTAAAAAAAAAAAAAAAAAAAAGCATAGTACTGGTACAAAAGCAGACACATAGACCTATAGAACAGAATAGAGAACCCAGAAATAAAGCCACACACCTACAATCTTCTGATCTTTAGCAAAGTCAACAAAAATAAGCAATGGGGAGAGGACTCTATTCAATAAATAGTGCTGGGATAGCTGGCTAGGCACATGCAGAAGAATGAAACTGGAACCCTACCTTTCACCACATACAAAAATTAACTCAAGATGGATTAAAGATTTAAATGTAAGACCTCAAACTGTAAGAATCCTAGGGAAAAAACAAACAAACAAACTAGGAAACACCATTCCAGACACTGACCTTGGGAAACAATTTATGACTGAGTCCTCAAAAGCAATTGCAACAAAAACAAAAATTGTCAAGTGGGACCTAATTAGACTAAAGAGTTTCTGCACAGCAAAAGAAACAATCAGTAGAGTTAACAGCCTACAGAATGGGAGAAAATATTTGCAAACTATGCATCTGACAAAGGTCTAATATCTAGACTCTATAAAGAACTTAAACAATTAAACAAGCAAAAAACAACCCCATCACAAAATGGGCAAAAGACATGAACAGACACTTCTCAAAAGAAGATATACAGGCAGCCAACAAACATGAAAACATGCTCCACATACTAACCATTTGAGAAATGCACATCAAAACCACAATGAGATACCATCTTATGCCAGTCAGAATAGCTATTATCAAAAAGCAAAAAAACAACAGATGCCGGCAAGACTGCAGATAAAAGGGAACACGTATACACTGTTGGTAGGAATGTAAATTAGTTTAGCACTCTGGAAAGTAGTTGGGAGACTTCTCAAAGAGCCTAAAACTGAACTACCATTCAACCCAGCAATCCTATTACTGGGTAAATATACAAAAGAAAACAAATCATTCTACCAAAAAGACACATGTACTCACATGTTAATCACAGCACTATTCACAATAGTAAAGACATGGGATCAACCTAGGTGCCCATCAACAGTGGACTAGATAAAGAAAATATGGGCGGGGCACAGTGGCTCACGCCTGTAATCCCAGCACTTTGGGAGGCTGAGGCAGGCAGATCACGACGTCAGGAGATCCAGACCATCCTGGCTAATATGGTGAAACCCCATCTCTACTAAAAATACAAAAAATTAGCTGGGTGTGGTGGCGGGCGCCTGTAGTCCCAGCTACTCCAGAGGCTGAGGCAGGAGAATGGTGTGAACCTGGGAGGTGGAGCTTGCAGTGAGCCTAGATCGCGCCACTGCACTCCAGCCTGGGTGACAGAGAGAGACTCCATCTCAAAAAAAAAAAAAAGAAAAGAGGGGGTCCAGCTTTAATCTTCTGCATATGGCTAGCCAGTTATCCCAGTATCATTACTTGTTTTTGTCAGTTTTGTCACAGATCACATGGTCATAGGTGTGCAGCTTTATTTCTGCCGGAAATAAAGTTCCATTGATCTATGTGCCTTTTGTACCAGTAACATGCTGTTTTGGTTACTGTATCCCTATAGTACAGTTTGAAGTTGGGTAACGTGAGGCCCCCAGTTTTGTTCTCTTTGCTTAGGACTGCCTTGGCTATTCAAGCTCTTTTTTGGTTCCATACGAATTTTAAAATCGTTTTTTCTAGTTCTGTGAAGAATGTTCTTGGTAGTTTGATAGGAATAGCATTGAATCTGTAAACTGCTTTAGGCAGTATGGTCATTTTAATGATATTGAGTCTTCCTATCCATGAGCATGGTGTGTTTTTTCATTTGTTTTTGTCTTCTCTGATTTCCTTGAGCAGTGTCTTCTAATTCTCATTGTAGAAATCTTGCACCTCCCTGGTTAGCAGTATTCCTAGGTATTGTATTCTTTTTGTGGTAATTGTGAATGGGATTGCCTTCCTGATTTGGCTCCCAGCTGGGCTGTTGTTGGTGGATAGGAATGCTAGTGGTTTTTTGTATGTTAATTTGGTGTCCTGAAACTTTGCTGAATTTGTTTATCAGTTGAAGGAGCTTTTGGGCCAAGATGATGGGGTTTTCTACACATACAATCATGTCATCTACAAACAGGGATAATCTGACTTCTCTCTTCCTACTTGAATGCCGTTTATTTCTTTCTCTTGCCTGATTACTCCGGCTATACCCTTAACTATTTTCATAAATCCTTCAAAGACTACCTGTGTCAGGGGTCACCAAAACCATCCCCAGGTTCCATGATCCTCCAGGAGTACTCACAGGACCCTGCATATAATCAGCATATGGAAAAGGTGCATGAGGCAAAGTCTGGAGGAAACCAAGCACAAGCTTCCCAGAGTTCGCTCCCAGTGAAGTCACATAAGACACACTTATTTCTTCCAGCAACACCTAGTAACTATATCCATGAAATGTTGTCTACCAGGAAAGCTCACCAAAGACTCAGTGTCCAAAGTTTTTAATGGAGCTGCTCACACAGGCACCCTCTTGCCTACTACATACCAAAATTTCAGACTCCCAGAAGGTAAGTAAATGTTCAGCATAAATCACATTGTTTGCACAGTAAGTCACTCTTATCATTCAAGGAAATTTTTATCAGTGTAGGAAACTGTTTACCATTCAAGTTTCCAGATACCAGCCAAGGGTCGGCCTTCCGCACAAGCCTTTCTAAGGATAGTAGTCTCAGGACTGCTATATTAATGGTTTATTGTACACTACTACTATTTCTTAACATTGCTATCTCTTAAGGCCACCAGTCTACACATGCTGAAACCAGCCTTGTTCCCTATACATTCTATAGATAAGACATATTGCAAAAATGAAGAATGACAACTCAATGTTCTGGAGAAAATAAAGGAGAACATACGTTAAACTAGGAATAGGGTCTAGTAAATATTAGTTCTCTATTGCAACTAAACTATCACTAGTAATTATATTGTCTATATGATAGAATGCACCAGTAGCACTGCTTTTCAATCTTTGCTCAGCACTGTAAATATACCAGTGCGAAGCAACACATGACAATAACAGCCTAATTAAAAGACTAGTACTGGCCGGGCATAGTGGCTCACACCCTTTGGGAAGCTGAGGCGGGGAGATGGCTTGAACCCAGGAGTTCGAGACCAGACTGGGCAATATGGCAAAATCTCATCTTAAAAAAAAAGAAAAAGGGAGGCCCCAGGGGGATTTGGCACGGGTACTCCTGTGAGCTGCTGCTCTTGTGGTTGGTGAGACTGCCTGGGTCTAGAGTGCAGAGCTCCTCTGTGGCCGCGAGGACGTCACTATACCTAAAGCACCAAAGGGAAAAAGTGCAGGATGGGAAAAAAAGTCATTCATCCATATAGTAGAAAAGCAGCTCAAATTATGAGAGAGGCCCACAAATAAGAAAAAAAGGAAAAATTGAAGAATGAAAAGGCCTTGTGTTTCAATCTTATTGGTGAAAAACTGCAATGGTTTCAAAATCATCTTGATCCCCCCCAAAAAAAGATATTCAAACAAAGATGCTTGTGAACTAACTGAAAGGTACTTAAATTAAATTGATTTAGCAGTGAGTTGGAGCAGATTGAGTTACATAACAGTATCAGGGACAAGCAGGACAGGCAGCACTGTTCCCAGGACACCATCATCAAGCAGACGATGGAGCGGGAGGGACAGCAGTATAAAGGATGTGGCTTTGAGATTCCAGACATTCTAAATGCAAGTAATCTGAAAACATTTAGGGAATGGGACTTTGATCTGAAGAAATTGCCAAATATTAAAATGAGAAAAATCTGTGCTAATGATGCAATTCCCAAGAAGTGCAAGAGGAAAACTATTATAACTACAGACCAAGATTTAGTGGAATTGGAACTAAACGATGAATCAAATGACTCAGAAGAGGAAATGACTGGATTAGCCTAATCATCTTCACTTGAATTCAAAATAAATAATTTGAGAGCTTCAAATTATATTCATTGATTATGGTACATAATCATCAAGATACAAGAATTTGATGTTGACATTCTCTTATATGATGAGAGTTTCATTTGCAGTTTCAAAAATGGTGTTATTAATTTTTTTTTTTTTTTAAGACGGAGTCTTGCACTGTCACCTGGGCTGGAGTGCAGTGGCATCATCTCGGCTCACTGCAACCTCTGCCTCCCAGGTTCAAGCAATTCTCCTGCCTCAGCCTCCCAGGTAGCTAGGATTACAGGTACCCGCCACCACGCCCAGCTAATTTGTTTTGTGTTTTTTTAGTAGAGACTGGGTTTCACCATGTTGGCCAGGCTGGTCTTGAACTTCTGACCTCGTGATTCACCTGCCTCGGACTCCCAAAGTGCTGGGATTACAGGTATGAGCCACCGCACCTGGCCTATGATATTTATTTTAAAATGAAGATTGCTTTTCATTTATATTAAGTTGCTAAAATAGATAGACGTGATCTGCAAAAGTTGTTTAATCTTTTTCATCTAAATTTCAGGCCGGGGGGAGCAATATAACTAAGGACAGAAAATGTTTTGATTTTCTTGTATATTTATGATCATCTAATTTCACATTTTGTGAAACGGACAGTAACCTGTTTCCTAAAAGATTCCTGTCACTACTTTTTGAGCTGTGATAACAGCAAAATTGTCTTTCAGTAATAATATCAAATTAATCCTTCTTTAAACATTAAACCTATTTTCTTTTTTTTTACAACATAAGGGAAAATGTGATAAAAAATTTGTATACACTGGTGGATTATAGATTATTATTTATCTTTTGAACCAGAGTTAAATGGTTAAAAAAAAAATCAGTGATGATTGTTATGTTGATCTCCCACAATTAATTTATCTTTTGAAACGGGATAAAGAGGCCAGGCACAGTGGCTCATGCCTGTAATCCCAGCACTTTGGGAGGCCGAGGCGGGCAGATCACAAGGTCAGGAGTTCGAGACCACCCTGGCTAACACAGTGAAACCCCGTCTCTACTAAAAATGCAAAAAACTAGCCGGGCATGGTGGTGGGCACCTGTAGTCCCAGCTACTCAGGAGGCTGAGGTGGGAAAATGGCGTGAACCCAGGAGGCAGAGCTTGCAGTGAGCCGAGATCGCACCGCTGCACTCCAGCCTGGGCGACAGAGACACTCCGTCTCAAAAAAGGAAAAAGAGGATAAAGAATTTCAGTTTAGCTCCTTTTAATTGTATATTATTTTTTGCTTTTTTATTGTGAAAAGTGACAGGTTTTATTTGTGGAGAGAGAACTAAAGATTAGAGACCCAGTGATTTTAATTATGTTACTTTTTCTTCTAAGAGATAAATTAAATTGACATGTAATTCAGCATTTTCAGCATCATGAAAAACATAAATGTTGTACAATGTTTTTCCTAAAAAACTTGTTAAATACAAGTATCCTTAATATGTTTTTAAAAGAGCACAATGCAGGTGTATTTGAGTCTCTTCAAGAAAATAATAAAAACATTAATGCTGTATTAGGTTAACTGGATATCAACTAAGTCTTGTTAACAGTTTAAAGTATCATAACTTTTTTTAACCTCTGAAAATTAAAAATAAAATTTATTTCTGCAATTTCAAAAAAGAAAAAGGAAAAAAACAAAAAGACTAGCACTGATATTTTTTGTATAAGAGTAAAAACAAAACCTGCTCTTATAACTTTTTACTAGTGGTTTAATAATGCCGTTCTCCTTGACATATATGACACCTTACCAAAAACTTGCATAAACGTTCTCCCATGTATTCTAACCATCAACAAATTCAGTAAGATCTCTTTCTGTAACCTCAACTGCTATGGTATGAATGTGTTCCCCAAAATCCATGTGCTGGAAATTTAATTTCCAATGCAACAGTGGTGGGAGATTTGGCCTTTTGAGAGGTGTTTAAGTCATGAAAGCTCTGTTCTCATGAATGGATTAATGTCACTATAAAAAGGGCTTACAGGAATGGATTTCTTCTCTATTGCCCTTCCACCTTCTGCCACGTGAGGAAACACCAAGAAAGCCCTCATCAGATGCTGGTACCTTGATCTTGGGCTTCTGAGCCCCAAGAACTCTAAGAAATAAACCTTGATTCCTTATAAATTACCCAGTTTCGAGTATTCTGTCATAGCAGCACAAAACGGACGAACAAACCAATCAACCAACAAATTTATCTAAAAAAATTTTTTATTTTAAATGCCTTTTAAAAATTTAGATGCTTGGCAGGTGCAGTGGCTCACAACTGTAATCCCGATAGTTTGAAGTCTGAGGCAGGATTGCTTGAGCCCAGGGGTTCGAGACCAAACTGGGAAACACTGTAAAATCCCACCTCTACAAAAAGTTTAAAAATAAAAATTAAGCTGGCCGCGGTGGCTCACACCTATAATCTCAGCACTTTGGGAAGCCGAGGCAGGTGGATCACTTGAGGCCAGGAGTTTGGGACCAGCCTGGCCAACATGGTGAAACACCATCTCTACTAAAAATACAAAAAATTAGCTGGGCATGGTGGCAGGCGCCTGTAATCCCAGCTACTCAGGAAACTGAAGCAGGAGAATCACTTGAACCTGGGAGTCGGAGGTTGCAGTGAGTCACTGCACTCCAGCCTGGGCAGCAAGAGTGAAACTCTGTCTCAAAAAATAAATAAATAAAAGTTTAAAAATAAATAAAAATAAAAATTAGCCAGGCATCGTGGCCCATGCCTGTAGTCCCAACTACTCAGGAGGCTGAGGCAGGAGAATCACTTGACCCTAGCAGGTTGACACTGCGGTGAGCCAAGGTTGCACCACTGCACTCCAGCCTGGGTGACAGAGCAAGATCCTGTCTCAAAAACAAAAACAAAAAAAAGTAAGGCTGTCTATAATTTTTGTAAGACAAATTCAAGATAAGAAAAAAATTTGACGTCACTATTTTTAAGGTATCTTAAATTCTTTACAAATTAACACAAAAGAGATGATAAAAATGCTTAACTATTCAAGATGAAATTCAGCTCCGAATTTGTTCAGGCAAAGTATTTAATGTGTTCTTTTACTTCTCTCTTAAGGATGCTCTTGAGAGTAAGCTAAGACTGCCAATATACTGCTCAAGTCTCATGAAATTTCAAAACTTTTATTTTAAAACCTCTTAACATTACTCATATACCCTTCAAAAGACACTAGATGGCATTAGAAACAAGTTCCTCTTACAAAAAGAAAAACTAAGAGTGAAAAGGACAGCAATTCTCAAGTGAATGCACTTTATCTAAACTCCTACAGTTCTTATCTAAGTTGAATACTTCACTGTCTAACATTATCTATCCTTTCACATGTAATTTTTTCATGTTCCCCTACATTCCTTTTATTTCTCTTTACTCTCTCCCATGGTGATTTAATCCACAGCTTCCAAGTCCACATCTATAGCCCTAAACTGCTGTACTTTACTCTGGACATCTAACTCTTGAAAGGATACCTAAAAAGTGATATCCACATGCAAAAAAATAAACTCTTGCCTCACACTGAATATAAAAACTGACTCAAAATGGGTCGATGAAGTAAATATAAGAAGTAAAACCATAAAATTCATAGAAGAAAACACAGAAGTAAATCATGACCTTGGAGCTGGCAATGGATTCTTAGATATGAAACCAAAAGCATAAGCAATAACAGAAAAACACAGATAAGTTAGACTTCATCAAGGGCATTTTTAAACTTCAAAGGACATTACCAACAAACTAAAAAGACAACACACAGAACAGGAAAAAAATTTGGAAATCATATAACTAAGGGTCTAATACCCAGAATATATAACAAACTTAAAACAACAAAAAAATTCAATTAAAAAAAATGGGCAAAGGACTTGTATAGACATTTTTCCAAAGAAGATATATAAATGGTCAAAAAACACATGAAAAGATGCTCAACATCATTAGTCATTACAGAACTACAAATCAAAACCACAATGAGGTACCACTTCATACTCACCAGGATAGTATAACTAAACAATAATTTTTTAAATGGAATATAACAAGTTGACAAAGATATAGAGAAACTGAAACCTTCAGTACATTGCTAGTGGAACTGTAAAATGGTAAGCTATTACAGAAAACAGTTTGGTTATTCCTCAAAAAGTTGAATTACCGTATTTCTTTGTGATTCCACCCCAGGTATATCCCCAAAAGAACTGAAGACAGGTACTCAAGTACATGTATACATATAGTTCATAGCAGCACTATTCACAGTATCCAAAAGGTGGAAACAGCCCAGTGTCCATCAATGGATAAAAAGTTGTGTTGGACACATACAACGAGATATTATTCAACCAAAAGAAGGAATAAAGTACCAATATATGCTAGAATGTGGATGAACATCCAAACATTATGCTAAATGAAATAAACCAGATACAGAAGGTCACATATGTATAATATTATTTATATAAAATATCCAGAATAGAGAAATCCATAGAGACAAAATGCAGATTGCATGGAAGGGGAGTGGGGAGAAAGGGCTTAATGGATAAGAGGTTTAAATCTAAAGTAACAGGCAGGTTTTGCAGCTAGATAGAGGTGGCAGTTGTATTGTGAAAAACAAATCTGCCAGTACTAAATGCCACTGAATTGTTCACTTTAAAATGGTTGATTTTGTTATGTAAATTTCATATCAATATTTTTAAAAGGATATGTACACCAGATTACCTGTCATCATCTGAGAATCAAACTCATTAATTTTCTCCCCCAAACCTGTTCCTTTTCCTGTATTCTCAATTTCAGATAAAAGTAACAGCCAGGTACAGTGGCTCATTCCTATAATCCCAGTACTTAGGGAGGCCAAAGCGGGTGGATCACTTGAGCCTGGGAGTTCGACACAGAAGAATACAACGATCACCTAGTGGCAATCAAGCAGACCATCCGAAGACAAAACTCCTTATCTGAAAAATTGAAAAGTAATTAGACTTCTCTATTATCTAAAGCCAGCATCTGGTACCAGGCTTCTTTCCCAAAAATTTATAAGTAACTAGAATTTCTATACATCTCCAGAATGCATGAATGTCAAAACTTATTTTGCAACCCTTGCTAACATCAAGGCACCCAAAGTCTACAAATGTAATAATTTACCATGACCTACATAACTAATATGGTCCAAATTACCCTAAGGTCCTGCTTTAAAGTCCATAAATACCCCTAAGGAAAATCCACCGCAACACACTCAGTCCTTTTTGCTGAATGAAGCACTGTACTGCACTCTGCTGCAGCATTCTATCTAATAAAACTTTCCTTTCTAAACCTATACTGCTGTCAGTAAATTCTTTTACCACCAGTGAGCCAACCACTCTCCACTGCCGGGTTCTGACACCTTGCCCAGCAGAGACTAGCCCGCACAACATGGCGAAATCCTGTCTCTACAAAAAAGTCAAAAAATTAGCCAGGCATGGTGGCATCCACCTGTGGTCCCAGCTACATATATAAGGAATACATGTATTTCTTACTGTATCACAGTAATTATATATATATACAGAAGAAATATATATATGTATATATTTCTTTATACGGTAAGAAATATACACAATATTTCTTACTGTATCACAGCTACTAATAACTATTTGAAGTACCGAGGCATAAAAAGAAAAAAATATATACATTTTGTTCATATTGTTAAATGACAAACCTGAGACAAGTTAAATTTAATGACTTAATTGAACAAAAAACAGATTTGCCAGGTGCGGTGGCTCACCCCTGTAATTCCAGCACTCTGGGAGGCAGAGGTGGAGACTGGAGGATTGGTTGAGCCCAGAAGTTTGAGACCAGCCTGGGCAGCACAGGGAGCCCCCACCCCCAACCCCCATTACAAATAATAAGGAAATGAAAACTGTGGTCCCAGCTTCCGGGAAAGGTGGGGAAGGGAGCAGCCTGAGGCAGAAGCATCACTCAAGCCCAAGAGGTCCAGACTGCAGTGAGCCATGTCACTGCACTCCACCCTGGGTGACTAAGCAAGTCCCTGTCTCAAAAAAATAGAGATTAATGAACCAGTTAGCATCCAGTACCAAATGCAGTTCAGAATGTTCCATCCCCCAATGCATGTAGGCTATATTTATAGCCAGAGAAACAGAAATGACATACAGAAGTAGCCTGATGGGCTGCAGTTCAGGTGTTTGCCTTATTTGAACATGCTTTGGCAATATTCAGCCTATATGACTGGCTGAAAACTTGGCTGCTATGCTTGACTGAGGCTCAGCTACTTGTTACAAGAGTATACTCTTAGGTTAGGTTGCAGGTAGTTTATATATTAAATTAGGTTATAGTTCACTATGTAGGGAGGTAGCTTTTGGCTGCCTCTAAATTTAACTATAAATCTGGCACTATGCTATTTTAAATGGATTGTCTCATTTCATCCTAAAAACTGCATGAGCGAAGTCTTAATATTATTTTGATTTTAAAGATGAGAAAACAGAGGCTTAAAGAGGTTCAGTGACTTGTAGAGGGTCATATGATTACTAAGTGGCAGGAGTAGGATGTGGAACACAGGTGTACAGCCTGAGTTTGTATTTACTTTTGTAAAGTAGAAGGCATTCACAATGATTTCATTCAAATATATTTTCTTGAGTAGAAATGAAAAAAGTATAAATTAACGGGTAAACCCACAGGAGTTGCATGCAAAGAACATTCATTATGACTTCTAGATTTCTACCTCCAAAGGTAGAAGGTAGTGATATGTATTAAAATCCAAACAGACAACAAAATCTGTTAATAACTCTTTAACACAAGTTTTACTCATCATTCCACCCCCTTGTAGATACACTTCAATTTGTCTTCATTCCATTAAAAATAAATACTGAAGAGCAAAAATTTTTCTTTCTGATAAAAGCCAATTTTTTTCCTTTTATAGGTTAAGCTTTTTTTACTCCAAGAAACCTTTGCCCCACCTAAAATCACAAAAATTTTCTCGTTTTCCTCTACACATTTTATGATTTAAGCTCTTACATTTGTTCAATTACCCACTTCAAGTTAATTTTTGTACAGCATGAGGTAAGTATAGAGGTTGATATTTTTGTGTGAATTGTTTCAACACCATTTGTTATGAAGACTACCTTTTCCCCCATTAAATTGCCTTGGCAAATTTGTCTATTTGGTTCCAGTGATCTATATATCTATCCTTATACCAATAATCACACTGACCCGATTACTGTTCCTTTATACAAAGTCATAAAATAAGTTTGATTCCTCTAACTTTGGTCTTCTTTTTAATATTGTTTTGGTTATTCTAGGTCCTTTACATTTCAATACACATTTGAAATCAGCTTGATATTTTCTGAAAAATACTACCTGGGTTTTGATCGGGACTGCATTAAATCTATAGCTTAATGGAGAAAATTTACATCTTCATGATATGAGTCTTCCTAGACTGGGCACCAGGTGGTTCATGCCTGTAAGCCAGCATTTCGGGAGGCCAGGGCAGGAGGATTGCTTGAGTACAGGAGTCCAAGACCAGCCTGGGCAACATGGCGAAACCCCATCTCTACAAAAAATACAAAAATCAGCCAGATGTTGCTGGGCGTGGTGGCTCACGCCTGTGATCTCAGCACTTTGGGAGGCTGAGGCGGGCAGATCACGAGGTCAGGAGTTTGAGACCAGCCTGGCCAACATGGTGAAACCCCATCCCTACTAAAAATACCAAAAACTAGCCAGGCATGGTGGCAGGCACCTGTAATCCCAGCTACTGGGGAGGCTGAGGCAGCAGAATCACTTGAACCCGGGAGGCGGAGGTCGCAGTGAGCTGAGACCATGCCATTGCACTCTAGCCTGGCAAACAGAGCGAGACTCCGTCTCAAAAAAAAAAAAAAAAATTTGTGATGGTGCCTGTAGTCCCAGCCACTTGGGAGGCTGACATGGGAGGATCACTGGAGCCCAGGAGGCGGAGGTCGCAGTGAGCCAAGATCACACCCCTATACTCCAGCCTGGATGACAGAGTGAGACCCTGTCTCAAAGGAAAAAAAAAAGAAAAGATATGAGTCTTCCAATACACAAAAATGTTGTATCTCTCCATTCATTTAGGTCTTCTTTAATTTGTCTCAGTAATGTTTTGTAGTTTTCAATGTACTGGTCTTCCAAAATGGTTTCTGGAATTTATCTTCAAGTAGTTCATATTTTAAACTATTGCAAACAGTCCTGATTTTTAAGTTTTGATTTCTAATTACTCATTGTTAGTATAGAGGGATACAACTGATTTCCACATTTTTCGTATATAAATATTTGTGTAAAACTGATAAGAAAATGAAAATGTAAGTCACAGACAGGGAGAATATGTTTAGAAGGCATATATTTGATATATAACTTGTATTCAGAATATACGAAGATTCCTGAAACTCAATAAGACAAAAAAAATTTTTTTTTAAATAGACAAAAGTTTTGAACAGACATTTGATCATAGAATGTATATATATAAAAATAGCTGACTGGGCGCATTGGCTGACACCTGTAATCCCAGCACTTTGGAAAGCCTAGGCGGGTGGATCACCTGAGGTCAGGAGTTCAAGAAGAGCCTGGCCAACATGGCAAAACCCCGTCTCTATTAAAAATACAGAGAAAATTAGCCAGGCATGGTGGTGCATGCCTGTAATCCCAGCTACTCAGGAGGGTAAGGCAAAAGAAGTGCTTGAACCCAGGAGGCGGAGGTTGCAGTGAGCCAAGATCATGCCACTGCGCTCCAGCGTGGGCAACAGACCGAGACTCCATCTCAAAAAAAAAAAAAAAAAAAAAAGAATATATATAATTGGCAAATAAGCACATAAAAATATGTTCAATCTCATTAGTCATTAGAGAAATGCAAATTAAAATTAAAACCACAATGAGAAACTCCCACACATCCACTAGTATGGCTAAAATTTAAAAAATGATAGCCGGGTGCGGTGGCTCACACCTGTAATCCCAGCACTTTGGGAGGCTGAGGCGGGTGGATCCCCTGAGGTCAGGAGTTCGAGACAAGCTTGACCAACACGGCGAAACCCCACCTCTACTAAAAATACGAAAATCAGCTGGGCGTGGTGGCGTGCGCCTGTAATTTCAGCTACTTGAGAGGCTGAGGGAGGAGAATGGCTTGAACCCGGGAGGTGGAAGTTGCAATGAGCCGAGATTGTGCCACGGCACTTTAGCCTGGGCAACAAGAGTGAAACTCCATCTCAAAAAAAAATATATGATAATACCTAGTACTGATAAGATGTGGAGCAACTGCTGGTGGAAATGCAAAAATGGTATAGCCACTTTAGAAAACAGGTTGGCAGTTTCTTATAAAGATAAATTTACACTGGTAAATATACATTCCACCAGTTTCATTCCTAGGTATTTACCCGAGAGAAATAAAGCATATTCCACACCAAAACAAAAACAAAAAAACTTATATGAACTTTCACAGCAGCTCTCTCTCTAACAGGCAAAAACTGGAAACAACCCATATGGTCATTAACTAGGGAATGGAAAAGTCTATATACCCATGCCAATGGAACACTTTTCAGCAATAAAGAGGAACAAACTATTGATACTCAAAACAACATGGATGAATCTCAGGAGGATTATGCTAAGTGAAAAAAGACACAAAAGACTATATACTGTATGATTCCATTCCTATGAAATTCTGGAAAAGGCAAAACCACAGTGACAAAAAGCACATCAGTAGTTGCCAAAGGCTGGGCCTGGGGAGAGAGAACAGACAGCAAAGGGACACAAGCGAACTTGGGGTGGCAGATATATTCTATACCAGGTCCATGGCCTGTTAGGGACCAGGCCACATGGCAGGAGATGAGCTGTATGAGGGTGAGCATTATATATTCTATACCAGGTCCATGGCCTGTTAGGGACCAGGCCACATGGCAGGAGATGAGCTGTATGAGGGTGAGCATTACCGCCTGAACTCCGTCTCCTGTCAGATCAGCAGCACAGCATTAGATTCTCGTAGGGGCATGAACCCTATTGTGAACTGCGCATACGAGGGATCTAGGTTGCACGCTCCTCATGAGAATCTAGCTAATGCCTGATGATCTGAGGTGGAACAGTTTCATCCTGAAACCACCTCCCATCCCCCCTCCACCCATCTGTGGAAAAACTGTCTTCCATGAAACCCGTCCCTGGTGCCAAAAAGGTTGGGGAATGCTGTTCTGTTCTATACCATAATTCTTATATAACTATATCATAATTGTGGTGGTGGTGACACAACTGTATACATCTGCCAAAAGTCATCAAACTGAACACTTAAAACGGGTGAATTTTATTCTATGTAAATTATACCTCAATAAAGCCAACTGACATATAGATATAGATATCTCCACCTTTCACAGTAGAAAATGCAAAACTACAGCAGCAGAAAGGTAATACTGAAAGGGGAAGTGCTGAATTTGGAATCTCTTTATAATACTGAAGTAGGTAAAACAAACGTCTATGGGTTTTTCCTCTTTGAACTCGTGAAAATTAAGGAAAAATAAATTAAGAATGATGGGATTACTTTTCAACTAAAATAATATAAATTAAAATAAGAATCTTTTTAATGATGAGAAAAGGTTCTAGGTTCTAAGAAAAGTCTTGGAGTTTTGTTATTTCCTTTAACAGCATACTCCATGTGACCTCAACAGACAGTTCTAAAATATTATTAAAATATAATACTAATCAAAGCCACAATAAGACACCACTTGACACCCACTATGATGGCTATAATCAAAAACACAGAAAAGTACTGGCAAGGATGCAGTGAAACTGGAACCCTCATATATTTCTGGGAAGAATATAAAATGGTGTAGCAAACCAAAAGTGTGGTAGTTCTTCAAAAAGTTAAACAAAGAATTACTGTATCATCCAACAAATCTACTCTTAGGTACATACCCAAAATACAGAAAACAAGTATTCAAAACAAATTCATGTACACAAATACAGCAGTACTATTCACAATGGCTAAAAGGTGGAAACAACTCAAATGTCTATCAGCAGACAAACGGATAAAAGTGTGGTTTACCCATACAACAGAATCTTATTCAGCCATAAAAAAGGAATAAAGTATTGATACATGCTATAATGCAGAAAAATCTTGAAAGCATTGGGCTAAGTGAAAAAAGCCAGGCACAAAAGGGCACATATTTTATGATTCCATTTATATGAAATATTAGAATAGGTAAATCCACAGAGACAAAAAGCAGATTAGTGGTTGCCCTAGCTAGAATGAGGGTGGAATGAATAATGACTGTTTAATGGGTAGAGGATTTTTTTTGCAGGGGATGGTGGTGAACATGTCTTAAAACTTGATAAAGGTGATGGCTGCACACATTGTGAATGCATGAAATGCCACTAAAATGTACACTTTAAAATGGTTAATTTTATGTTATCTGAAAATCTCATCTCAACAAAATTCAATAATAATATGGCACCCAAAATGACATCATATTCAACATGAGAACTGATGATAAAATGTTCAACAGAATATCACATCTTTTGTTCTGGTTAGAAATATTCCCAATTCAGTTTAAGATTATAGCAGTTTGCTATAATCACAGTATCATGTTAGAATGGTTATTGGTAATCATGACTTGAACATTTTAGATTACTTCTATTCTCACACTGTTTTTTAGTAGAATTGTTTTCTAACGAAAATCACTCCTTGATCATGGCTCTCCCTGTCAGAACTGTGTGCACTCTGTAACATCTGTAGTCAAAGTAGTCTTACTTTCCTGATAACTTTGTTAATGTGATGCGAAAGATTGAAAATTTGAGTATGTAGTATATATACTACTAACTTGTGAACTGGTAGATTGGTAGGATGTATGTAACACTTGACAATACTGGTATTTTCCTTAGGATACTTGATGGCCTCCTAAGGAAAATTTGCCTCCAAATTTTAAGCTGGAAAGTCACTGGAATAACTGTTTAAAAAACAAATACAATACATGGCTTTTTAGATTTCCAGTAGATATGTTAAGAACTGTGTACAAATGGAAATGTCTGTGTACTGATCCTCAACACTACCAATAAAATTTCAATTATGGAAAAAAAAAAAGACAGGGAATGAACAAGGAAGAACTGGCTTGGGCGGATGGAAAGACAGTAGACAGGTAGGGTGAGTCTTAGAATGGTGATACAGCCAAGTGGATTTACATCAGAGATACAGAAGGCAAAGATCAAAACTGCAGATACTAGTTAACATACTCAGGAGAAAGCAAAGCAGGAACTGACCTCATTTTACAGATGAGAAGAACATAGGCTCCAGTATGTTTATTCAGATTCACATAGCAGCATCAGAGCTTGGTCTTCTGATTTCTAATGCAGGGGTCTTTCTCCTATGCCACTTTTAACAACAGATTTTAACTGTATATATATTTTAAGAATACAAATAATAACTAATCTTGAACAAGACGCTATCTAAGTTTTACTCCATCCCTAAGAACATATAATAAATAATATGATTCTACGATCTGTTTTAGAACATGCCCTGGGAACCACTAATTAGGATCATGGTTCCTACATATATGGGGAAAATAAGTCCTCTGAGAAATCCTCTCAATAGACATCAGAAAATGAAGAGTCCAAAAATCTCTTCATAAAAACATCATCTAGATGGCCTCAAAATGGAAATATTTGCAACTTTAAGGCTTTTGCTTATCTATTCTCCAGACTCTGGTCAAGTCTAACCTCCTACCAGTTATCATTCCAATAATTATAACTAGTATAATTCTTGCCCCCTTTTGTTACTATTTAAATAAAAATCAATACAATATTTATTTAAATGTGATGTTTTATTATTTTTAAATAGTTGTCCTATTATATGTGAATCCTGTTCTGCTAACCCAAAAGTTCTTTGGAGGCTGGGTCCATGTACTATAGACGGCCGTTACTCCAAAGAGAATACATTCTAGTTAAGATTTTTCAGAAATGTCACAGCCAGAAGCAGGGTAGACACTGAGGTTTATTCCAGTATGGGTGGTCAAAGCAGAAATAGGTATTTAATACCAACTAGCAAATGTGCCACCTAACATAAAATATTCAACTGAAAATCTTTAGGCGGGAGAATGGGAAGAGAAGAGCTAGCTTGAAGTTACAGTAGGTAAATAAGTAGCTCAGGAAAAAAAAAAAGCACAAGAGAAAACAAAAAGCAGTTCCCTGGGAAAGAGAAGAAATTGGATTCAGGTCTAAAGAAACAATTATTTTACAAACTTACAATAAAAGAAACATTCAATTTTAAAAATGGCCAATAATCCAAATAGACACTTCTTCAAAGAAGACAAACAAATGTCCGGTAAGCACATGAAAGATGCTCAACATCATGAGTCACTAGAGAAATGCATATCAAAGACACAAGATATCACTTCCCACCCACCAGGATAGCAAGGATGTAGAGAAATCAAAGTTCTTCAAATGATTAAATACAGTTATCATATGACTCAGCAACTTCTCTCCTAGATATATATCCACGAGGAATGAAAACATATATCTACATTAAAATTTGTACATGAATGTTCATAGCAATATTACTTATAATAGCCAAAAGGCAGAAACAACCCACTGTTAACAACAGATTTTCACTCTATGTAATTTTTTTTTAAGAAGAAGAAGAACTAATCTTGAACAATATTCCACCTAAGTTCTCCTCCATCCCTAGGCACATATAATGATACGATTGTATGATCCTTTTTAGAACATGCCCTGGTAATCACTAATTAGGATCATGATTTCTACATATATGGGAAAAATAAGCCCTCAGATAAATCCTCTCAATAAACATTAGAAAATGAAGGTGAAGAATGAAGGAAATGAATCAACTGATGAACAGCTAAACAAAACATGATATATACATACAACAAAATACTATTCGGCAACAAAAAGGAACACATGCTGCAACATGGATGAATCTTGAAGACATTAGACTAAGTGAAAGCAGCCGCCACAAAAGGCCACATATTTGATTTGATTTATATGAAAAATACAGAATAGGCAAACCTATAGAGGTGGAAAGTAGATTAGTGGTTGCCTAGTGTGGGGGCGGGGTTAGGGATGGAACAATGAGGAGGTGATACCTGAAGAGTACAGTTTCTAAAGTAAAGAAAATATTCTTAAATTGACTACAGTGATGGCTGTACATGTCTGTGAAATACACCAAAAAATACTGACCTGTATACTTTAAGTGGGTGAATTATATCATATGTGAATTATATCTCAATAAACTGTTAATTTAAAAAAAACTTAATTCAGGAATATTCTAGCTCACTTGGCCTAGGTTCCAGTAACCTCAGTCCGGGAATCCCTTCTGCAACATACCACCTTAAAGTGGAATATTCAGCTGTATCATGGTGGCAGTAGTTCTCAAAGAAGTACGTTGTTAGAATCAGGGTAACACTTTAAAGAAAATACAGGCCAGGCACAGTGGCTCACACCTGTAACCCCAGCACTTAGGGAGGCCAAGGCCGGTGGATCACTTGAGGCAGCAGTTCAAGACCAGCCTGGCCAACATGGCAAAACCCCATCACTACTGAAAAGACAAAAAATAGCCAGGTGAGGTGGCACACATCTGTAATCCCAGCTACTCGGGAGGCATGAGAATTACTTGAACCCAGGAAGCAGAGGGTGCAGTGAGCTAAGATCATGACACTGCACTCCAGACTGGACAACAGAGGGAGAACCTGTCTCAAAAAAAAAAAAAGAAAGAAAGAAAAGAAAAGAAAACACAGATGCTTGTGACTAACCCCAGACATCTGGATCAAAATCTCTAGGAGGGTACACTCATCCATTTTTGCTTGTTTGTTTGTTTGTTTTAGGTTCCAGAGGTTAAAAGGGAAGCAGGCGAGGCTTTAATAGACATGTTGGGACCAAGTAGGAAAATCTCAATATGGTCTTCACATTATTAGATGTTACTATTAAAATGATGTGGCCAGGTGCGGTGGCTCACGCCTGTAATCCCAGCACTTTGAGAGGCCGAGGCAGGTGGATCACTTGAGGTCAGGAGTTCGAGATCAGCCTGGCCAACATGGTGAAACCCCATCTCTACTAAAAATACAAAAATTAGCCAGGTGTAGTGGTACGCACCTGTAATCCCAGCTACTTGGGAGGCTGACACAGGAGAATCATTTGAACCCAGGAGACAGAGGTTGCAGTGAGCCAAGATCACACCACTACACTCCAGCCTGGGTGACAGAGCGAGACTCAGGCTCAAAAAAAAAAAAAAAAACTATTAAACTTCTTAGATCTGGTCATATATTGTAGTTATTTAGGAGAGTATCCTTCACCTTAGGAGAAATACTTAAGGATGAGGTATCGTAATTAGTCTGTGACTTGCTTTGAAATGCTTCGGGAAAAAAATACATATATACACACAGAAAAAACAAATATGGAAAAAATGTACAAATTAGTCAGTCTAGGTAAAACTTACATGGGTGTTCACTGTACCATTCTGTCTATTTTTCTGCAGATTTCAAAATTTCAAAATAAAAAATTAAGGAGGTAGGAATTTTCACAAATGATCCTGATTCTCTCTGTGGCCTGAGAATCACAAACTTCGGTATTATCAGGATATCCTTTGATCCAAAAATTAGCCTCCCACCTGCTACACAAAGACATCCTCCCCGCTACTCCCACTTCCCATATTGAACAAATGGACAAAACTTTCTACTCCACATATGTTGACCCAAAAGGCTTATATCTTCAAGTGTAGATGAGACTTTAATAGTAACAAGTTTCTGTTATTGTACCCTACAAATTAGTAGGTGCCTAGACCTAAGGATAGAGGGAACAGTGTGAGATGAGCAGAAAGCCAGTGGGTGCCTTTGGTACAAAAGCAAGTTTGAGGATAAAAGGGTATAATTTGTAACAACAGGCAGAAACAAAGCAACCTGCCCAGGCTACACAGCTTTAATTTTGTAAGGCCCTGCCTATCACACAAAGCCTAGACAAACAAAAGGCTTTTTTTTTTTTTTTTTTTCCAGACAAGGTCTCACTCTGTCGCCAGAGTGTGGTGGCACAATCACAACTCACTACAGCTTCAACTGCTCAGGCTCAAGCGATTATCCCACCTCAGCCTTCTGAGTAGCTGGGACTACAGGCACACCCCACCATCCTCGGCTAATTTTTTTTTTATGATTATTATTATTTGTATAGACAAGGTCTCAACTATGTTGCCCAGGCTAGTCTTGAACTCCTGGGCTCAAGCGATCCTCCTGCCTCAGACTCTCAGAGTGCAGGAATTAGAGACGTAAGCCACTGCACCCGGCCCTCATTCTTATACATATACTTTAAGTACCCATGATGTGCCAAACAAGTTCCCTGTCCTCATGTACTAAATATGTATACCACAGAGCTGTAAACCAAAGCAGCACAACTGTACCAGATTTAGAATCATTTCTATAAAAAGAATGTTCTTTCCCAGGAAAATTTACTCATTGAAGTTACAACCTTACAGAATCTTTTCCTTGACCCTCACTATACAATTAGTACCAGTGACACTGACAGCATGAGAGGGCAATCAAAATAGACTTAATTGGGCCAGGCACAGTGGCTCAAGCCTGTAATCCCAACACTTTGGGAGGCTGAGGTGGGTGGATCATGAGGTCAGGAGTTCAAGACCAGCCTGGCCAACGTGGTGAAACCCCATCTCTACTAAAAACACAAAAACTAGCGGGGTATGGTGGCAAGTGCCTGTAATCCCAGCTACTTGGGAGGCTGAGGCAGGAGAATCACTTGAACCTGGGAGACAGAGGTTGCAGTGAGCCGAGATTGCACTACAGCCTGGGCAACAAAGTGAGACTCCATCTCAAAAAAAAAAAAAAAAAAAGATTCAATTAAAATTTCATTCTTAAGGCCGGGAGTGGTGGCCCACACCTGTAATCCCAGCACTTTGGGAGGCCGAGCAGGGAGGATCACCTGAGGTCAGGAGTTCAAGACCAGCCTAGCCAACACAGTGAAACCCCATCTCTACTAGTAATACAAAAAAATTAGCCAGGGGTGGTGGCGCACACCTGTAATCCCAGCTACTCAGAAGGCTGAGGCAGGAGAATTGCTTGAACCCAGGAGGCAGGTGAGATCACATCATTGCACTCCAGCCTGGGTGACAAGAGCAAAAATCCAACTCAAAAAAAAAAAGAAAAAAAAAAATTTCATTCTTAGCCTGATGCCATGACATGTACCTGTAGTCCCTGCTACTTGGAAGGTTGAGGCAATAGGAATACTACAGCCAAGGAGTTCGAAGTCAGCCTGGGCAACAAAGCAAGACCCTATCTCTAAAAAAAATAATAATAAATTCATTCTCTTCCATACTTCATTTTGGGAAACTGAATTCTCCAAATCCTAAAAAGGAAAAAGAATAGATGTTGCAATGACAAATGACAATTATGGATTTTTCATAGAGCAAAATGCCACCTTTATGAACACTTACCAGGCCAGCAGTAAGAGAAGGTGCAGACTGTCCAAGGGACTGGTTTCTCATTCGAACCAGGTTTGATGCTTCTCCTGACGACTGCCAAGTCACCTGTCCCACACTGCTATGTACACTGCTGGACAAAGGGAGCAGCTGCTTACCTTCAAATACAAGGTTTGGAAAATATACATGTAATTATTTATTGATAAACAAATGAAAAAATACAAATACAGTGATATCAAGTGGATAAAACCATACTGATACAAAGTAAAATTGTTCACATCCATTTTAGAATCTATTAAAATTTCCAACTATCCATTAAAAATTGTGACTGTCTTGGTGGTGATGATAATGGCAAGTGGAACACTGAAATGGATTAACTATTTTATGTTCTCTATAATATTCACCACATGCCAGCCTCCCACTCTAACACCCAAACTAGCAGTCTAGGAGTTTTCCAATCCCTTCTAGCCTACATAGTTTCTCATCACCTCAATGTAACATTAGAGATGCAAGTTTCCAGCAGGCAAACAATGAACCTATTCTGCTCTCACTAGACTCCATGTGCTCAGTTCAGGTTTACTGTCTGCCTTAATCTCAATGAAAGAGAGTCACTTATAAAGACCAAGTATAGGGAATTCCAATGATTTTTGTTTTTTGGCTTTTTTTTTTTTGAGACAGAGTGTCACTCACTGTCGCCCAGGCTGGAGTGCAGTGGTGTGATCTCAGCTCATTGCAACCTCTGCCTCCCAGGCTCAAGCGATTCTCCTGCCTCAGCCTCCTGAGTAGCTGGGACTACAGGCATGCACCACCACACCTGGCTCATGTTTTGTATTTTTAGTAGACATGGGGTTTTGCCATGTTAGCCAGGCGGGTCTCCAACTCCTGACCTCAGGTGATGTGCCCGCCTTGGCCTCCCATAGTGCTGGGATTACAGGCATGAGCCACCACGCCCGACCTGCAATGACTTTATAAATGAGGTGAAGGTCTCATTTCTCCCCTTCTTCCCACCATTCTTCACACTTTTGCTTGTGATCTAACCAACAAAAATGTGTTCATGTCATTTCCTTCCTTAAAAGCCTCTGATGGCTCCTTACTATTTGAAGATATTATGCCAGACATTTTGGCATATGAAAAAGACCCTCCATAAATCCAGATTATCTTTCTGGTCTCATCTCCTTCGACTCTTTTCCACACTTATTCACTCACTCAACTTCAATATTATGCCCTGCACTTTCCCCTGGCTTTATCATGATCACTCAACTCACTTGAAAATCCTTTCTGTGCCTGGTAAAATCTTAGTCATGAAAATACCCAATGTAGTAAAGATGTTAAGAAAGGGCTTGGGGGATATTTTTGTTTTTGCTGCCAACAAAATATGATACAATTCATTTGGAGAACAATTTAGCAAAGCTAACCACAGAAGAAAATTAAGACATAGAAGAAAGTAAAAATTAAGAAAGACTTCAGGACAGGTGTTGTGGCTCACACATGTAATCCCAGCATTTTGGGAGGCCGAAGCAGGAGGATCACTTGAGCCCAGGAGTTCAAGACCAGCCTCCGCTACATAGCAAGACCTCATCTCCAAGAAAAAAAAAAAATTAGCCAGGCATGGTGGTGTGTGCCTGTGGTCCCAGCTACTCAGGAGGCTGAGGAGAAGCGGGGAGGATCACCTGAGCTCAGGTGGTCAAGGCTTCAGTGAGGCATGGTCATGTCACTGCACTTTAGCCTGGGAAACAGAATGAGAAGCTGTCTCAAAAAATTTAAAAAAAGGAAAGACTTCACTTTGACATAATGCATGTTTTTGTAGTGACATTTTTTATAACTAGCATGTTTTACTAGAAAATTACAATATACTTTTAAAATCTAGTTAAGTTTTCAAGTCTCAAATGTACCTTTTACTGGAAAGTCTTTCCATAAAGCCCTCCATAAAAAAAAAATAATGATGATGATGATGGTGTTCTGCTCAAAACTTCCATAAGCCCAGAGTAGAGCCTGCCTGCCTTCTTTCCTTCATTCTGCAAATGTGCATTTCTCCAGATGACCTGCCTACTTCTCACCTATTAATTCTAAAGGGAAGTCAGCTTAACTTATCCTATTTACACAAAGATTACTATCATCTCTCTCTTCAAAATAAAGGCCTGTTGGGAAAGAGGCTTACACACTGTAGAAGAAACCTATTTGACTCTGTACACCAGTAAAGACTGAAGCATACCGCAGACTGCCAAGAACTTGAGGAAAATAAATAAAACGGAAGGAACAACATAAACAAACAGAATAACAAGCAGCTCTTTAGTAAATAAATAACACAGAAAAAAAGAAAACCTCTTAAAAATTCTAATTACTATTCTTATAATAATTCAAGAGGCTAATGCATAAAACATTCTCAGTTAAAGATGGCAGACCAAGCACATGCTTTTATCTTTTGTCCTCCAGGAAACACCATAAAAATGAGACAAAAGAAGTAACCTGGGCAGAGCGTGGTGGCTCCCGCCTGTAATTCCAGCACTTTGGGAGGCCGAGGCAGGCGGATCACGAGGTCAAGAGATTGAGACCATTCTGGCCAACATAGTGAAACCCCGTCTCTACTAAAAATACAAAAATTAGCTGGGTGTGGTGGCATGGCACCTGTAGTCCCAGCTACTTGGGAGGCTGAGGCAGGAGAATCGCTTGAACCAGGAAGGCGGAGGTTTCAGTGAGCCGAGATCGCGCCACTGCATTCCAGCCTGGTGACAGAGTAAGACTCCGTCAAAAATAAATAAATAAATAAAAATAAAAAGTAAGCAAACAAAGGCCATAATGACAGAAACAGCCAGACACTGATAATGAGGGGGTGAAAAAACTGTGGGGAAATCTAAAGCAGATAGATGGACTGTAACCAATGCAACTGGGCAAAGAAAGGTATAAGCTATAGTAAGCATGGAGGGGATTGCAATTAAGTGGAGTATCTGGCCTGGCCTGGTTGCTCAGGTCTATAATCCCAGCTCTTTGGGAGGCCAAGGAAGGACTGCTTGAGCTCAGGAGTTCAAGACTAGCCTGGGCAACATGGCGAAACCCCCTCTCTACTAAAAATACAAAAATTAGCTGGGTGTGGTGGTGCACACCTGTAGTCCTACCTACTTAAGAGACTGAGGTGGGAGGATCACTTGAGCCCAGAAGGCAGAGGTTGCAGTGAGCTGAGATCACACCACTGCACTCCAGCCTGGGCGACAGAGGAGACCCTGTCTCAAAAAAAAGTGAGGTATCATCTGCCCTGCAAACTCTTAGACTAAGCACTCAGAAATGAAAAGCACCCCAAAAGTCATAAAGTAAGACACGAGCTGCAATCAGATAAATGGAAAATTCCATAGAAAGAACAGTCAAACACAACCACATTTCAACAATGTACCCGGCAGCCATGCAATTACCTCACAGGATAAAAGGGATTTAGCATTTTAGAACAAAACACTGAATATTCTGGTTGTTAGATGCTCAAAAGAAAGAGCTGATCCAGGTAAGAAAACTTTACTTTTTTTTTGTTTGGCTTTGTTTTGGAGACAGAGTTTCGCTCTGTCGCCCCAGCTGGAGTGTAATGATGCTCACTCAGCCTCCACCTCCCAGGTTCAAGCGATTCTTGTGCCTCAGCCTCCGGAGTGGCTGGGATCACAGACACATATCACCATGCCCGGCTAATCTTTGTATTTTTAGTAGAGACGGGGTTTTGCCATGTTGGCCAGGCTGGTCTTGAACTCCTGACCTCAGGTGATCTGCCTGCCTTGGTCTCCCAAAGTGCTGTGATTACGGGCGTGAGCCACCACACCCAGCCACATTTTTAAATAAAAAATCTAATTTACTCATGACAATCAGAAGATAATCACATCCCAGGCAGGCGTGGTGGCTCACCTCCCATATGTAATCCCAGCACTTTGGGAGGCCAAGGCAGGCGGATCACCTGAAGTGAGGAGTTCAAGAGCAGCCTGGCCAACATGGTGAAACCCTGTCTCTACCAAAAATAAAAAAATTAGCCAGGCATGGTGGTGCGCACCTGTGATCCCAGCTACTCAGGAGGCTGAAGCAGGAGAATCACTTGAACCTGGGAGGTAGAGGTTGCAGTGAGCAGACATCATGCCACTAAACTCCAGCCTGGGCAGTAAAGTGAGACTCTGTCTCAAAAAAAAAAAGAGAAGATAATCGCATCCTTTTAAAAAAAGAGGAGAATGTTATGAAAAACCAAACAAGAAATGGCTCTATGTAACTAAATATATGACCAGCAAAAATAAAAATTTAAATATAAGAGGCTGGGCGCGGTGGCTCACGCCTGTAATCCCAGCACTATGGGAGGCTGAGGCAGGCGGATCACAAGCTCAGGAGATCGAGACCATCCTGGCTAACACAGTGAAACCCCGTCTCTACTAAAAATACAAAAAATTAGACAGGCATGGTGGCGGATGCCTGTAGTCCCAGCTACTCGGGAGGCTGAGGCAGGAGAATGGCATGAATCCGGGAGGCGGAGCTTGCAGTGAGCCGAGATCACACCACTGCACTCCAGCCTGGGCTACGGAGCGAAACTCCATCTCAAAAAAAAAGGAAAGAAAAGAATTATGCCACAATGTACAATGTAATTGCTTCCTTTTGTACTGTGACTTCTTCGTATAATTTTTTCCCCCTGAATTTTTTAAGTCTTTTCTTTGAAGGCGGTAGAGGCCACTATGAGTTTTAGGTTTTGAGAATGAAGGAAAAAAGAAAATCTACAGAAGCAAAGAATATAAAGTTTACAGAAATAGGCAGAGAGCAAAAATCAGAGTAAGAGAGAGTGACCACTAGTGGTGATCAACCAAGAAATATCTATCAGGTCCTACAGGTTAGCAATCAGAGATTCCATGAGGAAGAAGTAAGGAGAGGAAGACAGCCTTACCATAAATGTTCTATACAAGACTACTACCAGAGAAGAAACTGTCAAGATGCCAATTCAATTAATATACACTTAAATATTGACCACATGGTCCCACATTTCTTAAAACAACAAAATCAGATATTTACCCGATAGAGAGCTGGCCAGGTTTCCTCTCCATAACTTACAATCATCCTGACTCAGTTGTCGCTGAAGTTTAACTTTTCCAGTGGATGAAAATATGTCAGGATTACTGAGTTTCCTGAAGAGCAGGGGACTAACTCCAGTTACTACATCCTTCAAAGAGAAAAAGAGTAAAACATGAGTCTTTAATATCTCCTCTGAAGTATAAAAACTTTATATTAAACATCTCTACAGCATTCACTACAATTTAAAAGTGCCAAAATATTATACTTCCCCCTCCATAGCTAAAACCAGAAACATATTTCTTAGTAAAAGCTAGGTATGCTGTAAAGGACACAGGATATTGATTATTAAAATGCCAAAGGAAAAATAGGTGAGAAAGGTCATGGGATGACAGACATTTTGACAGGATATAGTATTCATAATGAGTACACTTCTTAGTTAAGTTTATTTATGTTTATCCTTTTATTCATACCCTTCCTATATCCAATAAAGAAAAGCATATTTTAGTTTAAAAAAAATCATTAAATGGTAGACTTTACCTGGCATATAAAGTCAGAAATATCTCTAACATTCAATTAATGCTAAAATTAATATTAGAGCTTTCTTTATATGCCTATAAGAGGAGCTAAATACAGGTTTTCAAAGTATAAAAGTACTATCAGAAAATACAGGCAATACAAAACATTGACAGAACCTTCCCATTCCACTCCAACACCTCTTTCTCCTCATTCAGTAAGCAGTGTCCAATAATATCATCAACATGTAGACATTTTTAAGCCAACACCCACCTAATCAGGAGTATTATAATAAATAAGAAACTTTCGAAAAAAATCAGCCCGATGAGGTATATCTATTATATGTCAATGAAGGAAGCTGTAACAAATACAGATAAGTAACACATCAAACTGATCTAGACAGTACAGAGACAAGAACCATTAGAGAATAACTGGGCCGGGTACAGTAGCTCACACCTGTAATCCCAGCACTTTAGGAGTCTGAGGCAGGTGGATCATGAGGTCGGGAGTTCAAGACCAGCCTGGTCAAGATGATGAAACCCTGTCTCTACTAAAAATACAAAAATTAGCCAGGCGTGGTGGCAGGCACCTGTAACCCCGGCTTACTCGGGAGGCTGAGACAGAGAATTGCTTGAACCCAGGAGGCAGAGGTTGCAGTGATCCAAGATCATGTCACTGCACTCCAGCCTGAGCAACAGAGCGAGACTCCGTCTCAAAAAAAAAAAAAAAAGAGAATAACTGACCCCATGTCACCTGCCATTTGAAAAACAAGCTTCAAGTAACTGGCACCATAGCAATACTAAAAGCCACAAGGGGCAAAAAAGGAGGAAATTTCCAGTTCTCTAAGATTAAAAAAAAAAAAAAGAAAAAAATTCTATACAGTTATATATTGTGATTAGTGAGTTCAAAAAAATGGGTAAGTACTAATATTGGTTGGTGGTGACTATCCAAAACATGATTTACAAATGCCCAAACATAAAAAGAAGAGTGAAGTTGGTGAAGAAAAATACCTGAAAAGAAGAAAAAGACAATTTCAAAACATGGTGGTAAGTGAATAAAAGGATAAAGGAGGATATTGTGGCACTGAATCAAACAATTGATGTGTCCAGGCACCTAACTGTAGCAGGACTGAGCAGTGAGACGGGGAACAGGAAATAGAACTTAATGCAAAAACAGAAGGTAGCAAGGGAACAGCTTGTATTTGCACTATTTGGCATGTCAAGGATGAAACAGTACCTATGGATCAAGGAGAAACCAGGGAAGGAAGCAGACTTTGGACTAATGCTGGTAATCCATTAAAGAGGGTTGGCCACTCACAAAGGTGACAAGCACAGCAAGAAGCTCTAGGTAGAGAGAACTGAGGAGGCCTTGGAAGACATCAAGCTAAAGTGGATATCCTCTATGAAGACAATGTGGAGAGGGAAAGATCCTATCTCAAAAAAACTTACAACCAGCTGCATGGGAGAACCAGCATTTGGATGCCTGCTACACTGTATGGATGAATAATCCGTCTTAGCCAGAGAAAGAACAATCAAGAAAGAATTTGATCAGTACCAATTAAGAGAAACACATACACTTTTCAATTTCCCTATTCCTTCCCACAAGACACCAAAGTAAAGAAACCAGATAACAGAGGAGAGGAGAAAAGAAAGAGAGGATCACACCCCTTCTTACTGCAAGTCTCTTCGAGTCAAAACCTGGCAAAGGAAAGGAAATATAAATTAAATATGAAATTTGAACTTTTAAGCTAGGATTTTTAACTTTTACTGAAGTACATTACTCATTTTAGAAAAGTACACATACCTAAGCATAGAACTCAATGAATTTTCACAAATTGAACAGACCCACTAAGCAGCATCAAGATTAAAACACTGAAAATAGCCAGGCACGGTGGCTCATGCCTGTAATCCCAGAACTTTGGGAGGCTGAGGTGGGTGGATCATTTGAGGTCAGGAGTTCAAGACCAGCCTGGCCAACATGGCAAAACCCCATCTCTACTAAAAATACAAAAATTAGCTGGGCGTGATGGCACGTGCCTGTAATCCCAGCTACTTGGGAGGCTGAGGCACAGGAATCGCGTGAACCTGGGAGGTGGAGGTTGCAGTGAGCAGAAATCACACCACTGCACTCCAGGCTGGGTGACAGAGCAACACTCTGTCACCAAAAAAAAAAAAAAAAAAAAGGTGAAGGTGAAACAATATATGAATATGGGAATTCTAGAAGAGAAGGGGGCAGTAAGAACATGTGAAGAGGCCGGGCACCATGGCTCACGCCTGTAATCCCAGCACTTTGAGAGGCCAAGGCGGGCAGATCATGAGGTTAGGAGTTTGAGACCAGCCTGGCCAACATGGTGAAACCCCGTCTCTAATAAAAATACAAAAATCAGCTGGCGTGGTGGTGCATGCCTGTAGTTCCAGCTACTCGGGAGGCTGAGGCACAGTTATGACTTGAACCCAAGAGGCAGAGGTTGCAGCGAGCCAAGATCCTGCCCTGCACTTCAGCCTGGGTAACAGAACGAGACTCTGTCTCAAAAAAAAAAAAAAAAAAAAAAAGAAGAAATAACATACCAAAACTTCCCAAATGTGATGACAGATACAAATCTACACATCCAAGAAGCTCCGTGACTTCTAAGCAGGTTAAATTCAAAAAGGTTCATATGGAGACACATGATAACCAAACTGTCAAAGCCAATGGCAAAGAAATAATATTCAAAGCAGCAAGAGAAAAGCAACTTGTCAAATACAGGAGATCCTGAATCAGACGAACAGCTCATATCTCATCAGAACTGTGGAGTCCAGAAGTGAGTAGGATGACATACGGAATTCTATCTTGAGCATAACTGTCCTTCAAAAATGAGGAAAAAATAAAGGCTGGGTGCAGTGGCTCACACCTGTAATCCCAACACTCTGGGAGGCCAAGGTAGGGAGATTGCTTGAGCCCAGGAGTTTGAGATCAGCCTGGGCAACATGGCGAAACTCTGTCTCTGCAAAACACATAAAAGTTAGCTGGGCATGGTGACATGTACCTGTGGTCCCAGCTACTCAGGAGGATGAGGCAAGAAAATTGCTTGAGCCCAGGAGGTCAACACTGCAGTGAGCCAAGATTGCACCACTACACTCCAGCCCGGGAAACAGAGCAAGACTCTGACTCAAAAAAAAAAAAAAAAAAAAAAAAGAGAAAGAAAGAGAAATTGAAATCGAGGCATTTTCAGATTAAGAAAAAAAAAAAAAAAAGCAGACAGAGTCCATCACCACTACATATGTTCTACATCAAATCCTAAAAGGCATCTTCAAGTTGAAATGAAAGGACACTAAACAGAAACTTAAGGCCATCTGAAAAAATGAAGATCCAAAAAATAAAAAATAAAGATCCCCAGCAAAGGTAACCATATGGACAAATATCACAGCCAGTATTATTCTATTTTTGTTTTTCAGCTCCACCTTTTTTCCCTATATGACTTAAAAGACAAAAGCATTAAAAAATTATAAATCTATGATATTTAGCACACAATGAATAAAGATGTAATCTGCCACAAAAACAACTTATCAAGGAAATGGAGCTATACAGGAATAAAGTTTTTGTATACTACAGAAGTTAAACTGGTACCATTTCAAACTAGACTGTTATAAATTTAGTATGTTACATGTAATCCCCATAGCAACCAAAAAAAAATTCTAAAAAACACACACAAAAGGAAGTGAGAAAAGATCCCCTTGATCCAGTTTTGCTTTGGTTGCCTCTGCATGTGGGGTATTTATTGCTCAAGAAATTTTTGCCCAAACCAATGTCCTAGCAAGTTTCCCCAAAGTTTTCTTTTAGTAGTTTCAGAGTTTGCAGTTTAAGATTTAAATCTTTAATACATTTTTGATTTTTGTATATGGGAAGAGATAGGGATCTAGTTTCACTCTTCTGCATGTAGATATCTGCATATAGATTTCCAGTTTTCCGAGAACCATTTATTGTACAGACTGTCCTTTTACCAAAGTATGTTCTTGGCACCTCTGTCAAAAACCAGTTCACTGTAAATGTATGGATTTATTAATGGGTTCTCTATTCCGTTCTATTGGTCTCTGTTTGTTTTTATGTCAGTACCATGTTGTTTTGGTTACCATAGCTTTCTAGTATCATTTCAAGTCAGGTAATGTCATTTCTCCAGTTTTCTTCTTTATGTTGAAGATAGCTTTGGCTATTCTGAGTCCTCTGTGGTTCCACGTAAATTTTAGAATTGTTTTTTCTATTTTTGTGGAGAATGTCATTGGTATTTTGAATATGGATTGTATTGAATCTGTAGATTGCTTTGGGTACTATGGACATTTTAATAGTGATTTTTCCAATCCATGAACATGAAATATCTTTTCATTTTTTTAATGTCCTCTTCAATTTCTTGCATCAGTGTTTAATAGTTTTCATTAGAGAGATCTTTCATCTCTTTGGTTAATCCCTAGGTATTTTATTTGCAGCTACTGTAAATGGGGTTACTTTTTTGATTTTTTCAGATTGTTCACTGTTGGCATACAGAAACACTACTGATCTCTGTGTGTTGACTTTGGATCCTGCAACTTTACTAAATTTATCAGTTCTAATAGTTTTTTGGTGAAGTCTTTAAGCTTTTGCCAAATATAAGATCAAATCATCTGCAAACAAGGATAATTTGACTTCTTTTCCAATTTGGATACCCTTTATTTCTTTTTCTTGTCTAATTACCATAGTTAAGACTTCCAGTACTACTAGGTTGGTACAAACGTAATTGCGGTGGTTTGCATGATTAGAATTTGTCATCTGATATTGGAATACATTCTTTTTTTTTTTTTTTTTGAGACAGACTTTGCTCTTGTTGCCCAGTCTGGAGTGCAATGGCATGATCTCGGCTCACTGCAACCTCTGCCTCCTGGGTTCAAGCGATTCTCCTGCCTCAGCCTCCCAAGTAGCTGGGATTACAGGTGTGTGCCACCATGCCTGGCTAAGTTTGTATTTTTAGTAGAGACAAGGTTTCACCATGTTGGTCAGGCTGGTCTCGAACTCCTGAACTCTGGTGATCCACCCACCTCAGCCTCCCAAAGTGCTGGGATTACAGGCATGAGCCACTATGCCCGGTCTTGGAATACATTCTTAAATAAATGTCATTATATTATACATCATTTTAATGTTCATTTTTTATGTTTTTTGGCTAGAGACTTATTTACTTGCTGTTTATGTTTTAGACTATGGGAATGAAGTTAGATAAAAAGCAAATATGAGCAATTTTTGAATAAGTTCAAAATGGGTCGTAAAGCAAAGGAGACAACTCACAACATCAACAATGCATTTGGAGAGGAACTGCTAACAACTGTACAGTGCAGTGGTGGTTCAAAAAGTTTTGCAAAGGAGGCAAGCCTTGAAGGTGAGGAGTGTAGTGGCCGACCATCGGAAGTTCACAACGACCAATTGTGAGCAATCATCTCTTAGAACTACACAAGAAGTTGCCGAAGAACTCAACATCGACCATCCTACAGTCATTCAGCATTTGAAGCAAATCGAAAAGGTGAAAAAGCTCGTTAAGTGGGTGCCTCATGAGCTGAGTGAAAATCAAATAATCATCATTTTGAAGTGTCATCTTCTCTTATTCTACAGAACAATGAACCACTTCTCGATCACACTGTGACATGCAAGGAAAAGTGGACTTTATATGACAACCTGTGACAACCAGCTCAGTGGCTGGACTGAGAAGAAGCTCCAAAGCACTTCCCAAAGCCAAACTTGCATCAAATAAAGGTCACGGTCACTGTTTGGTGGTCTGCTGTCAGTCTGATCCACTACAGCTTTCTGAACCCCAGTGAAAGCATAACATCTGAGAAGTATGCTCAGCAATCTTAATGAGATGCACCAAAAACTGCAACGCCTGACACCAGCATTGGTCAACAAAAAGGACCCAATTCTCCACAACAACACCCAACTGCACATCACACAACCAAGCTTCAACAAGTGAACGAATTGGGCTATGAAGTTTTCCCTCCCGCCATATTCACCTAACCTCTCACCAACCAACTACCACTTCTTCAAGCATCTCGACAACGTTTTGCAGAGAAAACATTTCCATGACCAGCAGGATGCAGAACATTCTTTCCAAGAGTTCGTCAAATCCCAAAGCATGGATTTTTACACAACAAGAACAAACATTTCTCATTGGCGAAAATGTGTTGATTGTAATGGTTCCTATTTTGATTAATAAAGATGTGTTTGAGCCTAGTTATAATGATTTAAAATTCACAGTCCAAAACCACAATTACTTTTGCAACAACCTAATACCATACTATGTCTGGAAAAGTTGTTGTAGTTATTATTCTTGATCAATTCATCTTTTCATGATATGAGTCGTTTATACACCATAATTATTGTTATTAATATAGTATTCTGTGTTTTTCTGTGTACTTACTATTACCAGTCAGTTTTGTACCTTCAGATGATTTCTTATTGCTCATTAACATCCTTTTCTTTCAGATTGAAGAACTCCCTTTAGCATTTGTGTGGGACAGGTCTGGTGTTGATGAAATTACTCGACTTCTCTGTCTTATGAAGTCGTTATTTCTCCTTCATGTTTGAAGAATATTTTCACCAGATATACTATTCTAGGGTAGAAGTTTTTTCCTTCAGCACTTTAAATATGTCATGCCTCTCTCTCTTGGCCTGTAAGGGGTTTCCACTGAAAAGTCTGGTCCCAGACATATTGAAGCTCCATTGTATGTTATTTGTGTTTTTTCTCTTACTGCTTTTAGGATCCTTCATCTTTTACCTTTAGAAGTTTGATTATTAAATGCCTTGAGATAGTCTTCTTTGGGCTAAATCTGCTTGGCATTCTAGAACCTTATACTTGAATATAGAAATCTTTCTCTAAGTTTGGGAAGTTCTCTGTTGTTATTCATTTCGATAAACTTTCTACCCCTATCTCTCTACCTCCTCTTTAAGGCCAAAACGCTTAGATTTGCCTTTTGGAGGCTATTTTCTAGATCTTGTAGGCATGCTTTTTATTCCTTTTTATCTTTTTCTTCTTTTGTCTCCTCTGGCTGTGTATTTTCAAATAGCCTGTCTTCGAGCTCACTAATTCTTTCTTCTGGGGCCAGGCACTGTGGCTCACGCCTGTAATCCCAACACTTTGGGAAGCCGAGGCAGGTGGATCACGAGGTCAGGAGATCGAGACCATCCTGGTTGACACGGTGAAACCCCGTCTCTACTAAAAAACAAAAAAATTAGCCAGGTGTGGTGGCACACACCTGTAATCCCAGCTACTTGGGAGGCTGAGCCAGGAGAATCGCTTGAACCTGGGAGGCAGAGGTTGCAGGGAGCCATTACGCCACTGCACTACAGCCTGGGCAACAGAGCGAGACTCCATCTCAAAAAATAAATAAATAAATAAATTCTTTCTTCTGCTTAATCAGTTCTGCTATTAAAGGACTCTGATGCATTCCTTAGTATATCAACTGCATTTTTCAACTCCAAAATTTCAGCTTGGTTCTTTTTAATTATTTCCATTTCTTTGCTGAAGTTACCTTAGGGGATTCTGATTTCCTTATCTGTGTTATCCTGTATTTCTCTGAATTTCCTCAAAATGGGTATTTTGAATTCTCTGTCTGAAAGGTCATGTATCTCTATCTCTCCAGGATTGGTCCCTGGTGCCTTACGTAGTTTGTTTGGTGATGTCATGTTTTCCTGAATGGTCTTAACGCTTGTGGGTATTTGTCAGTGTCTGGGCATTGAAGAGTTAAATATACATTGTAGCCTTTGCGATCTGGGCTTGTTTGCATCTGTTATTCTTGGGAAGACTTTCCAGGTATTTGAAGGGACTTGGGTCTCTCTCTCTCTCTCTCTCTCTTTCTCTCTCTCTCTCCCCCCCACCCCCAATACCAAGCTGCCTTTCTTGGGGTTGCCAGAGACTACCTCTGCCACAGGCTGCAGAAAAGCTTTTCCAGATCTCCTATCTGTGCTTGGGAAAAAGGCCTTTACTTGCATTCAAAATTGTTATAACTCAAAACTCTGTGTGTCTACAAGGAAAAAGAGGAGGCTATGGTTCCAGGCTGTCTATAACCAAAATAAATGGATTTCTGTATGGTTCTAAGCTAAGGACTACATTGGGGTTTGAGTCCTGTGGCAGGGACTAGTTAGATGTTGATCAAGCATGATTCACCTTCCTCCTAGGCACAGGCCACATGACATTTCCCAGCCCTCCAGTAGTTAGGCATGGCCCTGAAACTGAGTTCTGGCAATGGAATATGAGTGGAAGTGATTAATCCATTTCTAGGATTGGCCCATCCTCCACTTTCCTCAGCTGAACTTGGAAGCCATGTGTAGAAAATGGAAGCACCTCAATCAAGGGGTCCTTGTGAATCAGTTACAGCAAGTAATGTTCTTTAATATAAAAGACCAAAGACTGAGCTAGTCACAAAGTATCACTTTCTCTTACTGGTTAAAGGTAGAACTTAAATGTTCCTGGGTCATTTAAACAAAAATCACCTTGGTAACACCCCTATGAAATAACTTAAGGACTTTAAAAAAAAACTATTAACAACTATTTCTAAATCCTCTGCTTTTCAAAACATTCCTGAAAGCCTAACAGATAGAAAGTCTGACCAGTCACGGTGGCTCACACCTGTAATCCCAGCACTTAGGGAGGCTGAGGAGGGTGGATCACCTGAGGTCAGGAGTTCAAGACTAGCCTGCCCAACATGGTGAAACCCCATCTCTACTAAAAACATAAAAATTAGCTGGGTGTGATGGCATGTGCCTGTAGTCCTAGCTACTCAGGAGGCTGAGACAGGAGAATCACTTGAACCTGGGAGGCAGAGGTTGCAGTGAACCGAGATCACGCCATTGCACTCCAGACTGGGAGACAGTTTCAAAAAAAAAAAAAAAGAAGATCTGACAAAACTATATTACTTCTGCTTTGCTGAAATAACGGCAAAGAAACGATGTAGCTTATTAATCTCCAACAAATTAATGGTTAAAGGATATATGCATCTACTACTCAGGTTCACTCTTAAGGAACCTACACTCAAGCTGGTACAACTAAGATGGTATCACCTAATTTTAACACATGGTTCCCTTGGGCTGAATTTTTCTTAATTACATTCTAAAACCTAGGGAGACTATTCTATCTTCTAAGCCAGTTACTTAATAAAAAAATCCATAAAAGTTTCCCTGAAGGGGAAAATGCACAAATTAAAGTCTCCTTTCAAGCTGAATAAAATAAAAGAACAGTTTAATAACACCAACAAATCAAAGGTCAAGATAGCTTTTTCTTTTTATTTTTGAGATAGAGTTTCGCTCTTGTCGCCCAGGCTGGAGTGCAATGGCGTGATCTTGGCTCACTGCAACCTCCAACTCCCGGGTTCAAGCAATTCTCCTGCCTCAGCCTCCCAAGTAGCTGGAACTATAGGCGTGCGCCACCACGCTGGGCTAATTTTTGTATTTTTAGTAGTGACGGGGTTTTGCCATGTTTGCCAGGCTGGTCTCAAACTCCTGACCTCAGGTGATACACCCGCCTTGGTGTATGTGTTTACATTATACAAAATATTTTCTTTCATTATCCTTATTATATAAGCTTTCTTCTATTAAAAAAATTTTCTTTTTTTACTTTTTAAACTGTTTTGTTAGAAAGTAAGATACAAACATACGCACTAGCCTAGGCCTACACAGGGTCGAGATCATCAATATCACTGTCTTCCACCTCCACATCTTGTTCCATGGGAAGGTATTCAGGGGCAATAATGGAGCAATAATGGAGGTGACATGGAGCTGTCATCTCCTATGGTAACAATGCCTTCCCTGGAATTACACTGAAGGACTTGTCTGAGGCTGTTTTACAGTTAACTTTTTTTTTTAATAAGTAGGGGTACACTCTAAAATAACAGTAGAAAGTATAGTATGGTAAATACATAAGCAAGTAACATAGTTGTATATTATCATCATTAGGTATTATGTGCTGTGCATGCACTAACTCTATGTGCTGTACCTTTATACCACAGCAGTGCAGTAGGTTTTACACAGGCATTACCATGAACATGTAATGTGTTGCACTACAATGTTGTAATAGCTAGATGTCACTAGGCAATAGAAATTTTTCAACTCTGTTATAATCTTATGGGAAGCCAGGCATAATAGTTCATGCTTATAATCCCAACATTTTGGAAGGCCAAGGCAGAAGGATTGCTTGAGGCCAAGAGCTCAAGACCAGCCTGGGCAACATAGCAAGACTTCATCTCTATTTAAAAAAAAATTTTAATAAAAAAATTATAATCTGGCCAGGCGCAGTGGTTCATGCCTATAATCCCAGTACTTTGGGAGGCCGAGGTGGGCGGCTCACCTGACGTCAGAAGTTCGAGACCAGCCTGGCCAACATGGTGAAACACTGTCTCTACTAAAAATATAAAAATTAGCCAGGTGTGGTGGCAGAAGCCTGTAATCCCAGCTACTCGGGAGGCTGAGGCAGAAGAATTGTTTGAATCCGGAAGGCAGAGGTTGCAGTGAGCCAAGATCGTGCCACTGCACTCCAGACTGGGGGACAAGAGCAAAACTTCGTCTCAAAAAAAAAAAAAAAAAAATTGGCCAGGCGTGGTGGCGGCTGCCTGTAATCCTAGTTACTTGGGAGGCTGAGGCAGGAGAATTGCTTGAACCCAGGAGGCAGAGGTTCCAGTGAGCTGAGATCGCACCACTGCACTCCAGCCTGAGCAACAGAGCAAGACTCGGTCTCAAAAAAAAAATGATAATAATAATAATAATCTTATGGGACCCCCATCTTGTATGTCATCCATCATTGACTAAAACATAATTATGCGGAACATGACTGTATGCAGAGAAAAAGAAAATGAATAGTTCCATCTATACTGAACATGTATAGATATTTTTTTCTTGTCACTATTCCCTAAGTAATAGAGTGTAACAGTTATTTACATAGCATTTACATTGTATTATATATTATAAATAATCTGGAGATGATTTAAAGTACATGGGAGGATATACATAGGTTACATGCAAATACTATGCCATTTTATAGATAGAACTTGAGCATACCAGAGTTTGGTATCTGCAGGGGGTCATGTACTCAATCCCCGAGAGATATTGAGGGACAACTGTAGCAGCAAACAGACCTGAGGGGCTGAATGTGGAATACAGGTAAGGTTAAGAAAAAAATCAAACACAACCTCCAGTTTTGTTCTGGTAAATGAGTAGTGCCATCTATTGACATGAGGCAGACTGGGGAAGAAGCAGACTAGAAAGTGAAAATCAAGACTTCATTTTTGGACATGTTAAGTTTGAGAGGTCTCTGAGCTATCCAAATGAAAATGTTACACGGACTATTAAAAATAGGAGTAGGGCCAGGCACAGTGGCCGATGCTTGTAATCCCAGCACTTTGGGAGGCCGAGGTGGACGGATCACCTGAGGTCGAGAGTTTGAGACAGCCTGACCAACATGGAGAAACCTAGTCTCTACTAAAAATACAAAATTACCCAGGCGTGGTGGCACATGCCTGTAATCCCAGCTACTGGGAGGCTGAGGCAGGAGAATCACTTGAACCTGGGAGGCGGAGGTTGCAGTGAGCCAAGATGGTACCACTGTACTCCAGCCCGGGCAACAGTGCGAGACTCCGTCTAAAAAAAAAAAAAAAAAAAAAGGCTTACAGATTGATCTTTAGGCCAAGAGACATCCAGAACAATGATGGGAAAACTCTGTAATCACATGTGTCCTACCCTCATCAGGGAACATTTGCCAACCTGCTTCAAGCCACCATAGACTCTCTGCTCCCAGTACTTTTGATGAAACTAAATATTTCAAAGTTAACACCTTTTTAGGAGCTAGCCCTTACCCATACCCTGGATAAGAGGGAAAGGAGGTCAAATAAACTTTTGCACTGAAAACTCGGAAGATTTCTCAAATGCTCATGTCTCAAACAGCATGTCCTGCATCCTATCCTCCACACAGTTGCCAGAGTAATCCAACTAAAACACAAATAAGAATATACTGCTCCTGTGCCGCGCGCGGTGGCTCACACCTGTAATTCCAGCATTTTGGGAGGCCAAGGCGGGCAGATCACCTGAGGTCAGGAGGTCCAGACCAGCCTGGCCAACATGGTGAAACCCCATCTTTACTAAAAATACAAAAATTAGGCCAGGCGCAGTGGCTCACGCCTGTAATCCTAGCACTTTGGGAGGCCGAGACAGGCGGATCACGAGGTCAGGAGATCAAGACCATCCTGGCTAACACAGTGAAACCCCGTCTCTACTAAAAATACAAAAAAATTAGCTGGGCGTGGTGGCGGGCGCCTGTAGTCCCAGCTATTCGGGAGGCTGAGGCAGGAGAACGGCGGGAACCCGGGAGGCAGAGCTTGCAGTGAGCCAAGATCAGGCCACTGCACTCCAGCCTGGGTGACAAAGTGAGACTCTGTGTCAAAAAAAAAAAAAAGCCGGGTGCGGTGGCTCACGCCTATAATCCCAGCACTTTGGGAGGCCAAGGAGGGCAGATCACGAGGTCAGGAGATCGAGACCATCCTGACTAACATAGTGAAACCCCGTCTCTACTAAAAATACAAAAAAATTAGCCGAGCGTGGTGGTGGGCGCCTGTAGTCCCAGCTACTCCAGAGGCTGAGGCAAGAGAATGGCGCGAACCCGGGAGGCGGAGCTTGCAGTGAGCCGAGATCGCGCCACTGCACTCGAGTCTGGGCGACAGAGCGTGACTCCGTCTCAAAAAAAAAAAAAAAAAATACAAAAATACAAAAATTAGCTGGGCGTGGTGGCATCCCAGGTACTCGAGAGGCTGAGGCAGGAGAATTGCTTGAACCCCACAGGGGGAGGCTGCAGTGAGCCGAGATCGTGCCATCGCACTCCAGCCTGGGAGACAAGAGCGAGACTTCGTCTCAAAAAAAAAAAAAAAAAGAAATATACTGCTCTCGGCTAGGCACGGTGGCCCACGCCTGTAATCCCAACACTTTGAGAGGCCGAGCCAGGTGGATCACTTGAGGTCGGGAGTTTGAGACCAGCCTGACCAACATGGAAAAACTCCGTCTCTACTAAAATACAAAATTAGCCAGGCATGGTGGCCAATGCCTGTAATCCCAGCTACTTGGGAGGCTGAGGCAGGAGAATAGCTTGAACCTGGGAGGTGGAAGTTGCGGTGAGCTGAGATCGTGCCACTGCACTCCAGCCTGGGCCACAGAGCAAGACTGCCTCAAAAAAAAAAAAAAAGAATATACTGCTCCCCTACTTATTATCCTTTTTTTTTTTTTTTTTTTGAGATGGAGTCTCGCTCTGTCGCCCAGGATGGAGTACCGTGGCGCGATCTTGGCTCACCGCAACCTCCACCTCCCGGGTTCAAGCAATTCTCCTGCCTCAGCCTCCCAAGTAGCTGGGATTACAGGCGCCCACCAAGACGCCTGGCTATTTTTGTATTTTTAGTAGAGATGGGGTTTCATCATGTTGGCCAGGCTGGTCTCAAACTCCTAACCTTAGGTGATCCACCCACCTTGGTCTCCCAAAGTGCTGGGATTACAGGCGTGAGCCACCACACCCAGCCAATTATCCTTTTATATCACACTAAAGACCCTCAACAATCAAGGCTTCTTTAATCTCTAACCTAGCATTTACACCTTCAACGTAAAGCTCTGGGTCTGGCAATAACAAACCGATTATAGTTCCCTATATATATTACGCAGCTTCCCTTCTGTGTGCTTTCTGCCCTATGCTTTTCCCAATGTACTAACCCTGTAATGCAGAGGAAAGAGGTTCTGATTTCCATTAAAATAATTTTTTAAAATTTCTGTCACACTGAGGGTATTTTAGGAACTAAAGTTGAACTCATCTTCTGCCATCCTCAAAAATATTCTATTTCCTTTGTCTACTCCTATCATATAACCATTATTACTCAAATTACCAAAATTCAAAATATTTGAATCATTCTCCATTCATTCATTCAATAAATAATGACTGAGCACCTATTGTGAGCAAAGCCTTTAGCTCTGCATTGTTAGACAAAATGATGACATAGTTCTTACCTTCAATAACATGCAACTTAAAAGCAAAAATGAAATACAAATGAACACAGAAAGTTGAAAGTGCTAAAACACTGATTCATCCTTTCATTCAGCAAATATTTATTCAGCATCTACTTTATATGACCAGGAATGGATCAAACAATATGTTACAGAAACAAAATGAGATAAGACTACTTATTAAGCACCTACTTATTATGTGCTTTCCAGTCATTTTTGCATTTGATCTCTTGGAACCTAAGCTTTCACTTTTAAACCACAGAATTTTGAGAACTGGAATTTCAGGACATTCACAGATTTCCTGAAGCCCAATTAAGGATCCTCCTAGGATCCCATGTGGAAAAACAACTTTGCAGAAGAGTTTCTTTTTGGGTGTGTGGTTTTGTTTTTGTTTTTTGTTTGTTTGTTTTTTGCTTTCTTTACGAGACACGGTCTCATTCTGTCACCCAGACTGGAGTGCAGTGGTACAACCTTGGCTCACTGCAGCCTCAACTTCCAGGGGTCCCACCTCAGCCTCCCAAGTAGCTGGGCCCACAGGCGCGCACCACCAACCCCGACTAATTTTTGTATTTTTTGTAGAGATGGGGTTTCACCATGTTGCTCAGTCTGGTCTCAAACTCCTGAGCTCAAGCAACCCGCCTGCTCAACCTCCCAAAGTGCTGGGATTACAAGTATGAGCCACCACACCTGGCCTCACAGAAGTTTCTGTGGCATTTGAGTTAGGCCTGGAAAACTGAGTAGAATTTTAATATGCGGAAGCAGAGAATAAAGAGCTTCTCAAACTGATGACTAATTAAAGTATATCAAAGTGCCTAACAATAAACAATTACTTACTGAATGTCTATTACATACCAGTTAAAATACTAGAGGCTGAAGATACCATGATGATTAAGACAGCCTCAGAGGAATTCATTTGACTGACTTACAATCAATTAGGACATTGAGCAAATATCTATGTTTCTAATAAATACACAAATAACTATGTTTCAAGTACTATACTAAGCCCTAGGTATACAGAAGTAAATGGAACAGTCTGACTCTCAAAGAACTTACTAATGAGAGAAACAAGATAATTTTAATATTGTATGCCATGATCGAGAAAAGCAGACGGTCCTAAGGAACCAAGAGAAGTGGCAACTAACTGACTCTTCTAACAAAAAGTGCTAAGTATCAAGTAGATCTTGAATGCCAAGGTCTTCAGGCTTAATTCTATGGGTAATAAGAAGCTAATGAAGGTATATGAATAAGGAGAAATGAAATGAACATTTAACGAGTATTTATAAAGCACTTACCATTAGCCAGGGAGGCAATGAGTTCCAATCTTTTGTTAATAGAACGTGAAATATATTAGAGGTTAAGAGACTGAAGACTGAGTAAATACAGTTAAGATACTGCAACAACCAAGACTAAAGTTTATAAATATGAAATTAAGGTAGTGACAATGGGAATAATGGTTTGAAAGATTTCATGAAGGCAGAATCGAGAGAACCTAATGCCAGACTGGCTAAGGGAGTCAAAGGAGAAGAAGTAAAAGACTACAGATGTGGGCCAGGCACGGTGGCTCACGCCTGTAATCCTAATACTTTGGGAGGCCAAGGCGGGTGGATTGCCTGAGCTCAGGAGTTCGAGACCAGCCTGGGCAACACAGTGAAACCCCATCTCTACTAAATACAAAAAATTAGCCAGGCATGCGCTACTCAGGAGGCTGAGACAGGAGAAACGCTTGAACCTGGGAGGCAGAGGTTACAATAAGCCGAGATCGCGCCACTGCACTCCAGCCTGGGCGACAGAGCAAGACTCCATCTCAAAATAAAACAAACAAAAAAAGCCATGGATATAATTTCATGTTGGATGACAAAAAGGAAAGATACAGAGAGAAGCACATTTCAACACAGAAATTATTCTATTTTCATGATACAGTAAACCACTGACCTTCTGGAGATCCAAGTCCTACATCCTGATTAGAACGTATTCTTAAATACTAGTATAATAAAAACTGTAACAAGCACTGTTCCATGTCATGAGAAAGGGAAAAAAAAGTTACGTGTGAGATGTAGATGCTTGCTGATCAGCTGGGCTCTTACTACCCAAATAAATAGAATTCAACCAGTCTCGACACATACAATGAAAATTTTGGCCTTTTTAAAATCATAAATTATTACAAATTATGAACTTTCAAGGTCACTATCAAATTATAAAACTCACAAATGTTAGGCCGGGCACAGTGGCTCACACCTGTAATCCCAGCACTTTGGGAGGCCGAGGTGGGTGGATCACCTGAGGTCAGGAGTTCGAGATCAGCCTGGCCAACATGGTGAAACCCCGTCTCTACTAAAAATACAAAAATTAGCCAGGCGTGGTGGCGGACGCCTGCAATCCCAGCTACTGGGGAGGCTGAAGCTGGAGAATCACTTGAGCCTGGGAGGCGAAGGTTGCAGTGAGCTGAGGTCCCACCACTGCACTCCAGCCTGGGCAACAAAGTGAGACCCTGTCTCAAAAAAAAAAAAAAATCACAAATGTTAAGAACACAAATGATGAGTCTACGGTGGAAATGTTAAGCACAAAAATGGAAATGTAGAGCTAAGGAAAGAGGTCACACCTAAAGAGACTCAGCTCACTTTACAAGGATGTTCTGTGACACAATGCCATAAATAAAGAGGACTGCAGACCCTTGTTCTACATCCTCAACATCTACAAACAGAATGAGCCTGCTAAATAGAGCACAATAAAGGATCAAGCTAAGGACAGAGGACATGTCCTCAAGGAACATTTCAGGAACAGGAAGAGAAAACACAAGACAAAGACACACAAGAGAGCAGTTAGAGAAGCAGTAACAGAATGGATATTATAATATTAAAAAAGAAAAAAATGTCAACAAGGAACACACAGTCAACAGTGACAAATAGTTCACAGAGGTCAGACAAGATGAGGAAAAGACTATCAGATTTAGTAATTTAAAGGTTCCCAGGACTTTTACATATTTCTCTCTGTAACTATTTCACAATGAAAACTTTTCACAAGTAGCCATGAATTATATTTCAATTTGAAAAACAAACTGGGCACTCATGCCCATAATCCCAGCACTTTGGGAGGTCAAGGTGGGAGAATCACTTGAGCCCAGGAGTTCGAGGCTAGCCTGAGCAACATGGTAAGATACCACCTCTACAAAAAATAAAAAATTAGGCCGTGGTAGTTCACGCCTGTAATCCCAGCACTTTGGGAGGCCAAGGCGGGCAGATCATCTGAGGTTAGGAGCTCGTGACTAGCCTGGCCAACATGGTGAAACCCCATCTCCACTAAAAATAGAGAATTAGCCAGGCATGGTGGTGCATGCCTGTAATCCCAGCTACTCGGGAGGCTGAGGCAAGAGAATCGCTTGAATCCGGGAGGCAGAGGTTGCAGTGAGCTGAGAATGTGCCGCTGCACTCCAGCCTGGGCGAGAGAGCAAGACTCTGTCTCAAAAAGAAAAAGAAAAAGAAATTAAAAAATTAGCTGGGCATGGTGGTATGTGCCTATGGTCCCAGCTACTTGGGAGGCTGAGGCAGGAGGATCACTTGAGCCTGGGAGTTCAAGGCTGCCGTGAGCTATGACGGCACCACTACACTCCAGCGTGGGTGACAGAGTGAGATCCTGTCTCAAAAACAAAAATAAGTTTTAGTAACCATCACAATACATTCATACAATGGAAAATTACACAGCAATGAAAAAGAACTGTTTCTACAAGCAACAACATGGATGAGTCTCAAGACATGATCCGAATGAAAGAATCTGGTCACAAAACAGTACACACTATGATTCCATTTATATGAAGTATTAGTTCAAAACAAATCTATAGTGACAGAGGTGGTGAGGGAGGTTACATCTGTAAAAGAGTAGTGCTAGGAGAAAGCACAGGGAGCATTCTAGGGTACTGGGAATGTTCTCCATCCTGATGTGAGTTGTGATCATACAGGTACTCATTCTGTAATATTTCATGGACTGAATGAACCTTTGATTTGTCAAACCTCAATAAAAAAGTAATCCCACACAAAAAAAGCTTTCGGTGACCTTAAAGACATCAGTTTTGGGAAAGCATAAGTGAAGAAGCCAAACCATATTAGAAATGTATACAAGGTGAGGAAGCTAAGACACTGAATACAAACTCATTTTTCAAGAAGGTTGTTGGGGAAGCAAAGAAGAGATAACAAAGTAGTTTGGGTAGGTTACACAATTCAGGGAAATTATGTTGTTTTGTTTTTATTTGTGATATAAAACAAAGAGAGTAACAAGGGTCTAAGGCAAACAAAAGAGGATGAAATCAAGGACATAAGTAGAGAAATTAGCCTCGGAGAGGAGGATGAGTACTTTTCTCTGAGACTGAAGCTAAGGATGAGAAAACACAAAAATCATAAAATAAAGAGGAGGGAAAAATCAAGTAATCTTGAACTCTACCATGAAATACGCAGTAAGGTCAACTGGACAGGTAAACTGAGACAGGAAAGGACCTGGACTTGAAGTTCATTGTACAAGTTTTGACTAGATGATACTGCAGAGAATGTAAAAGATAAGTATTAGGCACATGGGGGAGTAAATTGCAGCAAGAGGACAATGCTCAGCAGCTAGAAGCGGGGCAGAGATGGTCAATGGTGCAGTCTCCTCAGGGCTCAGTGGGGAATAAGAGGTGGAAGAACAAAAGGGGGGAAAAGTCCAAGGGCTACCTAGCATGGTATATAATTTTTAAACTGTCTAAAGGGCCGGGCACACTGGCTCATGCCTGTAATCCCGATTACCTGAGGTCAGAGTTCCAGACCAGCCTGGCCAACATGGTGAAACCCTGTCTCTGCTAAAAATACAAAAAAATTAGCTGGACATGGTGGTAGGCACCTGTAATCCCAGCTAGCCGGGAGGCTGAGGCAGGAGAATCGCTGAACCCAGGAGGTGGAGGTTGCAGTGAGCCGAAATAATGCCACTGCACTCTCCCCTGGGCGACAGAGCGAGACTTCGTCTCAAAAAAAAAAAAAAATGTCTAAGGAAAATGCTAATTTATCTGAGAGAAAAGAGGTAAGAGACCTATAAGAAGTCTTAAAACATTCATGGATGAAGTCAGTAGGATCCCGAATAGAGCTGAACAAAAGGAAAGCTGTCACTAGAGTTCATTACTACAGAACATTTTTCTGTAAATCCAACAAGACCAAGGATTACTTATTCTCCTTTCACTAAACTTATTACCGCTACTAGTGGCAGCTTCTCCTGCCTGATAAAACTGACCTTTATCCCCTACTCATAAATACACCTACTCTTGACTAATAAATTACATAAACATATCCTGTTCATTCAGAAACTCCATGAATATTTGTATGCTGCTGTGTTTTCCCAGTAATGTGTTTTCAGTGGAAAACTAGCAGGCAAACCATATATCTACGAATTCTGTTCACAAAATTGGGCTTAACACTGCTCACATGCAGGTGTTTCACAAGTGCTTTCTTGTGAAATAGATGGTTGGTAAAGAGAGCCTTAACAATGATTGTGAACACACTGGTACAAAAGTATAATGATGGCCAAATCAGAGAATGCTTGGGAGTGTCATCCGTTTTTACAATTTTAAGGACAACCTCTAGAAAACAGGATAACACTACATCAAATTGACTTACATCTTACTCTATTTACTCCTATGGATAACTCCTCAACGCCTCTTTAGTAAGCCTACTCGTTGCAGCTCACACACTCAGCCCACATTCCAGCGTCCTTTCGCCCCATCCAGAACCCCTGACTATCTCTTGCACCAATTTTTCATTCTTCTACACCCCCATTTCCAATACAACCCCAGGCCACCACTTCCATTTCTCCACTCCCCATTTCTCGGCCTCCCCAGACCTCCCACTCCTCCCCGCGAACTACTCAGACCCCACCCCTCCAAAGCTCCAGCCCGGGTCCTCCCGCCGAAGATCCCCTCCCCCACGGCTTCCATTCAGGTTCACCCTCCCGGATCCCAACCCGCCCTACCTGCTCCTTGCCCTCGGGCCCCGCGGGGCCCGTCCGCTCCTCCAGCCGCTGCCTCCCGGGCGGCGCTCGCCGGCGCGGCGGCAAAGACTGAGACAGCTCCGCTGCCCGCTGAACTCCATCCTCCCGGCGGTCGGGCGGCGGCGGCTGCGGTCGGTCGCGGCAGCGGCTCCGCTTCATATCTGCAGCTGGGGCCCGCGGGCGTCAGCGCCGCGACTGTCCCGGCTCCGCACTGCCCCGGGCCGCAGCGCAGCCGCGCCAACCACCACCCGCGGCCACCATGGCCGGACGGGCTCCCTAAGCCACCGACCCCAGCCCGCGGCGCCTTCGAGCCTTCTGGGGCCTCCGGCGCCGCGACCTCCTCTGCGCTCCTCACGGAAGAGACAGCATCGCTGACGCCTCGCCTTCTCCCACCCAGCACACGTTGGGCAGGCCACCCGCCGCCGGCTCAGCCGCCTGCCTACAGCCAGCCTTCGGCCGGCCCCGCCCCTCACGCGCGCGCACCGGGAGCCCGCCCGCCACCTCCGGCCGCGCGCCGCCTCCCGCGCACGCGCCAGCGAACGGTCGCAAAGGACCCGCCCGTGGCCCTGGCGCGCAGTCGGAGGACCAGAAGCGAGCGGGGCTCTCGGCGCGCCGTCAGCGGCTGCGGACTCCCATTGAATCTTTCATTCATCCATTCATGAAACTGCTGGGCCAAGCTCAGTGCTGGGGACCCAAAAATGAGTTCGAGTCGATCGGTGTCCTCAAAGAACTAGGGAGAGAGGGGCCGGGAGCAGGAAGGAGACAGAATAACACAACTAATGAATAGAAGGCTAATGCATGCTTTTTTATTTAGTGCCTGCCAACTCTCACCTAATTCTCACATCACACTTAGGAGGCAAATCTGCGCATTCTCATATTACAGATAAAGAGACTGAGGCGAAGTGAAATGCACCAGGTCACCCAGCAAATCAGTGATCAAACTAGACGGAATTCTGGCTCTTCTGTCCCTTTCCACCGTGTTTGCTCTTTCCGGACAGTAAGACAGTGTGGAAACGCCTATAAAAGTGGAAAAAGTGATGGATTCCTTCTGGGAGGAGGAGAGGACAAAAAAGGCATACAATGAAGTCATCGTGTAGAGCCCAGCCCAGTCTGCTGTGGCCTGGGTAGCCTGACCTGCTGCCTGCAGTGACTCATCTGCTCAGCAACATGTGGTGGTAGCTCAGCTCTGGCCTCCCTCTGGCTTCAGCTGGTCTGCCACATGTTGTGTTTTTCCTCTTTTGACCTAGAAGCCTTGCTTAAAGCCTTCACCCATTTGTCCTGGGCCTCTTCCCTGACCCCTTTCTGAGTAATAAAAATAGCCAACACTATGGAGTGCCCACTGCATACCACACACTGTGCATTCAATTCAGACATACACAAACAAGAAGTAAGTTGTATTTCCATTTTACAGTTGAGGAAATAGGCTCAAATTACATAATATGCTCAACATCACACAGCTTATAAGTCCAGAGCCAGGACTCAAACCCAGGTCTGCCAGATCCGGACAGAAAGACAGTGCGGAAACACCTATAAAAGTGGAAAAAGTGATGGATTCCTTCTGGGAGGCCGGGAGGATGCACATAACCAATGTGCTCTACGGCCTGTCACCAGCCTGCTCCTCTATTCCCTGTCCCAGTTCCTTACCACCCATCCAGTTGCCTCAACCAGAAACCTGGAAATCATCCTGGACTCCTTCCTTGTCCTTTCCTCACATCCAATAAATGAACAAGTCTTATTGCCTCTATAACCTCACTATTTCTCCAATCTGCCTCCTCTTTCCGTCCCATTGGCACCACCTCAAGTTTCATCTTCCCTCACCTACTTGACTGAGAAAGCCTTCAACGGGTTCACTTATGCCAGTCTCATTGTCTTTAAACTCATCCTTCAAAAAGCCCTCACAAGACTCTTCCTATATGTTACTTGCTTGCTTAAAACAATTAAATGGACCGGGTGCAGTGGCTCACGCCTATAATCCCAGCACTTTGGGAGGCCAAGGCGGGCAGATCATGAATTCAGGAGATCGAGACCATCCTGGCTAACACAGTGAAACCCCGTCTCTACTAAAAATACAAAAAAATTAGCCAGGCGTGGTGGTGGGTGCCTGTAGTCCCAGCTACTCAGGAGGCTGAGAACTGCATGAACCTGGGAGACAGAGCTTGCAGTGAGCCAAGATCGTGCCACCGCACTCCAGCCTGGGTGACAGAGCAAGACTCCGTCTCAAAAAAAAAAAAAAAAAAAAAAAACAGTTAAATGAGGCCGGGCACGGTGGCTCACTCCTGTAATCCCAGCACTTTGGGAGGCCAAGGCAGGTGGATAACGAGGTCAGGAGATCAAGACCATCCTGGCCAACACGGTGAAACCCTGTCTCTGCTAAAAATACAAAAAATTAGCTGGGCGTGATGGCGGGCGCCTGTAGTCCCAGCTACTCGGGAGGCTGAGGCAGGAGAATGGCGTGAACCCGGGAGGCGGAGCTGGCAGTGAGCCAAGATCGCACCACTGAACTCCAGCCTGGGCGACAGAGCGAGATTCCATCTCAAAAAAAAAAGCAATTAAATGAATCTCAAGATGAAGTGTAAACTTACTATGGCTGGCAAGGCCATCCAAATCTGGCCTCTACCTCCCTCTCCTTCTCCCATTAATCCATGTGGTGACAACTAATTATAATTATTCCAGCTACATGTACAGGGTCTGTCACATCCTTAGTTACAAATAACAAACAACTCTGACTATCTTAAGCCTAAGGGGTAATTTCTTAGAAGGCTACATAGAATGGATCACAGAGCTGAACAGAGATAGGAGAAAAAGGCTTACGTAGCTGGCAGGAAACAAGGAGCCCCCACAGACTGAACCTTAGGGACAATCTCAGGACACTGCTGTCACAACCACCAGGCAATGAGCTGCGCTGCTACTGTGCACCCCTGCAAAGTAATTCTAACCCTCTCTTCATAGTTGTATCATCATTACAGATCAACAGTCTCTGGCAGGAGAACCCACTGACTCAGCCTTGGTAACTTAAGGACCAGAACCCATTCTACCTTCTCACCTTCCATACTGGTACTGCGAGAGTTATTGGGCAGATAGACTCTAAGCTAGTCCTCCTGCTCTACCTGCTTCCCAGTATTTTACACGTTTATGTAATCCCTTCCCATGAATGGAGATGAGGACTGTGACTTGTTTCCAACCAATAGAATACAAAAAAAGTAACAGGATATCATTTCCTTGATTATGTTACATTATATAAGACTCTATCTTGCTAGAAGACTCACTCTTGCACTCCTAATGGCCTTGACAAAGCAAGCTGTCATTCTCTGAACTGCCTATGGAGAGGTCCATGTGGCAGTAAACTCCAGGCAACCTCTAGGACAGCCTCCGGCCCAACAGCACCAAAACAAAACAAAAAACTCTGTAGGTCCAATCCTACAAGCAGGAGGAAATGAGTTCTCCTAACAGTGAGACTGAGCTTGGAAACAGGCCCTTCTCCAGTTGAGCACCCAGATGGGAACACAGCCCACACAACTTGGTGGAAGCCTGATGAGACCCTGAAGCAAAGAACCGAGCTAACACAAATCTAGACAGAAACTGTGAGATAATAAATGCATGTTATGTTAAGCTTCTAAGCTTGTGGTAATTATATATTTGTATTACATGTTAATACAAAACTAATACAGCCAGATACTTTCTCAGCCTCCCATCAGCCAGAAATGGCAATGTGACACAATGTGGCCCACATCCACTTTTTTTTTCTTTTTTTTTTTTTGTGATGGAGTCTTACTCTGTCACCCAGGCTGGAAGTGCAATGGCTCAATCTCCACTTACCACAACCTCCGCCTCCCAGGTTCAAGTGATTCTCCTGCTTCAGCCTCCAAGTAGCTAAGATTACTGGCGCATGCCACTGCACCCGCCTAATTTTTGTATTTTTAGTAGAGACGGGTTTCTCCATGTTGGCCAGGCTGGTCTTGAACTCCTGACTTCAGGTGATCTGCCCACCTCGGCCTCCTAACGTGCTGGGATTACAGGCGTGAGCCACCACGCCCGGCCCCACATCCACTTTTATACTTGTCTTCACCAGCTCAATAAGTGACAAGTCAATTTTTTTTTTCAGTTGCTCAGGCCAAAACCTCGGAGTGATCCCTGAGTTCTCTCTTTCTCACATACTTCATATCCACTCCACTGGCAAATCCTGTGCAAATTAGTAGGATATTATAATTAGCTGAGGGAGAGGTGTTAGTGACTAGTACTGAGACAATGATAACGGGGACGGACGAACACAGGTGGACTTTAGAGAGATCCAGAAAGTAGAAACCACAGGACCTGTTAACTGCATCAAAGGTGCAGAGAGAAAGAAAAAGCCCTAAGAATGATTTCCAAGTTTCTGGCTTGGACAACTGAGGTAGGGAACAGAAGAGGGAAAAAAAGTGTGAAACAGATTATGGTCAATTCCATTTTAGATGTGTTTGCTCTGAAGTGCCAGTGAGATATCCAAGTGAAGATGTCTAGTAAGCTACTGGTTACACCAGTGTAGAGCTCAGAACTGAGGGCCACCCATAGTTAGATGTTTAACCGATATGAACAATACCATACTCTTAGAATATAAATGTGATCACATTACTTTTCCTTATTCTAGTTAGGCCCCTTATGTCATATTATTAGGAAGCCTAGTATCTCCTCCTTAATTATCTAAGAACTCCAAAATTGTTTTATATTCTAAAAGTTAAGTATGGGCTGGGCACCGTGGCTCACACCTGTAATCCAGAACTTTAGGAGGCCAAGGTGGGATGATCACTTGAGCCCAAGATTTTTTTTAAAATTATTATTATTATTATACTTTAAGTTTTAGGGTACATGTGCACAATGTGCAGGTTAGTTACATATGTATACATGTGCCATGCTGGTGTGCTGCACCCATTAACTCGTCATTTAGCATTAGGTATATCTCCTAATGCTATCCCTTCCCCCTCCCCCCTGAGCTCAAGATTTTTGAGACCAGCCTAGGTGACATGGCAAAACCCCATCTCTACAAAAAATACAAAAACTAGCTGGGCATGGTGGCACATGCCTGTAGTCCCAGCTACTCAGGAGGCTGAAGTGGGAGGATCACTTGAGCGTGGGAGATGGAGGTTGTAGTCAGCCAAGATCACACAACTGCACTCCAGCTTGGGTGACAGAATGCGACCCTGTCTCAAAAAAAAAAAGGTAAGTATAGCAGTTATCTATTGTCATATAACAAACTGTCTCAAAACTTGTGGCTTAAAACAACAACCATTTATTTAGCTGACATTTTTGTGAGCCAACTGGGCAGTTCTTATGGTCTGGTCCAGTTTATCTAATCACTGCTAGGCTTGCTTATGCATCTGCAGTCGGCTGAGGGCTGGCTGGCTGGTGGCTAAGTCATCTAAAATGGCTTCTGTCACACATATGGCAATTGGCAGGCCATTGGCCATGGCAGTGGGAATGACTAACCCATATAGCTCTCACCATCCTTCAGGCTTACTTGGACTTCTTCACATGACAGCAGTGGTAGGGGGTCCTGTGAGGAGGAAGAGACAGCGAGCCGCAATGTGAAAGCACTTTTCAAATCTCTGTTGATGCCACATTAGCAACTGTGTCATTGCCAAAGCAAGTCAGTGTGGCCAGGGACTAAAGTTACATGGCAAGGGGGAATAGATTCAGGGAGGGGAAGAACTTGTGGCTGTCTTTGAAATCTACTTCAGGAAGATCAGTCCAACTTCCATAGCCAAATTCAGCTATAATTAGATCAGTCCATTGGCATCTTTGCTCCCTGGGACCATATTATGGACTGAATGTTTGTGTCTCCCCCAGATTTGTACGTCAAAGTCCTAACACCTAGTGTGGCTGTATTTGGAGATGAGGCCTCTAAGGAAGTAATTAAACTTAAATGAGGTTTTAAGGGTAGGGCCCTAATCCTATGAGATTAATGTCCTTATAAGCGGAGACACCAGAGCACTCACCCTCTCTCGAGGCACATGTACTGAGGAGGGCCATGTGAGAACATAGTGAGAAGACAGCTGTCTATGGGCCAGGAAGAGTGCCCCCACCAGAATCCAAATTGGCTAGAACCTTGATTTTGGATGTTCAGCCTCTAGAACTGTGAAAAAAATAAATTTCTGTTGTTTAAGCCACCTAATCTGTGTTCTTTTGTTATGGTAGCCCAAGCAGACTAACACAAACCACATAACATTACTTTCAAGAAAGGTCCTTCTGATTCAACAGAGATTTTTTTGAAGGAGGACAATTTCCCTCAGTACTAAGCTCAGTCAAGGATGCCCAGGCCAGAGTTCCCATAATTGAAGCTTAGTCCTTCACTTTTTCATGTCCCATGCAAAGCACAGTCATCTCCCAGGGAAACAAGCAGCCCCAGCACAAATTCTCCCAAGAAGTCCACTTCCTAGGGACTTTCTGCTCTTCCTGTTAAACACTCAATACAGAAGGGGAGGCCAGGTGCAGTGGCTCACGCCTGTAATCCCAGCACTTTGGGAGGCAGAGGCTGGTGGATCACGAGGTCAGGAGATTGAGACTATCCTGGCCAACATGGTAAAACCCCGTCTGTACTAAAAATACAAAAATTAGCTGGGCAAGATGGCCCATGCTTGTAATTCCAGCTACTCGGGAGGCTGAGGCAGGAGAATCACTTGAACCCGGGAGGCGGAGGTTGTGTTAAGCCAAGATCACGCCATTGCCCTCCAGCCTGGCAACAGAGTGAGACTTTGTCTCAAAAAAAAAAAAAAAAAAGAAGGGGTAATTATGCTCCTTTTTCTTAGGCAATGATTACTTGCTAATCCTCTTAAAGGAGATTACCCTAGCGGGCTGGGGAATCTACACATACCCTCCAGGAGAAGGCTGCTTTCAGTGATTCTAACACTCCCTGCTCTTCTAAGACTCCCTAGGTAGTTCAAAAGGGCCCATATTACTCTTCGAAGAGTCAGCTTTGCGCTGGGCACAGAGGCTCACGCCTGTAATCCCAGTACTTAGGGAGGCCGAGGTGAGCAGATCACCTGAGGTCAGCCTGGCCAACATGGCGAAACCCCGTCTCTACTAAAAATACAAAAACTAGCCGGCTGGGCGTGGTGGCAGCCACCTGTAATCCCAACTACTCAGCAGGCTGAGGCAGGAGAATCGCTTGAACCTGGGAGGCGGAGGTTGCAGTGAGCTGAGATTATGCCATTGCACTCCAGCCTGGGCGACAGAACAAGACTCTGTCTCAAAAAAAAAAAAAAAAAAAGAGCCAGCTTCAGTGATTTCTGTATTATTACAGAAATAATGAAAAAAACAGATAGTTGTCCCCCAGTATCTATTCTCCCCTTCTTCTTATTGTTGGACACATGGACACCGAGAATAAAGACAAATTTCTTTGCCTTCTTTGTGACTAAATATAGTCATGTGACTAAGCTGTGGCCAGTGACATGTGAGCATAAGTGATGAGCGCAGCTTCTAAATTATGCTCTTAAAAAGAAACACATCTTCCCTTTCTTCTTTTGGCCCTTCTTTCATCCTGTTTCTTAGAAAGTATCATGGCAGAAATTGATCTTGGACCACAGGAATGGGAAAAACATCCTAGGGATGACAATGCAACAGTAAAGAAAGTTCCTAGATGAACTGACAGAGCAGAACTGCCATACTTGCCTTCTGTACTATATGTGAGAGAGAAATACACTCCTATCTCGTTGAAGTCAGTTACTTTGGGTATCCGTAACAAGTAGCCAAACTTTTCTTTCTTTCTTTTTTTTTTTTTTTTGAGACAGTCTCACTCTGTCACCCAGGCTGGAGTGCAGTGGTGCCATCTCGGCTAACTAACCTCCGCATTCCAGGTTTAAGTGATTTTTGTGCCTCAGCCTCCTGAGTAGCTGGGATTACAGACATGCACCACCGTGCCTAGCTGTTTTTTGTATTTTTAGTAGAGACAGGGTTTCACCATGTTGGCCAGGCTGGTGTCCAACTCCTGACCTCAAGTGATCTGCCCGCCTTGGCCTCCCAAAGTACTGGGATTACAGGAATGAGCCACCATGCCTGGCCATGAGTAACCAAATTTCTATCTTAATGATTTACTATGATGATTCTGATTCCTCTTTTGCTAGAGAAGCTAGTGGGTCACAACTTTTTTTTTATTTACTTATTTTAATTTTTTAAAAACTTTGTTTTGTAGAGACAAGGGTCTCACTGTGTTGCTCAGGCTGGTCTCAAACTCCTGGCCTCAAGCAATTCACCCACCTCAGCCTCCCAAAGTGCTGAGATAACAGCCATGAGCCGCCATGCCGTGACTTTAAAAAAATTTTTTTAGGCCGGGCGTGGTGGCTCATGCCTGTAATCCCAGCACTTTTGGAGGCCAAGGCGGGCAGATCACCTGAGGTCAGGAGTTTGAGACTAGCCTGGCAAACTTGATGAAACCCTGTCTCTACTAAAAATACAAAAATTAGCCAGGCATGGTGGTAGACGCCTGTAATCCCTGCTACTCGGGAGGCTGAGGCACAAGGATCACTTGAACTTGGGAGGTGGAGGTTGAAGTGAGCAGAGATCATGCCTCTGCGCTCTAGCCTGGGTGACAAAGCGAGGCTCTGTCTCAAAACAAACAAAAAAAATTATTTATTTATTTATTTATTTTTTGAGACAGAGTCTCACTCTGTCACCCAGGCTGGAGTGTAGTGGTGCAATCTCGGCTCACTGCAACCTCCACCTCAAGTGATCCTCCTGCCTCAGCCTCCCAAGTAGCTGCGAGTAGTACAGGTGCCCGCCACCACGCCAGGCTAATTTTTGTATTTTTAGTAGAGACGGGGTTTCACCATGTTGGTCAGGCTGTTCTCGAACTTCTGACCTCGTGATCTGCCCACCTTGGCCTCCCAAAGTGTTGGGATTACAAGCATGAGCCACTGTGCCCAGCCAAAAAAAAAATTTTTAAGATGAAGTCTCACTCTGTCATGCTGGAGTACAGTAGCATGGACATAACTCACTGTATCCTGGAACTCCTGGGCTCAAGAGATCCTCTACCTCAGCCTCCTGAGGAGCTGGAACCACAGGCTTGAGCCACCACACTCATGTAATTTTTTAAATTATTTTTATTATTATAATATTTTTGTTTAGACAGACTGGAACTCATTCCAACTAAAATAATTGGATTCCCCACTCCTACTTTTGTCTTCTCCAATCTATGCTTCATCCAGCACTGGTTTCTAAGAAATATAAGTCAAGAGGCTTTGTTTAATGTACAAAGCTAAGCACGTGTTTTTACAACTTCCCTTCCAAAAGTCCCATGGAATTTGTACCAAAAATAAATAAAATAAATCCAGTCTGTGATAAATTCCTAAAAGACTAAAAGCAGACAAATACAATATCTAATCCCATACAATTATTAAAAAAAGAAGACACATTTTTTTTACAGAGATAGGATCATAATGATGGATAAACTAGAGTTGAAAAAGCCACAGTCCAGAACAGCAGTCCCCAAACTTTTTGGTACCAGGGACTGGTTTCGTAGAAGAAAATTTTTCCGGGGGGTGGGGGTGGTTTCAGGATGAAACTGTTCCACCTCAGTTCATCAGGCATTTGTTAGATTCTTACAAGGCAGGCACAACCTAGACCTGTTGCATGCCCAGTTCACAATAGGGTTTGTGCTCTTATGAAAATCTAATGCCGCTGATCTAACAGGAGGTGGAGCTCAGACAGTAATGCTCATGTGCCTGCCACTCACCTTCTGCCATGCAGCCTGGTTCCTAACGGGCTGCAGACCGGTACCAAGTGGTCCAGGGGTTAGGGACCCCTGGTCCAGATTATGCACAGAAAAGGCTAAAATGGGAGTGGAAATAGACTTCCTGGGAGAGAGAATTTCTAAATTGAAGTTAGCACGAACAGAGAACATCTGAGAAGGGAAACAAAGATCAAAATAATAAATCGGAGCAGTCTTTGGAACAGCTGCACTACTTGACATCCTTCTCTCTAACCATAGACAGCCACAAACTCCCCTGATACTTCTAAATATATCCTGAGAATAAATGGAAGAATCACCCTAGGAGATTTGGTGCCCTAAGGCTCCTTATTTTGGTATTTGGGTGGGGGAAATTTTATTAACTAATTCCTTCCCCATTATAATTATTTATTTTCCTTTGAAAACAAGCCCAAACATCAAACTTATCAGTTACACTTTTGGAAATTTAGTTGTTCAGAAACTTCATCTTCCATGTACTCTTCTTGAAAAAAAAATTCATTACAAGTGTGTATTCCAGCAAAAAATATAAATAAATCTTTTAAAAAAAAAGGTTGATATGGGGAGAAACAATTGACCTAATATAAAAATACAATGAAAAGAAATATCAAGATTTAGCTACACAACAAGCCTAAAGTGTAATTGTTCCAAATTAGAATAAAAAGTCAAAAGTTGGACCGGGCGCGGTGGCTTACGCCTGTAATCCCAGCACTTTGGGAGGCCAAGGCATGAGGATAACAAGGTCAGGAGATCGAGACCATCCTGGCTAATATGGTAAAACCCCGTCTCTACTAAAAATACAAAAAATTAGCCAGGCGTGGTGGCACGCACCTGTAGTCCCAGCTACTCGGAAGGCTGAGGCAGGAGAATTGCTTGAACCCAGGAGGCAGAGGTTGCAGTGAGCTGACATCGCGCCACTGCACTCCAGCCTGGTGACAGAGCAAAACTCCGTCTCAAAATAAATAAATAAATAAGTCAAAAGTTAAAATGGGTCCTAGCCAGAGAAATTAGTCAAGAAAAGAAATAAAGGATCTCTAAACTGGAAAGGAAGTAGTCAAATTGTTCCTGTTTGCAAATGACATGATCTTACATGTGGAAAACCCTAAAATCTCTACCAAAACACTCCTAAAATTCATAAACAAATTCAGTAACATTGCAGAATACAAAATCAACATACAAAAATTTAGTAACATTTCTATACACAAACAACAAACAAATATAAAAAGCAATCTCATTTAACATAGCTACAAAAAAGTAAAATACCTAGGAATAAGTTTAACCAGAGAAGTGAAAGATCTCTACAAGGAAAACCATAGGACACTGATGAAAGAAATTGAAGAGGAGGTTGGGTGCAGTGGTTCACGCCTGTAATCCTAGCACTTTGGGTGGCCAAGGCGGGAGGATAACTTGAGGTCAGGAATTTGAGACCAGCCTGGCCAACATGGTGAAATCTTGTCTCTACTAAAAATACAGAAGTTAGCCAGGCATGGTAGTACGTGCCTGTAGTCTCAGCTAATTGGGAGGCTAAGGCACAAGAATTGCTTGAACCTGGGAGTGGGGGACTGCAGTGAGCCATGATCGCACCACTACACTCCATCCTGGGCAACAGAGCAAGACTCTGTCTTAAAAAAATAAAAGAAGAGAAGAGGAGAGGGGAGGGGAGGGGAGGGGAGACAAGACAAGACAAGAGAAAAGAAAAGAAGAGAAAAAAGAAAAGAAAAGAAAGAAGTTGGAGAGGACACACAAAAAAATGGAAAGACATCTCACATCTCATGTTCATGGATTGGAAGAACCAGTAACATAAAAATGATCATACAACCAATAATGTCAAAATGATCATACTACCAAAAGCTGTCTATAGATTCAATGCAATCCCTATCAAAATACCAGTGACATTCTTCTCAGAATGTTTCACAGAAAAAAATCCTAAAATTCATATGGAACTACAGAAAACTCCTAATAGCCAAAGCAATCCTGAGCAAAAAGAACAAAGTGGGATGCATCACACTACCTGACTTCAAAATATACTACAAGGCTATAGTAACTAAAACAGCATAGTACTGACCTAAAAATGGATATATACACCTATGGAATGGAATAGAGAACGCGAAATAAATCCATGTATTTACAGCCAACTGATTTTTGACTAAGGCACCAAGAACATTCATTGGAGGAAGTAAAGTCTCTTCAATAAATGTACTAGGAAAACTGGATATCTGTATGCTGTAGAATGAAACCAGACCTTTATCTCTCACAATATACAAAAATCAACTCAAAATGGACTAAAGACTTAAATGTAAGACCTGAAACTATGAAACTACTAAAAGAAAGTATAAAAGAAACACTCCAAAACATGGGACTGGGCAAAGATTTTATAGATAATACCTCACAAGCACAAGCAACAAACTCAAAAATAGCTGGGCCCAGTGGCTCATGCCTGGAATCCCAGCACTTTGGGAGGCCGAGGCAGGTGGATTACCTGAGGTCAGGAGTTTGAGACAAGCCTGGCCAAAATGGTGAAACCCCATCTCTACTAAAAATACAAAAAATTATTCAGGCATGTTGGTGGGCACCTGGAATCCCAGCTACTCAGGAGGCTGAGGCAGGAGAATTGCTTGAACCCGGGAGGCAGAGGTTGCAGTGAGCTGAGGTCATGCCATTGCACTCCAGCCTGGGCAATAAGAGCAAAACTTTGTCTCAAAAAAAAAGAAGCAAAAATAGACAAAAGGGATTATTACTATATCAAACTAAAATCTTCTCCACAGCAAAGGAAACTATCAACAGAGTGAAGAGACAACCAGTAGAATGGGAGAAAATATTTTCAAAATATTAATCTGGCAAAGGATTAATACCACGAATATACAAGGAACTCAAACAATTCAACAGCAAAAACACCCAAAGAATCCAATTTTTTTAAATGGGCAAATGAGTTGAATAGACATCTCTCAAATGAGACATACAAATGGCCAGCAGGTATATAAAAGAACGCTCAACATCACTAATCACCAGGGAAATTCAAATCAAAACCACAATGAGATAACATCTCACTCCAGTTAGAATGGCTACTATCAGAAAGACAAAAAAATAACAAATTCTGGAGAAGATGTGGAGAAACGGGAACTCTACATATTGCTGGAGGGAATGTAAATTAGTACAGCCATTATGGAAAACAGTATAGAGGTTCCTCAAAAAATGAAAAACAAAGCGGGGCACAGTTGCTCACGCCTGTAATCCCAGCACTTTGGGAGGCTGAGGTGGGCGGATCACGAGGTCAGGAGATTGAGACCATCCTGGCTAACATGGTGAAACCCCGTCTCTACTAAAAATACAAAAAATTAGCTGGGCATGATGGCATGTACCTGTAATCCCAGCTACTTGGGAGGCTGAGGCAGGAGAATAGCTTGAACTCGGGAGGCAGAGGTTGCAGTGAGCCAAGATTGCGCCACTGCACTCCAACCTGGCGACAGAGTGAGACTCCGTCTCAAAAAAAAAAAAAAAAAAAGAAAAGAAAAAAGAAAAACAGAGCTGTCTGATGAGCCAGCAATTGCACTACTGAGCATATATCCAAAGGAAATTATGTTATCTGCACTCCCATGTTTTTTGCAACACTATTCACAACAGCCTATGTATATCTATAGGTTATATACAGATATATATAGATAGATATCACATTTTCTTTATGTGTATATATATATATATATATATACTCCATTGTGTGTGTGTATATACTCCATTGTGTGTGTGTATATACACATATGCACATATATATACACATATGTGTGTATGTACATACATACATACACACATATATAATACATACAATGGAATATATATATATACACACACAATGGAATATATATAGACACACACACAATGGAACACTATATCTATATACACACATACGCACACACACAATGGAATATATATATACACACAATGGAATACTATATATATATATACGCACACACACCCCCACAATGGAATATATATACGCACGCACGCATATATATACACATACACTTAATTTCCCTCACACACACAATGGGATACTATTCATCGGTAAAAGAACAAAATCCTATCATCTGTGAAAACATGAAAAAGTTACCTGTAATCTCAGCTACTCGGGAGGCTGAGGCAGGAAAATGGCTTGAACCCGGGAGGCGGAGCTTGCAGTGAGCTAAGATAGTGCCACTGCACTCCAGCCTGGGCAAAAGAGCGAGACTCTCTCTCAAAAAAAAAAAAAAAAAGAAAAAAAAGAAATATCACGCTGTACCCAGTAAATATATATAATTATTGTGTCAGTGAAAAATAATAAAAGCAAAAAACCCTTTTTAATGTTTTAAATAGTTAAAATGGAACAAATGCCAATTAAATGATAGTATGTTTATGAAGATGAAAGATTTTATTGATATGGCAACAAAGACAGTAGCTTCTAACAAGATTAAAAGAATGGCTATTAGAATTACCTAGCTAGCACAGTGGCTCATGCCTATAATCCCAGCACTTTGGGAGGCCTAGGCAGGAGGAGCAATTGAGGCCAGGAGTTCATAGACCAGCCTGGGCAACACAGCGAGATCCTGTCTCTACAAAAAATTTAAAAATTAGCCAGGCATGGTGGCACATACCTGTAGTCCTAGCTACTTGGGAGGTTGAAGCAGGAGAATCCCTTAACCCCAGGAGTTTGAGGCTGCAGTGATTTATGATCATGTCACTGCACTCGAGCCTGGGAAACAGAGTTAGACTCTGTCTCTAAAAAACAATAAAATAATTTTTAAAAAGGAATTTCCAGAAAAACATAAAACCATGGTTTAAAAATGAAACAAATTAAAATGCTGCTTCTATTTTAGCAATCAATGGATAATAAGATAAGAAAACCCACATGGTCCTGACATTTCTATTTCTGTTTTTAAAATTTTATAATTTTGAGGTTAGATTTTTAAAAATCCTGATAGACTTGGGAACATCTTTGAAAACGTCAGCCATTATTAATTATGCTTGTCTCCATCCATTTCTTGTCCTTCCTCTACACTGCTGTACACTGCAGAGGACTAGCTGGTGCAAGTTATGTTTCTTTTTTCTTTCTTTTTTTTTTTTGGATACAGAGTCTCACTCTGTCACCCAGGCTGGAGTGCAGTGACACAATCTCGGCTCACTGTACCCTCCACCTCCCAGGTTTAAGCGATTCTCTTGCCTCAGCCTCCTGAGTAGCTGGGATTACAGCTGTGCGCCACTACTTCTGGCTAATTTTTTTATTTTTAGTAGAGACGAGTTTTCACCATGTCGGTCAGGCTGGTCTCAAACTCCTGACCTCGTGATCCTCCTGCCTTGGCCTCCCAAAGTTCTGGGATTACAGGCATGAGCCACTATGCCCGGCCACAAGTTATATGTCTTTCTTTTTGTTTTTGTTTTTGTTTTGTTTTTTTGATACAGAGATTTGCTCTTATTGCCTAGGCTGGAGTCCAATGGTGTGATCTTCGCTCACTGCAACCTCTGCCTCCCAGGTTCAAGCGATTCTCCTGCCTCAGCCTCCCACGTAGCTGGGATTACAGGCATGTACCACCATGCCCAGCTAATTTGTATCTTTAGTAGAGAGGGGGTTTCACTATGTTGGTCAGGCTGGTCTTGATCTCCTGACTTCAGGTGATCCACCCACCTTGGCCTCCCAAAGTGCTGGAATTATAGGCCACTGTGCCCGGCTGGCTGGCTGGCTGGCTGGCTTGCTTGCTTGCTTGCTTTTTTTTTTTTTTTTTTTTTTGACAGTGTCTCGCTCTGTTGCCCAGGCTGGAGTGCAATGGCACCATCTTGGCTCACTGTAACCTCCTCCTCCCAGGTTCAAGTGATTGTCCTGCCTCAGCTTCCCGAGTAGCTGGGACTGCAGGCGCCTGCCACCACGTCCAGCTAATTTTTGTATTTTTAGTAGAGATGGGGTTCCACCATGTTGGTCAGGCTGGTCTTGATTTCCTGACTTCAGGCAATCCACCCACCTCGGCCTCCCAAAGTGCTGGGATTACAGGCATGAGCCACTGCGTCAGGCCCGCAAGTTATATTTCTAAAGTTCTTTCACCTGGTTACTTTTGGTTAATGGGAGGGATATTGGAGGATTTCTGCTTCAGCCAGCATCTTCAACATTGACTGTGTCTTTCTGATCTCACCAGAGTCTCTTCCTCCTTATCTTGCTTCCACGGGGTGGTCCTTCCCTTAGTGGTTTCAGTTCCCATTGAGTGGTCCCAGCTCATGGGTTCTGTAACCACTACCTCCTCCGCTGATTCTCCAGCCCTCGGGGTGGTAGAGGCTTCCTGCTGTTGCTAATTTCTGAATTGCTTCCCCATTCCCTATTTCACTTCCAACCCATTTGTAACTACCCTCCTGTATAAAATTCCTTCTATTTAACAACGTGGCATAGACTCCATTTCTGTTTCTCTGACTGGACCCAGATGTAATTAATCTAAGTAGTGTATATGGACCATGGGAATTAATGCCATTCAATCAACCATCAAAAGACAAGGAGAGGCCGGGTGCCATGGCTCATGCCTGTAATCCCAACACTTTGGGAGGCTGAGGCAGGTGGATCACTTGTGGTCAGGAGTTCAAGACCAGCCTGGGCAGCATAGTGAGACCCTGTCTCTACAAAAAAAAAAAAAAAAAAATAGCCAGGCATGATGGCTTACACCTGTAGTCCTAGCTACTCAAGAAGCTGGTGGGAGAATCACTTGAGCCCAGGAGTTCAAGGCTGCAGTGAGCCATGATCGTGCCACTGCACACTTCAGCCTGGTTGACAGAGTGAGACCTGTCTCTAAAAAAGTACAAAGAAAAAAGAAATAAAGAAAAATAGAAGCCTAAAAGATTTACTGTCTGGCCATTTACAGAAAACATTTGCTGACCTCCATATTAGGTAATGGAGTAGCCAGGCTCAGAGACATGCTTTGAGAAGGCTGGTTGTGCTTGTATAATCATTCCAAGCAAGGTGGAAATTGGTGGTAGAGAGGCTAGTGGGGAACCCAATGCAGTAATCCAGAAGGGAGATGAGGAGGACTGTATTAGTCAAAACTTTTTGATTGCAAGTGATCAAAACCTAACCTAACCAGACAAGCAAAAGTGAACATGGAACAACCTGCAAGTTGTCTCTCCAATATCCATTCCTTGTCTTGCATACTAAGAAAAGCCCAATTTAGTATGGGTCAGCAGTATATGTAGTAGCTAAAATATTTACCTTTCCAGAGTGCAGGTTGGGATAATCTGCACTTAGGGGAGACCATATGACCCAGTTCTGGCCACTGGAAGAATAAAGGAATTTTCAAAGTTAGGCTTGCAGAGGTACATGCCTGGTATGCTTGTTCTTTCAGCCCTTTGTCCCTCATCTTTTCCCTCTCTTCTTGCTAAGAAAGCAGACTCCATTTGGGATGTACAGTCACTATCTTGCCTCACACTGAGAATAGTGGAGCAGGCAAACATAGAAGCCTGGGTCTTTTATGACATCCTGTAACCTGGAGCAACTGCTCTAACCCTGGAATGCCTACCTCTAAGCATTTTTTTTTTTTTGAGACGGAGTCTCACTCTGTCACCCAGGATTCAATACAGTGGTGAGTGGTGTGATCACGGCTCACTACAACCTCTGTCTCCTAGGTTCAAGCAATTCTCCTTCCTCAGCCTCCCTAATAGCTAGGATTACAGGTGCCCACCACCATGCCGGACTAATTTTTGTATTTTAGTAGAGATGGGGTTTCGCCATGTTGGCCAGGCTGGTCTCAGACTCCTGACCTCAAGTGATCCACTGGCCTTGGCCTCCCAAAGTGCTGGGATTACATACATGAGCCACTGTGCCCACCCCATCTATTGATGGGAAGAAAATTAACTCCTATATGGATAAGCCGTGTTAATTACTTGCAGCCAAACACATCCCTAACTGATACAGAGAATTTGTTGGAAAAATCCTAAAGTAACTCAGATTATTCAAACTGAATCCCATTACTGTCTTTTGCATATTGGATTCATTTTCTTTTCTTGCACTCATCTGGCTTTCTTTACTCCTTGATCCACATGGCAGAAAATACGGCCATGGCTGGCTGGGCGAGGTGGTTCATGCCTGTAATCCCAGCACTTTGGGAGGCTGAGGCGGGCGGATCACGAGGTCAGGAGTTTGAGACCAGTCTGGCTAACATGGTGAAACCCTGTCTCTACTAAAAATACAAAAATTAGCCAGGTGTGGTGGCACGTGCCTATAGTCCCAGCTACTCAGGAGACTGAGGTGGGAGAGTCGCTTGAACCCAGGAGGCAGAGGTTTCAGTGAGCCAAGATCGTGCCACTGCACTCCAGCCTGAGTGACAGAGCAAGACTCCGTCTCAAAAAAAAAAAAAAAAAAGAAAGAAAGAAAATATGGCCATGGCCAACAACAGCTTCTATGTTTTACACTGTATATCTACAGTCATTGAAGAGAGATTAACCACACTCTCTTGGTCCTAAATATTAAAAAGTAAGAAGAAACTCACTGTCCCACTTCGGGCCACATGACTGCCTGCAGACCTATCAACCATAGACAGATAGGGTAGGTCAAATATGGGCATGCAATCTCCAGTAGGAACCACATGAATAGAATGGGAGGAGAGGCAGTGCCCACCGGAAGGAAGACTCCTGACAGACAAAACCACAGATACTTACTACAAAACCTGAACGAGGGTGGTGGTAGCAGAGTTAGAAGACAGATTCAAAAAATAATTAGGGAGAAATCAATAGTTGACTGATTGGTTTCGGGGGAGGGCAGTGAAAAAGAAGGAAAAGTTAAGAACAACTTCAAGGGTTTTGTTTCTTGTGAAAAAAAAAGAATTACTGATTGAATCAAAATGAATTATTATTAACAGTAACTTTGGCTGTCAGTTCTTCTCTTTACATACTTCACACAGATTTTAACACCAGATTCTAACCTTAGTTCCTAAAGATTCCACATGTCAATATGAAAATCACAAAGCTGCTGGGCGTAGTAGCTCATGCCTGTAATCCCAGCACTTTGGGAGGCTGAGGCAGGCAGATGACGAGGTCAGGAGTTTGAGACCATCCTGGCCAACATAGTGAAACCCCGTCTCTACTAAAAATACAAAAAAAATTAGCCGGGTGTGGTGGTGTGCGCCCCTGTAGTCCCAGCTACTCGGGAGGCTGAGGCAGGAGAATCGCCTGAACCCGGGAGGCAGAGGTTGCAGTGAGCCAAGATTGCGACACTGCACTCCAGCCTGGGTGACAGTGCAAAACTCCGTCTCAAAAAAAAAAAAAAAAATCACAAAGCTTCCAATGAATGAAGGAGCAGAAAGCAGGGAATAGGTAGTTCACAAAGGATGAAATTAAAGAAGTCGCTGGGCACGGTGGCTCACACCTGTAATCCCAGCACTTTGGGAGGCTGAGGTGGGCAGATCACTTAAGTCCAGGAGTTCAAGACCAGTCTGGCCAGCACGGCAAAACCCAGTCCCTACTAAAAATGCAAAAAATTAGCCAGGCGTGGTGGCACGCACCTGTAGTCCCAGCTGCTTGGGAGGCTGAGGCACCAGAACCACTTGAACCTGGGAGGTGGAGGTTGCAGTGAGCCAAGATCACACCACTGCCCTACAGTGTGGGCAACAGAGCAAGACTCTGTCTCAAAAAAAAAAAAAAAAAAAATTAAAGGGGTTAACAAACATGAAAAATGTTCTAACTTACTAGTGATCAAAGAAATGTAAATCAAAACAAGGAGGTAAGTCATTCTAAAAAGCTTATTAGATTAGCAAGTGGGCTGGCTACTGAGGCAATGTGCTAGACCTGGGTGCTCAGCTGTGTTTCAGATGACAAAGGCAATAGGCACAGCCTTTAGAGTAAGTATTGTGGCCAGAGTTATTCATGAACCATAGAGATGTTCCACTCCCATGATTTCACCACTGAAAAAAGATCCTAAGCAAATAATCCAAACTGTGGAAAAAAAGCCCTATGTATTAAAGATGTTTTTCACAGCATTGCTTAAAAGAGTAAAAATAATTTACAAACTAATAGTTGGCCGGGTGCGGTGGCTCACACCTGTAATCCCAGCACTTTGGGAAGCCAATGAGGGCTGATCACGAGGTCAGGAGATCGAGACCATCCTGGCTAACACGGTGAAACCCCATCTCTACTAAAAATACAAAAATTAGCTGGGCCTGGTGGCGGGCGCCTGCGGTCCCAGCTACTCAGGAGGCTGAGGTAGGAGAATGGCATGAACCCGGAAGGCGGAGCTTGCAGTGAGCCGAGATCCCGCCACTGCACTCCAGCGTGGGCAACAGAGCGAGACTCTGTCTCAAAAAACAACAACAACAACAACAACAACAACAACAAAAACCTAATAGTTAAGTACTGGCCTAATAAATTATGATATCCTGTTACAATGCAACCTTATGCAACCATTAAAATGATACCAAATAAAAAGGATATAGCAACACAGAAAATGCTTTTGGCCGGGTGCGGTGGCTCATGCCTATAATCCCAGCACTTTGGGAGGCTGAGGTGGGTGGATCACAAAGTCAGGAGTTCGAACCAGCCTGGCCAATATGGTGAAACCCTGTCTCTACTAAAAATACAAAAATTAGCCAGGCATGGTGGCGTGCACTTGTAGTCCCAGCTACTAGGGAGGCTGAGGCAGAAGAATTGCTTGAATCCGGGAGGTGGAGGTTGCAGTGAGCTGAGATTGCACCACTGGGTGACAGAGCGAGACTCCATCTCAAAAAAAAAAAGAGAGAAAGAAAATACTTTCAATGTAACCTTAATTATATTAGCAATGTTCCATGTATAAATTCAAATAAACCCAAAGCATATGAAGTAATAAATGAAAATTCACTTCAGGGTAATTATTACTAGAAGTTTTGTGTGTCTGCAAAATTTTTCTATGCACACAAAATTGTATATCTCAATACTTTTACTCTTCGTGTGTCAAAAATTTTCCATGTCATTAATAGTTCTCTAAAACATTAAATGGCAGTTTGATAATGTACTATGCAAATAACTTGTAAGTATGTACTCAATATTCCCATTATTATCAGTAAAGTATGATACAATTTTGGATGCAAATAATCAAAACTCACCCAAGCTAGCTTAAGGAAAAGATATAAGCTGCTATAAGGATACTGAAGTGTTTCTCAGGATGCAGAAGTAGGAATACAAAAAGTGACTAGAATGTAGGTGAAATGCTCCAGAGAATATTTTGTCTCTACATCTTATCTCTGCTTCTCTCCACATCTCTGCCCCTATTCTCCTCTCTCTGCAGACTGGCTTTCTCTGTTTTTCAGTCTATCTGGAGGACAATAGCCGTGATACAGTTCCTAAATTTTCACACTCCTTCCATTCTAGATATCAGTCCAAACTAAACCAGAATTCCTAGGTGAGAAAGACAATACAATTGACCTAGTTTGGCCAGGTGTCTACCCCAGTCTAATCAACAGTGGTCAGTGGATCAAGGTTCTGCTTCTGAGGCTTGAATAAGAAAGGTGGTGATGTGAATCAGTTCCACTATTCTCAAAAAATGGTGAATCATTTGTGAGCTGAGAAGATACCCCAAGAGATGTCTACTATAGCCTCCATGTGTCAATTTCTCTTCTTAGAATGGATAGATTAAGTGAAATTATTAGGTCAAATGATATGAGCATTTGAAGACCAATTGCTTTCCAATCTACTTTTATTTTTTATTTATTTATTTTTTTTGAGACACAGTCTTACTCTGATGCCCAGGCTAGAGTGCAGTGGCATGATCTCAGCTCACTACAGCCTCTGTCTCCCAGGTTCAAGCGATTCTCACGCCTCAGCATCCCCCATATAGCTGGGATTACAGGTTTACACCCCCCCACCCCCAGCTTATTTTTTGTATTTTTAGGAGAGACAGGGTTTCACGATGCTAGCCAGGCTGGTCTGGAACTCCCGGTCTCAAGTGGTTCTCCCACCTCGGCCTCCCAAAGTGCTGGGATTACAGATGTGAGCCACTACGCTCAGCTCCAATCTACTTTTTTTTTTTTTTTTTTTTTGAGATGGAGTCTCGCTCTGTCACCCAGGCTGGAGTGCAGGGGTGCTATCTCAGCTCACTGCAAGCTCCACCTCCCAGGTTCATGCCATTCTCCTGCCTCAGCCTCCTGAGTAGCTGGGACTACAGGCGCCCACCACCATGCCCAGGTAATTTTTTGTATTTTTAGTAGAGACGGGGTTTCACCATGCTAGCCAGGATGGTCTCGATCTCCTGACCTCGTGATCCGCCCACTTCGGCTTCCCAAAGTGCTGGAATTACAGGTGTGAGCCACCTCGCTTGGCCCCAAAAGCTTCTTAAGCTGATAAACAACTTCAGCAAAGTTTCAGGATACAAAATCAATCACTAGCAGAAAGCACTAGCATTCCTATCCACCAACAACATCAGGTGTCTGGGCTTCCACAGCTTCTTCTTCTTGAAGTAAGTATCAATAAGATGTTTGGGGATTTTTACATTGCCGATATCAATTTTGGTTGAGGTGGCAATGACAAATTTCTGGTATGTTCTTCGTAGAGGAATTCGATTGAGGACCAGAGGTCCAGTCACAAGTAACAAACCACTAGCCAGCTGCTTCAGGAAAACCACCTTCTTGCCCCTATGGCATCCAGCGAGGATGATGAGAATGGTCCCGGGAGTGATGCTGGCTCGCAGTTTTCTCACGTGCTGACTGAAGGATTTTTTGCCATGGCTCAACAGCTTTCGAGGCACATCTTCAGTAGGATAATATCTAGGCATTTTGCGAAGTTTAACCACCCGGGCACCGCCATTCTTGTCACAACCAACTGGTTTTGTAACAGTTGCAAGAACCTTCTCCTTCTTTTTCTTTTCAACCTTAGATTTAGCGGCTGAGTACTTCCTCTTGTACATGGCCTTTCTGGAATACATGGCAGATCGGCAATACCTGCCAATTCCTCTGACAAGGACAGGGTTGCGGCTGCAATGGGGCTTTCCCTTCTTGGGCTTTTTAGCCTTGAGGTTACCCTTTTTCACCTTGCCACCAACATCAGCCTTCTTGGCTTTGGGTTTCTTCTCTTTAGCATCTGGCTTCTCAACTTTTTCACCCACCATCTTGCAAGATGGGAAACAAGTGTCTGCATTTCTTCCAGTCTGCCCACACCTGTTCTCCAGCCACTGCTGTCTCCTGCCTGGTTCCCCTCTCTGCCCTGCCACCAGTTCTTCTGGTCCTCTTCTCCTCCCTGGGAGCCATAGCTGCCTTTGGGCTATACAGGTCTCCCAGCTCTGTTTTCTGGAAAGACAATATTTGTAGAGAAAGTTCAGAGGTCCTCATTAGCAGGAGTCAACACCGCAGCAGTCTATATTGCAGAACAGAAGCTGGGCACTTACATGTGGTATCAAAGCATCAGCTGCCTGGAGAACTTTTCTTTGCTAGTGCTGCAGATAGAGCATGCAGTTATGCAGACCAAAGTTTCATTCTCCTGCCCTGCATCTCTCCATGATTTCACCCGCCCCACCCACAGACTCCAATACACAATTCAATCATTGCATTTTGTGTATGGTGTTGTCATTATCTATCTCCCCCTTAAAGTACTAACTCCGGCCGGGTGTGGTGGCTCACGCCTGTAATCCCAACACTTTGGGAGGCTGAGACGGGTGGATCATCTGACATCAGGAGTTCGAGATGAGCCTGACCAACATGGCGAAACCCCATCTCTACTAAAAATACAAAAAAATTAGCTGGGCACGGTGGCAGGCGCCTGTAATCCCAGCTACTTGGGAGGCTGAGGCAGGAGAATCGCTTGAACCCGGGAGGCGGAGGTTGCAGTGTGCTGAGATTGCACCACTGCACTCCAGCCTGGGAGACAGAGCGAGACTTCATCTCAAAAAAAAAAAAAGGACCAACTCCTTGAGGACAGGGACTATGTCTACCTTGTTTATCTCTGCGTCTTCAGTACTATTAAATTCCTCTCCTAGATTTCCTCTGCTAACACTTCCTTGGATCCTCTTAGATTAGCTCCCTCACTGGGGAAAATAAAAAATAAAGGCTATAGGTAGAATAGAGGTTCAAGAAGAACCATTTGTCATCTACAAAGCTAAATAACAAGAGCAGTAAGTTTGTTTTGTTTTGTTTTTGAGACCAAGTCTCACTCTGTTGCTCAGGCTGGAGTGCAGTGGCACAATCTCAGCTCTGCTTCCTCTGCTTCCCAGGTTCAAGTGATTCTAGTGCTTCAGCCTCCCAAGTAGCTGGGACTACAGGCATGTGCCACCACGTCTGGCTAATTTTCGTATTTTTAGTAGAGACAGGGTTTTGCCATGTTGGCCAGGCTGGTTGTGAACTCCTGGCCTCAGGTGATCCATCCGCCTCAGCCTCCCACAGTACTGGGATTACAGGTGTAAGCCACTGTGCCTGGCCTAGAACAGTAAGATTTTTTAACTGAGCCCTGAATTTACAAGGCTTATGGTGAAAGGAATCTAACATTTTCTAAGTGCCTACTAACTACTAGGCATCTGTCTTATTCAATACTCTCTCATTTACTTGGTTTCTCTCCACCGTAGGAAAGATGGTAGCCAGCAGCCCCAGGCTTACATTATCTCAGACAAGATCCTGCAATGAAAAAGGAGAGGGATTCTCTCTCGCAGTATATAGATTAAGCCAATAAAAGATTCTGATTAGCTCTCTTGGGTTACATGTGCCCTGTGGACCCATTACTGCACCAGGGAGATGAAATACTATGACAGATGTGGCTGAGTTACGTGTCCTATGACAAAGAGGGGCAAGTTATTATCCAAACAAATGGGGTAGGAAAGCTTGATGGGCAGTAAAAGAGCATTAGTTTACACAGCTATGAAGTATTAAAGCAAGTCGCGCGTGGTGGCTCACTCCTGTAATCCCAGCACTTTGGGAAGCTGAGGCAGGTGGATCACCTGAGGTCAGGAGTTCGAGACCAGCCTTGCCAACATAGTGAAACCCCATCTCTACTAAAAATACAAAAAATTAGCCAGGTATGGTGGCGGGCACCTGTAATCCCAGCTACTCTGGATGCTGAGGCAGGAGAATCACTTGAACCCGGGAGGTGGAGGTTGCAGTGAGCCGAGATCACGCCATTGCACTCCAGCTTGGGCAACAAGAGCGAAATTCCATCTCAAAAAAAAAAAAAGTATTAAAGCAATTCTGTCATTGGAGCCTCTCCTCTAATGTTATAACCATTATACTATATGGATTGCCTTTTTCTGCCCTGAGGAGATGGATTCAAAGATATTAAAGGGCCTTTTCAGCTCTCTGTTAGAGAGAGAACATGTTCTTTGCACCAAACCTTGATCACTGGGCCTGATCTGAAATAATCCAGAGAACTAGACATCCAGCACATCTGGGTGGATCTGTTCCCATGACTAGGTCTTCAGAGCTGATATTGGGACAGACAGGAAATTTCAGGCCCAGACAGAATCCTTGTCAGTCCCCAAGCAATTAGGGTTGTTTTCAAACCAAATACATTCACACCCCATTTATTTGACCTACTTCATTATCGGTCTTCCTTCAAATGACAACAGAACCTTCAAACTCACCTCTGCTCTAGCCGTTTTATCCACTTGCTTTTGAAAAAGACTTGCCGCTGAAATTCATCCATCTCTTCAAAAATAATTTGTTAAACACCTGCTATATACAAGAAACTATACTGGGTAACTTTAAAAACCTTAAGAATAAAAAGTCTGCAGGTGGTTGAATCTGCAGACGTCAGTCAGACCAGATGAAATCTTCTACTGAGTTCCTTCAGATACATCCAAACTCAAAGGTCAACAGAACAATGAACAAAGCAGGTATGACGGACCCAGCACGGTGGATCACACCTGTAATCTCAGCACTTTGGAAGACCTAGGTGGGTGGATCACTTGAGGTCAGGAATTCAAGACCAACCTGGCCAATATGGCAAAACCCTGTCTCTACTAAAAATACAAAAATTAACTGGGTGTGGTGGCACCTAGCTACTCGGGAGGCTGAGGCAGGAGAATCGCTTGAACCCGGGAGGTGGAGGTTGCAGTGAGCCAAAATTGTGCCATTGCACTCCAGCCTGAGCAACAAAAGCGTAACTCTGTCTAAAAAAAAAAAAAAAATTAGCTGGGCATGGTGGCATGTGCCTATGGTCCCAGCTACTTTGGAGGCTGAGGTGGGAGGATTGCTTGAGCCCAGGAGGTCAAGGCTGCAGTGAGCCCTCATTATGCCACTGCATTCCAGCCTGGGCAACAGTGAGACCCTGTTTCAAAAAAATTTTTTAAAGATTAAAAATGGCACATGTGTATAGGGTACGTACCATGAATGAGCTTGTAGGACTGGAAATTGCTCTGCATGAGTCAGTTAGTGAGTGGCAAGTGAATGTGAGGGCCTAGAACATTACTGTATACTACTGTAGTCTTTATAAATAATATACACTTAAGCTACACTAAATTTACTTTAAAAATAAAGTACTTGTGGCCGGGCGTGGTGGCTCACACCTGTAATCCCAGCACTTTGGGAGGCCGAGGTGGGCGGATCACAAGGTCAGGAGGTGAAGACCATCCTGGCTAACACGGTGAAACCCTGTCTCTGCTAAAAATACAAAAAATTAGCCGGGTGTGGTGGCGGGCGCCTGTAGTCCCAGCTACTCAGGAGGCTGAAGCAGGAGAATGGCATGAACCTGGGAGGCGGAGCTTGCAGTGAGCTGAGTTCGTGCTGCTGTACTCCAGCCTGGGGGACAGAGCGAGACTCCATCTCAAAATAAATAAATAAACAAACAAATAAATAAATAATAAAGTACTTGTGCTACAACATTACAATGGCCTCAGCAAACTATCACAAGGACAAAAAACCAAACACCGCATGTTCTCACTCATAGGTGAGAATTGAACAATGAGAACACTTGGACACAGGTTGGGGAACATCACACACCGGGGCCTGTTGTGGGGTGGGGGGAGGGGGGAGGGATAGCATTAGGAGATATACCTAATGTAAATGACGAGTTTGTGGGTGCAGCACACCAACATGGGACATGTATACATATGTAACAAACCTGCACTTTGTGCACATGTACCCTAAAACTTAAAGTATAATAAAAAAATTCTGGATTAAAAAAAAAATTACAATGGCCTACAATGTCATTAGGCAATAGACATTTTTCAGCTCCTTTATAATCTTACGGGACCACCATCATGCATATGGTATGTTTATGTGTCACATGACTGTAATTAATTAAGGCAAGAGCAATCATTAGATGCTAAAACCACTGGGTGAAAGGCTTTGAGGGAACAGAGTATCTGCACTGTGCCAAAGCATCACCCAGAGATTATTTTGTTGCTACTTGCAAAGAGAAAAACAAATCTTTGGGCGGGCATGATGCCTCACGCCAATAATGCCAGCATTTTGGGAGACTGAGGCAGGCGGATCACTTGAGACCAGAAGTTTGAGACCAGCCAGGTCAACATGGTGAAACCCCATCTCTACTAAAAATACAAAAATGGTCAGGCCGGGTGTGGTGGCTCACGCCTGTAATCCCAACACTTTGGGAGGCCAAGGTGGGTGGATCACCTGAAGTCAGGAGTTCAAGACCAGCCTGGCCAACATGGTGAAACCCATCTCTATTGAATATACAAAAAATTAGCCAGGCGTGGTGTGGGCGCCTATAATCCCAGCTACTCAGGAGGCTGAGGCAGGAGAATCACTTGAACCTGGGAGACAGAGGTTGTAGTGAGCGGACATTGCACCATTACACTCCAGCCTGGGCAACAAGAGTGAAACTCTGTCTCAAAAAAAAAAAAAAAACAAACAGCTGGGGCTCATGACTGTAATCCCAGCACTTTGGGAGGCCGAGGCGGGTGGATCACCTGAGGTCGGGAGTTTGAGACCAGCCTTACCAACATGGAGAAAACACGTCTCTACTAAAAATAGAAAATTAGCTGGGCGTGGTGGCGCATGCCTGTAATCCCAGCTACTCGGGAGGCTGAGGCAGGAGAATTGCTTGAACCTGGGAGGCAGAGGTTGCAGTGAGCTGAGATTGCACCATTGCACTCCAGCCTGGGCAACAAGAGCGAAACTCAGTCTCAAAAAAAGAAAAACCTGAAAAAATAAACCACAAATCTTTACAATTTAGAGATCTGGGGTTTGCTATTGAAATCAAGTCATCCAATTTAGCATTGCTGTTCATGAAAAACATAACATTATGTGCCTCATGATATGATACAGTATGAAGTACACAGCAAAACCTATTAAACATTCCTGCCTAAATGCTTAATTGAATTTATTTATTTAGTTATTTTAGACAGGGTCTTGCTGTCACCCAGGCTTGAGTGCAGTGACATCATAGCTCACTGTGATGTCAAACTCCTGGCCCCAAGCCATCTTCCAGCTTTGGCCTCCCAAAGAGCTGGGATTACTGGCGAGAGCTACTGTACACCGTCTGTTAATTGAATGTAATAAAACTTTTAGACCAAACTTCTAATTTACAGGAAACACAAAGAACAGGTAAATTATATCACTAAAGAACAAATAAGACAAATTGAGAATATAGGACATTCAGAAGATAACTGATGTAATCTCTCCTCAAAGAACTGACGTCATGAGAGAAAATAAAAGGTAGAAGAACTGTTCTAGATTAAAATACACTAATGTGGCCAGGCAAGGTGGCTTATACCTGTAACCCCAGCACTTTGGGAGGCCGAGGTGGACAGATCACTTGAAGTCAGGAGTTCGAGACCAGCCTGACAAACAAGGCAAAATCCCATGTTGGGACTCAGCAGCTGAGGCAGGAGAATCGCTTGAGCCCTGCAGAGGTTGCAGTGCGCCAAGATCGTGCCACTGCACTCCAGCCTGGGCGACAAAGGAGACTATGTCTCAAAAAAAAAAAAAAAAAAAAAAAAGGCCGGGCATGGTGGCTCATGCCTCTAATCCCAGAACTTTGGGAGGCCGAGGCTGGTGGATCACTTGAGGCCAGGAGTTCAAGGCCAGCCTGGCCATCACGGTGAAACCCTGTCTCCACTAAAAATACAAAAATTAGCCAGGCATGGCGGCATGGGCCTGTAATCCCAGCTACCCAGGAGGCCGAGGCACGAGAATTGTTTCAGCCTGTGGGGCAGAGGTTGCAGTGAGCGGAGATTACACCACAGCACTCCAGTCTGGATGATAGAGTGAGACTCCGCATAAAAAAACAAAAACAAAAACAAAAACACTAATGAGGTAAAACTAAACCCAATGGATGAACTTTAATGGGATATTGGTTTGACAAAACAAAAACAGCTATAAGAGACATAGTTGTAATAACTTTCTGACATGAGCATAACATCAGTGTAATGCTGGTCTCATAGATGGAGTTGGGATGTATGTCTTCTTTAACTTTTTGGAATACTTTGTGTGTTGTTTGTGAATTAGTATTATTTCTTCCTTAAATGTTTGGTAGAATTAATCAGTGAAGACATTTTGGACGGGCGTTTCCTTCATGGGAGGGTTTTTAACCAAATGTTGGTTTTCTTTAATAGATACATGACTATCCAGGCTATATGTTTCTTATTAAGTGAGTCTTGGTAGTTTATGTATTTCAAAAGATGTATGCATTTCATCAAAGTTGGTGAATTTTTTGGCATAAAGTTCTTCATGCTATTCCCTTATTACGGTTGTAATATCTATGGGACATTGTAGAGATGTCTCCTCTCTCTCTCTCTCTTTTTTTTTTTTTTTTGCTTTTTGAGACAGAGTCTCCCTCTGTTACCCAGGCTGGAGCATAGTAGTGCAATCATAGCTCACTGTAGGCTTGACCCTTCTGGGCTCAAGCGATCCCCCTCCATTAGCCTCCCAAATAGCTGGGACCACAGGCAGGAGCCACCACGTCTGGCTAATTTTTAGAAAAAATTTTCATAGAGACAAGGTCTCCGTATATTGCCCAGGCTGGTCTCAAACTTCTTGGACTCCCAAAGTGTTGGGATTATAGGCGTGAGCCACTGCATGCCTGGCCCCTTTTCCTAATTTCTTAAGGCAGAAGCTTAGGTCATTGATTTGGGACATTTTTTTTTTCTTTTTCTTTTTTTTTTTTTTTTGAGACAGAGTCTCGCTCTGTCACCCAGTCTGGAGTGCAGTGGCACAATCTCAGCTCACTGCAAGCTCCACCTCCTGGGTTCATGCCATTCTCCTGCCTCAGCCTCCCGAGTAGCTGGGACTACAGGTGCCCGCCACCACGCACAGCTAATTTTGTTTTTGTATTTTTTGTAGAGATGGGGTTTCACCATGTTAGCCAGGATGGTCTTGACTCCTGATCTCGTGATCCGCCCGCCTCGGCCTCCCAAAGTGCTGGGATTACATGCATGAGCCCCCACACCCAGCCACATTTTCTTTTTTTCTAACATACACATTTAATGCTACAAACTTCCCTATGGACTGCCTTAGCTATATCTCACACATGTCAATATGTTGTTTTCATTTTGATTAAGGCCAAATTATTTTCCAATTTATCTCTCTATTTTTTTTTTTTAAGATAGGGTCTTGCTCTGTCACCTAGGCTGCAGTGCAGTGTCACTATCACAGCTCACTGCAGCCTTGAACTCCTGGTCTCAAGCGATCCTCTCACCTCAGCCTCTGGAGTAACTGGGACTGTAGGTGTGCACCACCATGCCCAGCTCATTTATTTATATTTATATTTATATTTTTTTAAAAATAAGAAAATTTATAATGGTGGGGTGGGGCGGGGGTCTCGCTATGTTGCCCAGACTGGTCTCAAACTCCTGGGCTCAAGTGATCCTCCTGCCTTGGCCTCCCAAAATGTTAAGACTATAGGCATGAGCCACCTCTTCTGAACTAATTTCCTTTTTGAGTTCCTCTTTGAATCAGAATTTTTTGTTTTTTTTTTTTTTGTTCTGTTTCTTAGAGACAAGCTCTCTTTCTCTTACCCAGGCTGGAGTGCATTGGCAGGATCTTAGCTCACTGTACCCTTGAATTCTGGACTCAAGTGATCCTCCTGCCTCACGCTCCGAAGTACCTAGGACTACAGGTGCACGCCACCATGCATGGCTTTTTTTTTTTTTTTAAATGGAGTAAGGGGTCTTGCTACATTTCTCAGGCTAGTCTTGAACTCCTGGCCTTAAGCGATACTCCCACTTTGGCCTCCCAAAGTGCTCGAATTACAAGCATAAGACACCACACCCGGCTTCATGTGTCACTTAGAAGCATCTTACTTAGTTAACAAATAGTAGGGGATTTTCCAGACACTCTTCTGCTCTCACACCACAACAATCATCAACACAGAAGATTTCTGTGACCAAATGTGTGAGGGAGAATTTCCCCCCACCACCAAGCAAGCAATCAATTCTTCAGTAGCCACCAACTGGGTGTCCTCCAATTCATTTCTGACACTATCTACTTGGAGTCCCCAAAACTGCTTCCTGCTTCAGATCCTAGTCACAAGTTCGGGCCTCTGGAACTTCTGACTGACTGGCTTCAAGTTAGGGTTCCCACATCTCCCTGTTTGGGTTCAATTAATTTGCTAAAGCATCTCACAGGACTCAGGGAAACACTTGTGTTTACTGGTTTATTATAAAGGATATTATAAAGGAAGAGATGCATAGGGTGAGGTATGGTGGAAGGGGCACAGAACTTCCATGCCCTCCCTGGGCATGCCACTGCCCAGGAGCCTCCACGTGTTCAGCTATTCAAAAGCTCTCTGAACTCTGTCCTTTGGGTTTTTATGGAGGCTTCATTACATATGTGTGGTTGACAACCATGTAGAAATGTGATTGGACAAAAAGAGTATAATCTAAACCCAGCAAGGCCTGTCTGTTTAGATTCTTCTTGGCCTCCCTGTGAAGCATTCCTTCCTCCAGAGTATGGGGCAGGACCCTTTTCGAAATGAGAGTCTTAAGACCCACAATCAGGTTATAGTCCTGCCTTGGGCAGGTGAAAAGAGGAGAGAGGAGAAGGTCAGAGAGAGAGATTCTGCAAACTGTTATAAGGGCTATGGAAGTTAATAGCCAGGATCTATGGACGAAAACCTGTATATTATTCAGCTGGGTACTAAAAAAATACGTATATGTTTTCATCCATATATAAATTTATTTGAATGTCACAATTTTTAATTTAATGTTATTTGTGTGGCCAGGCATGGTAGCTCATACCTATAATCCCAGCACTTGGGAAGCCCAAGGTGGATGGATCACTTGAGGCCCGGAGTTCAAGACCAGTCTGGCCAACATGGCAAAACCCCGTCTCTACTAAAAATACAAAAATTAGCCAGGCATGGTGGCATGCGCCTGTAATCTCAGCTACTTGAGAACTTGAAGCACAAAAATCACCTGAACCTGGCAGACAGAGGTTGTAGTGAGCTGTATTTGTGATCAGAGAACACATTTTTTATATGAATCCTTTTACATTTATTGTGACTTGTTTAAAAGCCCAGAATAATATAATCTATCTAAGTGAATATTGTATCTATACTAGAAAATAGTATCTATTCCTGATATTGGTTATAGAGTTCTATAAATGTCAGTTAGGTCAAGTGGTTGATAATGTTCAAGGCTTCTGCAGGATACACATGCCATCAAGGTCGGAGACAATGAGAACTGACACAGATTTCAGTCCATCTTCGTGGGTTCCAACTGTGCCTGTGGCCATTATTTTTCCAGCCTTTTTACTCTTTGTTTCATTTTGGATAGTTTCTATTGCTATGTCTTCAGGTTAACTGAACTGCAGTATTTAATCTTCTGTAAATCTCATTCAATATATTTTTAATTTATTTTTTTGCCTCTAGAAGTTTTATTTGGGATTTACAAAATATCTTCCAGGTTTCTCTTTAGCATGCACATGCTTCCTTCTATTTTCTTTCTTCTTTTTTTTTTTTTTTCAAGAGACAGAGTCTTGCTCTGTTGCCCAGGCTGGAGTGCAGTGGGGCAATCTCTACTTACCAAAATCTCTGCCTCCTGGGTTCAAATGATTCTCCTGCCTCAGCCTCCCAAGTAGCTGGGATTACAGTTGTTCACCACCACATCTGGCTAAGTTTTGTATTTTCAGTAGAGACGGGGTTTCGCCATGTTGCCCAGGCTGGTCTTGAACCCCTGACCCCAGGTGACCCGCCCATCTCAGCCTCCCAAAGTGCTGGGATTACAGGCATGAGCCACCGTGCCCGGCCTACTTTCTTAAACATATGAAATGCAGTTGGAACAAATTATTTTAATGTCCTTGTCTTAATTCTATCACTCGTTTCATTTCTGGATCTGTTGTCTACTGATGGATGTTACTCCTCATTATAGGTTATGTTCTTTGCATGTCTGATTGTTTTTGATATTAGATGCCTTACATTGTCGATTGTTAGGTGCTAGATATTTTTATATTCCTATAAATATTCTTGAGCTTTGTTCCAGGAAACAGTTTGATCCTCTAAGCCTTGCTTTTAAGCTCTGTTCAATGGAATCAGTGCAGCAGTTAGTCTATGGCTAATTTTGCTACACTACTAAAGTACTACTGAAGAGTACTGAGCATAGTACTCTACCTGATGACCTACTCTGCCTCTTGGGAACGTTAACTATTTCTGGCCTATATGAAGATAGGATTTTTCCCATCTGCTTTCCCAAGATCTGGATAGTTTTTTCACACCCTTGTACTGATCGGTATCCAACAGAACACAGGAGGGGAACCTTCTGCAGATCTCACAGTGCTCCCTCTGTCCAGCTCTCTCTTCTGTGTGCTGCTCTCTCCTCTCTGGTACTTTGCCCTAAAAATTTGATCCACCTTGGCCTTCTCAAATTCTCAGCTCTCTCTCCTCAACTCAGGGAGAATGCTGAACTCTGTTTTTCTTGCTCCTTGAACTGTGGCCAGGAAATTCTCTCCATGCAGTAAGCTGGGGCAACTCTAGGGCTCACCTCATTGGTTTCCCTTATGTCAGGGATCACCCTCTTGTGCTCTCTGTTTCCCAGCATTTGAAAAATGTTTCCTCAAATATTTTGTCCAGTTTTTTAGACGTTTTATGTAAGAGTACCGGTAAATTGTGGTTGGAAGTGAAGGTCTGTGGGGGAATACTTCAAGATTTTGTAAATATCTGTTCTCCAATATATTTTTATTTTTATTTATTTATTTATTTATTTATTTATTTATTTATTTATTTTTTGAGACAGAGTCTGTCTCTATTGCCCAGGCTGGAGTGCAGTGGTGCAATCTTGGCTCACAGCAACCTCCCCTAGGTTCAAAAGATTCTCCTGCCTAAGCCTCCTGAGTATCTGGGATTAACAGGCGCGTGCCACTACGCCTGGCTAATTTTTGTATTTTTAGCAGAGACGGGGTTTCACCATGTTGGCCAGACTGGTCTCGAACCCCTGACCTCAGGTGATCTGCCCGCCTCAGCCTCTCAAATTGCTGGGATTACAGGCATGAGCCACCATGCCTGGCCCTATTTTTATGCAATGGCTTTAAGCATCCATTGATAACTCTTATTTATATCATTTATTGGTATGATGGTTGAAAAATAGTGATTTTTTTTCTATTATTTCTTCTTCATTTGTTAGTTGGCCTGTTACCATGAAAAATAGCTTTTCCTTTTTCCTCTGTTATTTATGTATTTAAGTCTTTATAGTTAGTGTCGGGGACAGACTCTAGGGTCGTCTCCATGATCCCTGCCTTATCTCAGTGTTCACTGCCTTATGTGGTTCCCTCCCTTTGAGTGTGGGTGGGACCTCTGACTTTCTTCCAACCAATAGAACATGGCAAAGGTGACTGAATGTATGTGGTCTTCTGTATGTGATTATATTACATAAAATTCTAAATATCTTGCTAGGAGATTCTATCTCTCCTTTGCTGGCCTGGAAGAAGCAAGATGCCATGTTATGTGCTGCCATAGGGCCACGTGGCAGAGCTGAGGGCAGCCTCCTGCTGACAGCCAGCAAGAAACAGGAGCCCTCAATCCCACAGCCTGCAAGGAACTCAATGCTGCCAACAACCACAAGTGCTTGAAAGTGAATCTGTATCCAGTCGTGCCTCAGATGAGCTAGCAGCCCTGGCAGACAAGCTGTTTATAGCTTTGTGAGACCCTGAAGCAGAGGACCAAGTTAAGGCATGCTAGGACTCCTGACTCACTGAGATAGTAAAGATGTGTTGTTTTAAACCATTACATTTGTGGTATTATTGTTACATAGCAGTAGATAGCTAATAGCAGTTAGTTACTCACATCTTTTAGTATCAGGACTGAAAGGATTCATGGATCTTTTTCCAAGTTATCTTTTTAAACTATAATATCCATTAAAGTCAAGTATAGAAAGGAACTGGATTTAGAATGATATCTTCATAGTACTGTTTCACAAGATATTAAGGCAACTTTTTTTTTTTTTTTTTTTTTTTTGAGACAGGGTCTCACTGTGTTACCAAGGCTGGAGTGCAAGGGCTCAAACGTGGCTCACTGCAGCCTCTACCTCCTCAGCCCAAGTGATCCAAGGGCTCAAACGTGGCTCACTGCAGCCTCTATCTCCCTGGCCCAAGTGATCTGCCCACCTCAGCCTCTCAAGTAGCTAGGACCACAGGTGCATGAGCCACCACGCCAGGCTAATTTTTGTATTTTTTGTAGAGGCAGGGTTTCACTATGTTGACCAGGCTGGTCTCTAACTCCCGAACTCAAGCAGTCTACCATCTCAGCTTACTGAAGTGCTGGGAAGAGAAATATGAACCACCACGCCCAGCCCCATATTTTACTTTATTATTGTTATTATTATTATTATTATTTTCAGACGAAGTCTCACTCTGTTGCCCACACTGGAGTGCAGTGGCAGGATATCGGCTCACTGCAAACTCTGCCTTCCAGGTTCAAGCAACTCTTTTGCCTCAGCCTCATGAGTAGCTGGGATTACAGGTGTACGCCACCACGCCCAGGTAATTTTTATATTTTTAGTAGAGACAGCGTTTTGCCATGTTAGCCAGGCTGGTCTCAACTCCTGAGCTCAAGTGATCCATCTGCCTCAGCCTCCCAAAGTGATGGGATTATAGGCGTGAGCCACTGTACCCAGCCTGAGCCACTGCATCCAGTCCCCATATTTTAATGTTATAGTTTATTTATAATTTATACAAAAATAAATATACATGGCTGGGCGTGGTGGCTCACACCTACAATTCCAACACTTGGGGAGGCCAAGGAGGGCAGATCATTTGAGGTCAGGAATTCAAGACCAGCCTGGCCAACATGGCGAAAACCTATCTCTACTAAAAATACAAAAAAAAGTGAGCAGAACGTGGTGGCATGCGCCTGTAATCCCAGATACTTGGGAGGCTGAGGCATGAGAATCACTTGAACCCAGGAGGTAGAGATTGCAGTGAGCCGAGATCGAGCCACTGTACTCCAGCCTGGGTAACAGAGTGAGATCTTGTCTCAAAAAACAAACAAACAAACAAAAATAAATATACATATATTTGGAAGTCACTTAATGTATTTTGCTGGTAGAGTATATAATCAAACAGGCTGGCATGTACAGTTTTCTATGTATACTTTTTTTTGCCCAATTATCAAAAGCCTCCAAGTTTTTTACTCTATTTAGAACAGTTGTTCTCATCTCTAGCTGTATATTAGAAACACATGAGGAGATATATATATATATATATATTTTTTTTTTTTTTTTTTTTTGAGACAGAGTCTTGCTCTGTCGCTCAGGCTGGAGTGCAGTGGCTCAATCTTAGCTCACTGCAACCTCTGCCTCCTGGGTTCAAGCAATTCTTCTGCCTCAGCCTCCGGAGTAGCTGGGACAATAGGAATGTGCCACCATGCCTGGCTAATTTTTGTATATTTAATAGAGATGGGGTTTCACCATATTGGCCAGGCTGGTCTCGAACTCCTGACCTCATGATCTGTCTGCCTCGGCCTCCCAAACTGCTGGAATTACAGGTATGAGCCACCACACCCATCCAAGGATTTTATTTTTGTGTCAGTGAGAAGCGTGTGCCCTACTGAGAAGCGTGTGCCCTACCCTAAACGAATTTAGTCAGTATCTCTGGGGGTCAGGCATGGTATTGTTTCTATAACTCCTCAGGTGATTTCTAATGGGTGGCCAGGGTTGAGAACTGACTTTGAAATAGACAATTATCTTTGGAAAGTACTCGGTGAAAAAAAGACTCAGTTGGAAAGACATCCTGTTTGGGGTGTGATTCACTCAACCGAACTCCTGGAAGCCCTGAAACTGACCCCTAAAGGAAATATAATCCAGATCTCAAGATGTCCAGCCAGCATTCACTTCTCTCCTCTTTACTAAAATAAAGCTGTATTAAGTAAAGATAAAAACCAACACATGTTTTAGATGCAAAATGGCTTTTTTTTTTTTTTTTTTTTTGAGATGAAGTCTCGCTCCGTTGCCCAGGCTGGAGCGCCCTGGCGTGATCTCAGCTCACCACAACTTCCACCTCCCGGCTTCAAGCAATTCTCCTGCCTCAGCCTCCCAAATAGCTGGGATTACAGGTACCCGCCTACTTGAGAGGCCAAGGCAGGAGAATCACTTGAACCTGGGAGGCAGAGGTTGTGGTGAGCCAAAATCGTGCCACTGTACTCTAGCCTGGGCAACAGAAAGAGACTTCGTCTCAGAATAAAATAAAATAAAATAGAATAAAATAAGATAAAATAAAATTAACAAAAATTAGCCTGGTGCAGATGCATGTGCTTGGGAGGCTGAGGCGGGAGGCTCCCTTGAGCCTAGAAGTTTGAGGATATGTGAGCTATGATCATGCTACTACTCTCCAGCCTGGGCGAGAGAGTGAGGCCTTGTCTCTAAACAAAACCAAACAACCCAACTAAGCAGTAGTTACTCCATATAATTTGCTGACTCTCATTGCTTTCCTTTACTGTCTTCCTAAAGGAATGACTGAATTGTTTTCTATCTCCCCTGCATTTCAGGGTTATACATTTCTTTGGCTAACATCAGAATTTCTGCTTTGTTTTTGCCTCTGGTAATTCTACAGAAATTTTTTTGTCCAAAGCTAAAAGTAGGCTTTTTATTTTTAATTTAATTTTATTTTTTTTGAGATAGCATCTCGCTCTGTCACCCAGGCTGGAGTGCAGTGGCCCAATCTTGGCTCACTGCAACCTCCACCCCCCAGGTTGAAGTGATTCTCGTGCCTCAGCCTCGAGAGTAGCTGGGACTGCAGGTGCGCACCACCACACCCAGCTAATTTGTGTGTGTGTGTGTGTGTGTGTGCGCGCGCGTGCATGTATTTTTAGTGGAGACGGGGTTTTATCATGTTTGCCAGGCTGGTTTCGAAATCCTGACCTCAGATGATCTGCCTGGCTAAGCCTCCAAAAGTGCTGGGATTACAGGCGTGAGCCACCATGCCCAGCCAAAGCAGGTTTTTAAATTAAATTGCCTTTCTTTCTTAACTCTCATTTCCAGCCCAAACTATTATTTTTAAGAAGAAATAAAAAGCATGGCCGGGCATGGTGGCTCATGCCTGTAATCCCAGCACTTTGGGAGGCCAAGGCAGGTGGATCATTTGAGGTAAAGAGTTTGAGACCAGTCTGGGCAACATGGCAAAACCCTGTCTCTACTAAATATAAAAAAATTAGCTAGGCATGGTGGCGCATGCCTGTAATCCCAGGTACTTGGGAAACTAAGGCAGGAGAATTGCTTGAACCCAGGAGACAGAGGTTGCAATGAGCCAAGATCATGCCACTGCACTCCAGCCTGGGCGACAGAGTGAGACTCTGTCTCACAACAAACCCGGGAGGGAGGTGGGGGGCAGCCCCCGCCCGGCCAGCCGCCCCGTCCGGGAGGGAGGTGGGGGGCGCCTCTGCCCGGCCGCCCCGTCTGGGAAGTGAGGAGCCCCTCTGCCTGGCCGCCACCCCATCTGGGAGGTGTACCCAACAGCTCATTGAGAACGGGCCATGATGACGATGGCGGTTTTGTCGAATAGAAAAGGGGGAAATGTGGGGAAAAGAAAGAGAGATCAGATTGTTACTGTGTCTGTGTAGAAAGAAGTAGACATGGGAGACTCCATTTTGTTCTGTACTAAGAAAAATTCTTCTGCCTTGGGATGCTGTTAATCTATAACCTTACCCCCAACCCCGTGCTCTCTGAAACACGTGCTGTGTCCACTCAGGGTTAAATGGATTAAGGGCGGTGCAAGATGTGCTTTGTTAAACAGATGCTTGAAGGCAGCATGCTCCTTAAAAGTCATCACCACTCCCTAATCTCAAGTACCCAGGGACACAAACACTGCGGAAGGCTGCAGGGTCCTCTGCCTAGGAAAACCAGAGACCCTTGTTCACATGTTTATCTGCTGGCCTTCCCTCCACTATTGTCCTATGACCCTGCCAAATCCCCCTCTCCGAGAAACACCCAAGAATGATCAATAAATACTAAAAAAAAAAAAAAAACAGAAAAAAAAAAAAACAAAACAAGAAGAAATACCCAGGCATGGTGGCTCACGCCTGTAATCCCAGCACTTTGGGAGACCAAGGCAGGCACATCACTTGAGGTGGGGAGTTTGAGACCAGCCTGGCCAACACGGTAAATCCCTGTCTCTGCTAAAAATACCAAAAATTAGCCTGGCCTGGTGGCAGGCACCTGTAATCCCAGCTACTCAAGAGGCTGAGACAGGAGAATTGCTTGAACTCAGGAGGCAGAAGTTGCAGTAAGCCAAGATTGCGCCATTGCACTCCAGCCTGGACAACAAGAGCAAAACTCCATCCCAAAAAAAAAAAGAAAAGAAATTTAAAAAAAATGAGTTTCTGATTATTATATTCTGGCTATTTCTTTGTGAAACAGATTGCTTAATTGGAAAGTGTCCATTCTCTAGTCTTTAACATAATCTTCCAAGGAAAATAGCTCTATTATCCAAACTGTGTTAACAACTCAGACTCTTCTTTTTTTTTTTTTTTGATATGGAGTCTCGTTCTGTTGCCCAGGCTGGAGTGCAGTGGGGCGATCTTGGCTCACTGCAAGCTCCACCTCATAGGTTCAAGCGATTCTCCTGCCTCAGCCTCCCAAGTAGCTGGGACTACAGGTGCCCACCACCATACCCAGCTAATTTTTGGTATTTTTAGTAGAGACGGGGTTTCACCGTGTTAGCCAGGATGGTCTCCATCTCCTGACCTCGTGATCCGCCCGCCTTGGCCTTCCAAAGTGCTGGGATTACAGGCGTGAGCCACCACACCCGGCCCAGATTCTTCTTAAGATGATATATGTTCTAACACTGTAGCTGTTAACCCCCTCTTATGCCCAAACTATGGTCTCTAAAAACCATTTTCTTTCTTTCTTTTTTTTGAGATGGAGTCTCAATCTGTCGCCCAGGCTGGAGTGCAGTGGCACAATCTTGGCTCACTGCAACCTCCACCTCCCGGGTTCAAGCAATCCTCCCACCTCAGCCTCCCAAGTAGCTGGGATTACAAGAATGCGCCATCACACCTGGCTACTTTTTGTATCTAAATACCGTTTTTTTTTTTTGTTTTTTTTTTTTGAGACAGAGTCTGTCTCCCAGGCTGGAGTGCAGTGGTGTGATCTCAACTCACTGCAACCTCCACCTCCTGGGTTGAAATGATTCTCCTGTTTCAGCCTCCTGAGTAGCTGAGATTACAGGCACCTGCCACCACATCCAGCTAATTTTTGTATTTTTAGTAGAGATGGGTTTTCGCCATGTTGGCCAGGCTGGTCTTGAACTCCTGACTTCAGTTTATCTGCCCACCTCGGCCTCCCAAAGTGCTGAGATTACAGGTGTGAGTCACCAGGCCTGGCCCTAAATACCGTTTTTTTTTTTTTAAGATGAAGTCTCGCTCTTGTCGCCCAGGCTGGAGTGCAATGGCACATCCTTGGCTCACTGCAACCTCTGCCTCCTGGGTTCTAGCGATTCTCCTGCCTCAGCCTCCTGAGCAGCTGGGATTACAGGCACCTGCCACACGCCTGGCTAATTTTTGTATTTTTAGTAGAGACGAGGTTTCACCATGTTGGCCAGGCTGGTCTTGAACTGCCGACCTCAGGCTATCTGCCCACCTCGGCCTCCCAAAGTGCTGGGATTACAGGCATGAGTCACCGTGCCCCACTGTAATCCTTAAAAAGATATAATTTACAATGGCACAAAGAAAAAAATATTCAGGAATAAATTGAATAAAAGCTATATAATATTATTATGGATAAACTTCTGAAACTTAAAATGTCTAAAATTTAATTTTGTTAATGGATAAGAACACTCAATATTATGAAGTTGTTCTCTCCAAATTCTCATATAGATTTATAGGAACTCTAATAAAACCCCACGTGTGTGTGTGTGTGTGTGTGTATGTGTGTAAAATTTAACAGGCTGATTCTAAAATCTATGTGAAAGAACCAAGAGTACCAAGAATAGCTAAGACACCACTGAAGACGAAGAACAAGATAGGGAAACTTGTCCTACCAGATATCAAGACTTATCACAAAGCTACAGCAATTAAAACAGTAAGGCATGGGTGAATAGAGCAATAGAATTAAATAGAGAATTGATCCTAGCCCAAAGGAAAACATTACATGGGAGAGCTGATACTGCAGATCAGCTGGGAAATATGATCTATTGAATACATAGTGAGTGTTATGACAACAGATTATACATAAGGAAAAACAAAAAAAGAAATTGGATCCCTATCCCAATCTGTACACAAAAATTAATCCCTAGTGACTGAAAGAATTAAATGTGATGGAATATAATACTTTTAGAAGAAAATATAACATTTCTATGATATCGGGGAGGGAAGACATTCTTAAGCACACACCAAAAGTGCAAAACATAAATAGTCTGATAAATTGCTAAAATTATGAACTTTTGTTCAACAAGAGACAATAAATAAAAGGTATAGATAAACCACAAATTGGAAGAATATACTGGCAACGTTGGGACAACTAAGTTCTTCTTCAAAGACTCAACTTCCCGGTCACAAGTTACAGAAGTTGTAAATCAATCCTACCCCCCATTTCCTTCTTCTTTTCACAAATCATGCATTTATGCTATTTGGAAAAGTTTAAGTGTTAGCCAATTAGGATCAGCTTAGATTTTGTGGTCCAACCCCAGCCAATACGGGAAGGACACAGACACAGGGACTGCATTAGGATTAAAAACTCCTTCCCTCCTTTGTTTGGTGTGCTCTTGTGATTGTAACAGGTGCAAGCAGCACCCTTTTGCAGAAGTAAAGATGCCTTGCTGAGAAATTTTCTGTCTAAGTGCAGGTTTCTTTTGGCTATGCCAACCACTTGTTTCCAACAAATTTGGGGGCTCATCTGGGATCCCATTCTCCTTTGGGAGTGGCTAGCAATTATCTTTTATGGGGAGATGCATCCCACTGCCTCATTGTGGTGGCCCCAGGAGTGGAGGATTGATTCCCCCAGGAAGTGACAAATAAATACAGACTCTCAGCAACGTGGGCAGTAGGGAGGATCCTTAAGAACTCCATGGTGACCAGATAACTCTGTGCACAGACCAAGGTAAGAAATGTCCCTACTGGGGCAACAAAGTATTCCTTGGTAGTCAGGGTCTCTGGAGGTTGAAAGTGTGTAAGTGAGATGCGCCATTGCGGGTGATGCGAGTGCAGAGTCCAGACTTGGTTCCATGGTCACCTCATACGGCTTAGGGCCGTTTTCCAGTTGGGGGATTATACTGACCTGCCAATGCTAACAGGGGCCTAAAATTCTCACAAGGGAATTAGCCAATAAGGACGAAGTGAGTGCTCACGAGAGTGCAAGAAACCTCCAGTGGGGACCGGGCATGGTGGTTCACGTCTGTAATCCCAGCACTTTGGGAGGCCGAGGTGGGCAGATTTCCTGAGCTCAGGCAGTTGAAACCAGCCAGGGCAACACGGTGAAACCCCGTTTCTACTAAAAATACAAAAAAAGGCTGAGCACGGTGGCTCACGCCTGTAATCCCAGCACTTTGGGAGGCCGAGGCAGCACTTTGGATCACAAGGTCAGGAGATCGAGACCATCCTGCATAACATGGTGAAACCCCGTCTACTAAAAATACAAAAAAATAGCCAGGCATGGTGGCAGGTGCCTATAGTCCCAGCTACTCAGGAGGCTGAGGCAGAAGAATGGTGTGAACCCGGGAGGCGGAGTTTGCAGTGAGCCAAGATTGTGCCACTGCACTCCAGCCTGGGCGACAGAGCAAGACTCCATCTCAAAAAAAAAATAAATAAAATTTAAAAAATAAATAAAAATACAAAAAAATTAGCCGGGCATGTTGTCATGCATCTGTAGTCCCAGCTACTCGGGAGGCTGAGGGAGGAGAATGGCTTGAACCCGGGAGGCAGAGGTTGTAGTGAGTCGAGATCGCCGCTGCACTCCACACCCCAGCCTGGGTGACAGAGTGAGACTCCGTCTTCAAAAAAAAGAAAAAAAGAAAGAAACCTCCAGTGGGAAAAGGGGAGGTTGAACCTTTAGGATATGGGAGTGCAAGAAATCTCTAATACAAGAGATTGAGCCTCATCAGCCCCCAGGATGGGAAATACCCCAAGTAAGACAGGGACTATAAGAGGCCAAGCAGACAATAAAATTCCCCCGACAGGCCCCTAGGCCTTATGTTAAAATACTGCAAGGATAATGAAAGGACCAAACACAAGAAAAGACAACAAATGATAAAGTATTGCTGTTTTATTTGGACTAAGGAACCCATCCTCAGACCTTTGGTCTTTTGGCCAAAGTTTGGGTTGAACAAGGACTGGATATGCCAACTCCTGATCCAATATGTCAATGATAAAAGTCCAGTTTCTCAAGAGGAGATAGATTATGCTCTATGTTGGAGACAAGGACCTCTCCTTCTCTATCCCCTAAAGGACGAAAAAGCAAAGCCAAACTTAAAATCCCCCAAAGACGACCTAGCTAAGTCATATCCCCTATCTAAAGATGCATGGGATCCTCTAGACCACCTTCTCCCGCCTAACCCTCTGCCCCAAGCTGAACACTCAGTCCCTCCCCCATATAACCCTGCCCCATGGGCCTTGACACCCCACACCCCCATTGGACAGCCACCCGAACATGCCCCTTCCTCAGGAAAGTTCCAACGGGAAATAGAACAATGCCAAGGGATATTCAAAACTTTCGTTTCCCCTCTTCCTCAAAGAAGTGTGCCCCAACTCTTTTTCCCTTAAGGGAAATAACCACTAGGAGGAGGGGATATTGGCTTCATAAATGCCCCCTTAACCAGTTCAGAGGTTAGAAATCTAAAGAAAAGGAACTCAAACCAGTTAGATGACTCTTTTGGAGTCGCAGATCAAATTTACCAATTTCTGGGGCCACAACTGTACACTTGGGCTGAAGTAATGTCTATTCTAGGTATTCTTTTCTTAGGAAAGAACCATGATCCGCAGGGCCGCTGTGATAGTCTAGGAGCACAAGCACCCCTCTTGTCAAAATGTCCTTGCAGTGGAGCATAAATTCCCAGCCCAGGATCCTCAATGGAATAATAACAGTGCGGCCCACCAAGAAAACATGAGAGATCTCAGAGATATGATAATTAAAGGGATTTGGGAAGCCATTCCTCAAACCCAAGATATTTCCCGAGCATTTAATATACAACAAGGGAAAGATGAAGGACCCATGGAATTCTTGAACAGATTTAAGGAACAGATAAGGAAATATGCAAGTTTGGACATAGAGGATCCAATGGGACAAGGGATGTTAAAGCTCCACTTTGTCACCAATAGTTGGCCAGACATTACAAAGAAATTATAAAAGATAGAATATTGGAAAGACCGTCCCATAGAAGAACTTTTAAGAGAGGCCCAAGAGGTATATGTATGAAGGGATGAGGAAAGGCAGAAGCAAGATGCAAAAATTATGCTGTACACCCTACAACAGGGAACTCTTCAACAGGGAGCCCAGGGAACTAGAACTTGTAAACCTTCTAAGTACCCTGGCTGCCAGACCCTATACAGGAAGCAAAGGGATGAAAACCAAGAGTCAGGGAACAGGGAGGGGAAGAAGGGAAAACAGATGTTTCAGGTGTGGAAAGCCAGGACATTCTAAGAGGAAATGTCCCAAATGGGAGAGGGAAAAGAAAGTCCTTCCACTCATGACGTTTGAAGAATAGGGGGGTCAGGGGCTCTACATCTTCCATCTCGTGTCCCACCAAGAGCCCTTGATAAGTTTAACAGTGGGACCCAAATCGGAGACAGTCACTTTCTTAGTAGATTCGGGAGCGGCTTGCTTCCCGCTATGTTTTCTCCCATCAGGTTTAGCCTGGTCAGCAGAAGACCATACTGTCTCAGGAGTTAAAGGGGAGGGTTCAGGGCAAAAACTCTAGAGGAAACCGAAGTCAAATATAAGAATAAGTTGGTTACTACTAAGTTCTTGTTAATTCCTGAAGCAGGAACTAATTTATTAGGAAGGGACTTAATGTTAAGATTAGGCATAGGCCTATATGTTAATCAGGAAAAGCTCCTTACTTCCTTAAACCTGCTCACCACTTCAGAAGAAAGCCACATCCATCCCAACATATGGTCGAAGGAAGGAAATCGAGGAAAGCTACGGGTTACTCTAATCCATGTCAAATTAAAAACTCCTGGGGAAGTAGTGAGAAGAGAACAATACCCTATTCCCTTGGAAGCCAGGATAGGTTTAAAACCTCTAATTGAAAGCCTTGTCCATGACGGACTCCTTAAACCCTGTATGTCCCCTTATAACACTGTAAGGAAGCCAGACGGGTCATACTGGCTAGTGCAAGATCTCCGGGCTATTAATCAAATAGTTCAGACCACCCACACTGTTGTTCCCAATCCTTACACCAATGTCAGTAGAATCCCTCACAACCACCAGCGGTTCACGGTGGTAGATTTAAAAGATGCCTTTTGCGCTTGCCTTTTAGCAGAGGACAGCCAGGACATGTTTGCCTGTGAGTGGGAGGACCCTCACTCCGGTCAAAAACAGCAGTACCAATGGACAGTCTTGCCCCAAGGGTTTACAAAGTCCCCAAATCTATTTGGTCAAATTTTAGAACAAGTCTTGGAAACTTCTCCCTGCCTTCATCCATATGCCAATATGTAGATGACCTGCTCATTTCAGGAGATAACAAGGATCAAGTAACAGCAATTTCAGTTAACTTCCTAAATTTCCTGAGGGAACAAGGGTTACAGGTCTCAAAGAACAAACTTCAAGTCGTAGGACCTGAGGTAAAATATCTAGGACACCTAATCAGCAAAGGTAAGCAAAAGATAGAGCCCAAACGAATTGAAGATATCATATCTTTGCCTTTACCTGAAACAAAGCAGGAACTTAGGAAATTCTTAGGATTGGTCAGATATTGCCATCTGTGGATTGACTCTTATGCCTTAAAAACAAAGCCCCTATATAAAAACTCACTCAAGAAGGAGCAGACCTGCTCCTTTGGACCCTATCAGAGATCCAATAGGTAAAATAATTAAAACACCTGCTTGTAACTGCCCCCATTCTAGCCTTGCCCTCCTTAGAACAGCCATTCCACCTTTTTGTTAATGTAAGCAAAGGAGTGGCCTTAGGGGTACTCACCCAAAAACACGGAGGCCACGGGCAGCCCATAGCCTTCCTGTCAAAAATCCTTGACCCAGTAACCTGTGGATGGCCCGAATGTGTCCAATCCATAGCAGCAACTCCCTTGCTAACAGAAGAAAGCAGGAAAATAACCTTTGGAGGAAACCTCATCATAAGTGTCCCTCATCAAGTGAGAACCGTTCTTAATCAGAAGGCAGGGAGATGGCTCATTGACTCAAGAATTTTAAAATATGAAGCTATCTTATTAGAGAGGGATAACCTAACACTAACCACTGACAATTCACTCAACCCCACTGCTTTCCTAACAGGAAATCCAAACCAGGAAGAACCTGAGCATAAATGCTTAGATTTAATCAGTTATCAAACTAGAGTCAGAGTGGATCTAAGTGAAACCCCTTTCCAAATAGAGGGTCATCTCTTTATAGATGGCTCCTCCTAGGTCATTGAAGCAAAAAGGCACAACGGGTACTCCATAGTTGGTGGGGAAACCCTCACAGAGGTAGAGTCAGGAAGACTGCCAAATAACTGGTTTGCCCAAGCATGTTAACTCTTTGCATTAAACCAAGCCTTAAAATACCTGCAGAATCAGGAAGGAACTATTTACATTGACTCCAAGTATGCCTTCTGAGTAGTCCATACCTTTGGAAAGATCTGGATTGAACAAGGCCTCATCGATAGTAAGGGCCAAGATTTGGTCCCCAAGGAATTAATTATGCAAGTATTAGAAAATCTTCAGCTGCCGGAAGAGATTGCGGTTGTCCATGTCCCACAACACCAACACCAAAAGAACTCATCTTTTGAAAGCTGGGGAAATAACCTCGCAGATCAAGTAGCTAAGCAAGCTGCCTCTTCCCAAGTGTCACCCATTTTCCATCTAACTTCTTCTCTTCCCCCTCCAGCTGCAATCCCCATCTTCTCCCACGCAGACCAAGAGAAACTAAAGAAAACAGGAGCTAAGGAGAGCCCAAAGGGCAAGTGGGTACTAACAGATGGAAGGGAAATGCTGTCTAAACCCCTCATGAGGGAAGTATTGTCACAGCTTTATCAAGGAACTCACTGGGGTCCTCGAGCTATATGCAATGCAGCCCTTAGGGTCTATGGGTGTATAGGGATATATACCCTCGATAAAGTGGCGGATGGTTGCATAGTGTGCAGAAAAACTAATAAGCAAACCCTAAAGAGGCAAGCCTCCCGGGGGAAGAAACCCAGGGCTGAGGCCGTTCTAAAGCGTCCAAGTTGACCACACTGAAATGCCCCCAATAGGCTGTCTCAAGTATTTGCTAGTCATAGTAGACTAGCATCCACTGGGTAGAAGCCATCCCCTTCCCAAGCACAATAGCCAGCAATGTAGTCAAAGCCCTGTTGGAACATATCACCCAGGTTTGGACTAACAGAGAACATTGATTCAGACAATGGGACCCACTTTACTGCACACATCATTAAGGGGCTAACCCAAGCAACAGGAATAAAATGGGAATATCATACTCCCTGGCACTTCCCCTCATCAGGGAGGGTAGAAAGAATGAATCAAACTCTAAAAAATCACCTAACCAGGCCAGGTGCGGTGTAATCCCAGCTTCTCAGGAGGCTGAGGCAAGAAGAATTGCTTGAGACTGGGAGACAGAGGTTACAGTGAGCCGAGATCGTGCCACTGCACTCCAGCCTGGCCAACAGAGTGAGACTCTGTCTCAAAAAAAAAAAAATCACCTAACCAAATTAATCTCGGAAACCCAGTTACCATGGACAAAATGCCTTCCCATGGCCTTACTAAGAATCCAAACTGTCCCTTGAAAAGATCTTGGCCTGTCCCCTTATGAAATGCTCTGCGGGCTGCCTTATCTAAATTCCACTACTGACCTTCCCACATTTGAAACAAAAGGTCAGCTTCTCAAAAACTATATACTTGGTCTGTCTTCCACCCTTTCCTCCCTCAGGACTCAAGGCCTCCTAGCGCAAACTCCACCCCTCGAATTCCCAGTTCACCAACACCAGCCCGGAGATCACGTCCTTATCAAAAGTTGGAAAGAGGGAAAGCTCAAACCAACCTGGGAGGGACCTTATCTAGTACTCCTAACCACTGAAACAGCAATCCCAACGGCTGAAAAAGGATGGACCCACAACACTTGAGTAAAAAAGGCCCCACCCCTTGGAGAGTCATGGACTTTCACTCCAGGACCTACAGTCTCCAAACTAACATTCAAAAGGGTTTAATCTGTCTTTTTCTTCTGCCTTTAGCTACCCAAGGACATCTAATCATCAGTGTAACCCAATCACCCTCCCCCCAAACAATTATATTCAATGCCTGTCTTGTCATGCCCTGTGGGGATCTCCAAAGTCAAAGATAGCTAGCCTCTTCAGAAAAGTACCTTTGTCCCTCTAGGATAAATTACACTGCCTACAAAACTAACTCTTGCACTGAATGGGCACGAACTTAGCATTGATGGTTTTGCTATACTTGGGGAGATGTTATATGGACTACTAAGTATCAGGGCTGGACCTCCTCAGAGGGTTGCACCGCCCTAAATCCTACCTCCACTTCATCAAAGGAACCACCCTCTCTAGTTGCCAATCTTACCATTGCAACCCAGTACTTATCTTTATTAATACCCCTACCTCCACCAGCCCTACACCCACTTTAGAGTGCTTTTATGGCCTAGGAGCAGATGTCACTGGAAAGGACCCTATAGGCTTCTTCGAAACGCACTTTGTTCCTCCTCCTCCATCTTCCACCATTACGCCCTCCCCAAACCCACAAAATCAAACCATTTCTCTCTTCATGCCCAATGACAAAACCAAAGTAGCTAGAGTAGAAGTCAAGGACTTAAACCAAACCATAGCCATAGAAACCGGGTATCAAGATGTAAATGCCTGGCTGAAATGGATTAAATATTCTGTTGACACACTAAATAAAAGCGATTGTTATGCTTGTGCAACGGGCAGGCCAGAAATCCAAATTGTTCCCCTCCCACTCGGATGGGCCAACCAACCCGGCATGGACTGTATGGTAGCTCTCTTCTAGCACCCCACAGCTTGAGGAAACAAGTCATGTGCCACTCTTACTTTTCCCAAAGGTCAGGAGCCCTATGGGACAGCCCCCAAGGGCCATTCAACTTCCAGCTCTTGATGCCAATTTTACCTCATGTCTCTCATGGCAAGGGGAAAATTTGACATTCCTTGGAAACATAATAGGATGTAGTGACACTAAACTTTTTCAAACTTTTTTCAGTCAGTCGGCCCTATCCATCCCTGAGTGGATGTGTGGTGGTATTGTGGGGGACCAATATTGGGTACACTGCCAAACGACTGGAGTGGCACTTGCGCTCTGATCCAATTGGCCATCCCTTTCACCTTGGCATTTCATCAACCAGACAGGAAGCAGGTAACCTGAAGAAAAAGAGAAGTCCCAATTAACGGGTCCTTTGACCCCCACGTTTACATAGACAGCATTGGGGTCCTGCCGGGGGTACCAAATGAATTCAACACTTGAAACCAAATAGCTGCTGGGATCGAGTGTATCTTATTCTGGTGGTACACTATAAATAAAAATGTAGACTGGATAAATTATATATACTACAATCAGCAGCGATTCATCAATTATACCAGAGATGCCATAAAAGGAATAGCTGAACAATTAGGCCCTACCAGCCAGATGGCCTGGGAAAATAGAATAGCGCTTGACATGATGTTAGCCAAAAAAGGCGGAGTCTGTGTCATGATTGGGGTCCAGTGTTGTACTTTTATCCCTAATAATACACCACCCGATGGGACAATCTCAAAAACCTTACAAGGCCTTACCACCCCAGCAAATGAATTAGCCGAAAACTCTGGAATAGAAGATCCCTTTATGGGCCTGATGGAAAGGTGGTTTGGAAAATGGAAAGGACTCATGACCTCAATCATTACCTCCCTTGCAATTGTTACAGGTGTACTCATCCTTGTGGGCTGCTGTATCATACCCTATATTCGTGGGTTAACCCAAAGGCTCATAGAAGCAGCTCTCACAAAATCCTCCCCTACGTCTCCCCCTCTGTACTCAGATAAGTTCTTGCTCCTAGATAATCAAGAAGAACAACAAAGCCAAATCCTGTTGAAGAAATCTGAAGAGGAAGAGCTATAGAACAGAAGAGGGGAAATTGTTGGGACAACTAAGTGCCTCTTCAAAGACTCAACTTTCCGCTCGTAAGTTGTAAAAGTTGTAAATCAATCCTACCTGCCCCCCTTCTTCTTCTTTTTGCAAATTGTGCGTTTACCATATTTGGAAAAGTTTAAGTCTTAGCCAATCAGGATCAGCTTAGATTGTGCAGTCCAACCCCAGTCAATAGGGGAAGGACACAAAAACAGGAACTGCATTAGGATTAAAAACTCCTTCCCTCCTTTGTTTGGTGTGCTCTTGTGATTTTAACAGGCGCAAGCAGCACCATCCTGCAGAAGTAAAGGTGCCTTACTGAGAAATTTTCTGTCTAAGTGTGGGTTTCTTTTGGCTACGCCAAGCACTTGTTTCCAATAAATTTGGGGGCTCGTCTGGGATCCTGTTCTCCTTCGGGAGGGGCTAGCGATTATCTTTTATGGGGAGACGCATCCCACTGCCTCACTGTGGTAGCTCCAAATACCATTACATTGGAGGCTAGGGCTTCAACATGTAAATTATGGGGAGGACACAATTTAGTCTATAGCAGCCTATAAGCATTTTTTTTTTTTTGAGACAAAGTCTTGCTGTTTTGCCCAGGCTGGAGTGCAGTGGCATGATCTCAGTTCACTGCAATCTCTGCCTCCCAGGTCCAAGCAATTCTAAAGTTAACATTTTATTTGGGAGGCAAGAATTGCAATTCAAAGCATATACACAGACTGGGTGTTCTTTGGTTCACTTTGAGGTTTTACAAAAAGGAGAAATGTTACATATGGCTTTGAAAGAAAGTTCATTGGCACTAGGAAAGTTTTAGGTTGCTGGCAAGCTCTGATTGGTGAGTGACTGCAGTGGGTAAAACTAGTCCTTTGAGGCTGGGCTCAGTGGCTCAAGCCTGTAATCCCAGGACTTTGGGAGGTTTAGGTGAGTGGATCACTTAAGCCTGGGAGTTCAAGGCCAGCCTGGCAACATGATGAAACCCTGTCTCTACAAAAAAGACAAAAATTAACTGGGCTTGCTGGTATGCAGCTGTAGTTCCAACTATTTGGGAAGCTAAAGTGGGAGGATTGATTGAGCCCAGGAAGTCAAGGCTGCAGTGAGCCCCGCCCCAATCACACCACTGCACTTCAGCCTGGGTGACAGGGAGAGAGACCCTGTCAAAAACAAAACAACAACCAACAACAACAACAAAAACCACCAAAAAACCAAACTAGTCTTTGAGTCATGGCAGTTTGTTTCAATAGCTATTGGGTAAAACTGGTTTCAGGTTACAACAGGCAGTTTCAGCAGACAGGGTTGCAGAGAATTACATTCTTTGAGCAATGAAATGTGCCCTCAGTGTTTCCCCTCCCACCATTTTCGGTGGGTATGAGAAGAATGGCCCAATCTGTATGCTTAACTTTCACAAGTGTAATCCAGAGTAAGTCATGAAATTGATTTTAGTAGTGCTGAAGTATAATTTTCTGAAGAGTAAAACCATGACTCTCTTACAAATATAAAAAAAAAGTATCAAATATTTTATTTATCTCATTAACTTATAAGGGAGCCAGTAAGATATTTAGGAATGTAGCATGAATTTGCTAAGAATCAGGAATGTTTAAATGAATTTGCTGAGAAGGGTAAAAATGGCTTAATATGCTACAGGTCAATAAAACAATGTTTTGGTGTATCTTTTCTACAGACGGGCAAGAATTATTTTAAGTACTACCAGTTTTCTGGTGAAATACTTTAGTCAATAGAAAGTCAGAGCTCCCTATGGATGCAAATCCGTCCAGCCTTACACTGAAAGGGCACACAGAATTCTCTTTTCCTCATTTCCAAGTCTTTGACAATGTTTGCTGACAATAGGTCCCTGTTAGCAGTTTTTGGTAATGAAGTAGAAAAGAAGAAATAAAAATTTAGTGCACTGCGGGTCGTAAGTGTAAACATAGTTTTGTGAAGATTTTGTTTCAGGCCAGGCACAGTGGCTCACACCTCCCAGCACTTTGGGAGGCCGAGGCGGGCGGATCACTCGAGCCCAGGAGTTGGAGACCAGCCTGGTCAACATGGCGAAATCTTGTCTCTACTAAAAATACAAAAAATTAGCCTGGCGGTGGTGGCACAGGCCTGTAGTCCCAGCTACTCAGGAGGCTGAGGTGGGAGGACTACCAGAGCCCAGGAAGTCGAGGCTGCAGTGAGCCGAGATGGCACCACTGCACTCCAGCCTGGGCGACAAAGCCAGGCCCTGTCTCATAAAAAGAGAAAGAAATACACTTTGGGAGGCCGAGTCGGGCGGATCACCTGAGGTGGGGAGTTTGAGACCAGCCTGACCAACATGGAGAAACTCAGTCTGTACTAAAAATACAAAATTAGCCGGGCATGGTGGCGCATGCCTGCAATCCCAGCTACTTGAGAGGCTGAGGCAGGAGAATCGCTTGAACCCAGGAGGCGGAGGTTGCGGTGAGCCGAGATCCGGCCATTGCATTCATTCTAGCCTGGGCAACAAGAGCGAAATTCCGTCTCAAAAAATAAAAAATAAAAATAAAAATAAAGAAATGAGATTTTATGTTAGATATATACTTCTATATATATACTCACAAGTATGTGGTATTGAGTTTGATGTAAAATATTTTTGTTCACCGTAGGCTGGGATCAAAACAGTTTGAAAGCCACTAATGTGACACATGAGGGTCAACAGTGAAAAAAACTGGACTTTTGAGTTCTTCCTTCCCCAAAATAAGTATCCCTTCAGTGCCAGGCTCAGTCATGCACTCAGAAAACGATTCGAGAGAACAGTAGAGAAGGACCGTGCCAGGTGTTCGGCTCGTCTCTGCTTAACTGAGATCCGCGGCCTTCTTGGGACACCACAAGAATCAGAGTGCAAGCGGAATGGAAAGGGCGAGCCAGCCGGCCCCAGCAGGCAGAAGCAGAGGCTTGCAGCTAAGCTGTTGATCCTTGGGGAAGCAAGCCCAAGCCCTGGGCCCCATCAGTGGGCACTGAGAGGCGCCAGCGGCCCAGTCTCCCGCGAGCGGAAGAACCTCGCGCACGCGCAGTGAAAACCCAGGGCCCGCGAAGCGTCCGAAGTCCCTTCCCACCGCCCGGCTTCGCCTCCAGTTCTCGGGGAACTGTACGGCCCAGTCACTCCCGCCTCGTCACCCCCGCCAGGTTTCCCCCGCCCTCTCCGGCCGGGGCTGGTCGCGACTGCGCGCGCAGGGCCTGAGCGGGCGCCGGAGGGAAGGGGAAGCGGCGGGTAAGGAGGGCCTGCGTTCGGGCGCGTCTGTGACGGGGTTGGGAACTTCCTCTTCTACTCCCTCCGGCTTTCCGGACCCCTGAGGACTGGAGTGAGAGAAGCCTCTAGAACTGTGTATTTCCTTGTCTTTCCTTCTGCCGCCGCAGGCCTTCCTCCGACAGTCTAAGTGTCGCCCTCCCCAGACCTTCTCGTCCGGACCGCTCCTGCCTCCCCCGCCCCAACTGGGGAATCCTGAGGCTGTGTCCCCAGTCCCTCTGTTGTCGCCTCGTTTGTCTGAGATCCCTTCCCTGACCTTTAGGTAGCGCAGGAACGATTATTAGCTTTTAGTGTAGCAGCAGTTTAGGGCTAGCTCTCTAGGCCGGGCCCCCAACTCAAGCACAAAGAACCACGGGTGTTTTGACACTTGTTCCGGGGATTCTTTCTGACACCCCTTTGCTGAAGCAGTTTCCACATGTTCCCAGCAGTGAATTCAAAGCCAGCAAACATAGGTCCGCTTTAGTTCCTCTGGGCATTTCTACCGTTTCCTAATAATCTGCTTTTTTTTTTGAGACAGTCTCGCCCCTTCTCCTAGGCTGGAATGCAGTGGTGCGATCACAACTCACTGCAGCCTCGACTTCTCAGGCTCTAGCGATCCTCTCACCTCAGCCTCCCAAGTAGCCGGAAGTACAGGCTTGCCCCATCACAGCCAGCTAATGTTAAAACAATTTTTTTTGCGGCGGGGGGCTCGCTGTATTGCCCAGGCTGGTCTTGAACTCTAGGACTCAAGCGATCCTCCCTGGCCGGGCGCGGTGGCTCACGCCTGTAATCCCAGCACTTTGGGAGGCCGAGGCGGGCGGATCACGAGGTCAGGAGATCGAGACCATCCTGGCTAACACGGTGAAACCCCGTCTCTACTAAAAATGCAAAAAATTAGCCGGGCGTGGTGGCGGGCGCCTGTAGTCCCAGCTGCTCGGGAGGCTGAGGCAGGAGAATGGCGTGAACCCGGGAGGCGGAGCTTGCAGTGAGCCGAGATCGTGCCACTGCACTCCAGCCTGGGCGACAGAGCGAGACTCCGTCTCAAAAAAAAAAAAACAAAAAACAAAAACAAAACAAAAAAAAAAAACAAAAAATCAAGCGATCCTCCCGACAGGACATCCCAAAGTGCTGGGGTTATAGGTGTGAGCCACCTTGCCCAGTCAACAATCTGCTTTTCAAGTTTGGGGCACGTGAGGCATGCAACGTCACAGAATTGTGCTCTTTTCCTTTGGAAATATGGTCACTCCACATGCCACCTTTTGGGATGACGTTCCTACTCCACTGACAGTGGGATGGTATCAGCAGTTACTGAGAAGCATGGTAACAGACTAGTATTTCTGTTGTCTGCCACCCGAATGGATATTCAGTCAACTCTTTCTTGTAGCAGGAGGCAGCATTTTAGCTCAGTGGCTGTGCTTGATGCCTTGAAGTAGGGGACAGAGGAGGTACCTTGTAATTAAACCACTAGGGTTCAAAATGTGCTGACAGAAATGTAAAACAGAAAAGGCCTGACAGTCATGTCATGTTGATAATAGTTCCAGGTCACATTTCTGTGTAGGGCCAAATACATGGTTTCTCCGCCCCCACCCCCTTTTTTTCCTTTTTTTTTTTTGAGACGGAGTCTCTCTGTTGCCCAGGCTGGAATGCAGTGGCTCCATCTCCACTCACTGCAACCTCTGCCTCCCAGGTTCAAGCGATTCTCCTGCCTCAGCCGCCCACGTCACTGGGATTACAGGCGCCCACCACCATGACTGGGTAATTTTTTGTATTTTTTAGTAGAGATGGGGTCACCATGTTGGCCAGGCTGGTCCTGAACGCCTGACCTCTGGTGATCCACCCGCCTCAGCCTTCCAAAGTGCTGGGATTAAAGGCGTGAGTCACCGCACCTGCTTTTTGTTGTTGTTGTTGTTGAGACACGGTCTTGCTCTGTTGTCCAGGCTGGAGTGCAGTGGCACCATCTCAGCTCACTGCAGCCTGGACTTCCCTGGCTCAGGTGGTCCTCCCACCTCAGCCTCCCCTGAGTAGCTGGGACTACAGGCCTGTGCTATCATGCCTGGCTAATTTTTTTGTATTTTTAGTAGAGACAGGGTTTAGCCATGTTGCCCAGACTGGTCTCAAACTCCTGGACTCAAGCGATCTGCCTGCCTCAGCCTCCTAAAAATCTGGGCTTACAGGTATGAGCCACTGTGCCCAGCCCCTTTCACCCTCTTTAAAAAATTTATTTTTCACTTCAATTTGGGTGACAGAGTGAGACCCTGTCCCCCAAAATAGATATTTTTTAAATTGGCACATAATAATTGTTTTATATTTACATTTATGAGGTACAGTGTGATATTTTGATACATGTATATAATGTATAATTATCAAATCAGGGTAATTACCATATTCATCACCTCAAACACTTCTTGCTATTATATGCTAGTTATATGTAATATGTTGATATTCTGTAGATGGTGATATGAAGTTTTAGCAGCTACCTTCGAATCTCTCAATCAAATTTCTCAATAAGTTAATTCCTAGAAAGTGATGATAATCAGCCTTGTTATTTTGACTTTGATAAGTTTAAATGCTATAAACGTAACCATTTTTTTTCTAACATCAGCCCACACTATAAGTCTTATTACCCATTGTCATTGATACCTAAATTACAAAATCTTAGTCATCTTAAATTTCCCTGTGCTATTCCATATGTCTTATATTACAGGATCTCATGGTTTTTTTTTTTTTTTTTTTTTTTTTTTTTTTTTGAGACAGAGTCTTGCTCTGTTACCCAGGCTGGAGAGCGGAGGGCAGTGGTGTGATCTCAGCTCACTGCAACCTCCATCTCCTGGGCTCAGGTGATTCTTGTGCCTCAGCCTCCCAAGTAGCTGGGATTATAGCCCTGATCCACCACGCCTGGCTAATTTTTATATTTTTAGAAGAGACGGGGTTTTGTCATGTTGGTCAGGTTGGTCTCGAACTCCTGGATTCAAGTGATCCTCACGCCTCAGCATCCCAACGTGCTGGGATTACAGGCGTGAGCCACTGTGCCCAGCAGTTTCTTTATTTAAAAAGTAATTTAGAACGTGTCCGGTGGCCTAATAATTCCTATGCAGTGTGATATGGTGGAACAGTCCTGGATTTAGAGTAAGAAGGCCTGGATTCAGATACTGAGACTGTCATACTAACATTGTATCCTTGGGGAAACTTTGAGCTTCAGTTTCCTTTTCTCTCATTTTAGATAAGATTATCTTTTCTTCTCACCTCTTAATTATTGTGAGAGTTACCATTGACATAATATGTGGAGAAGTTAAAAGTTAAAAAAAAAACCCAACCTAAGCTGTTGTTATTTCTCCTTGTTCTCATTCATTTCACAAACATTGGAAACCTAACATATGTTATATACTGGTGCTAAAGCTATGAAAGATAGTACCTGCCTTTAAAGGGCTGTGTTTCAAGGAGCTCTGAAGCGCGCGCGCGCGCTCGTGTGCGCGCGCATGCGCGCACTAAGAGTAGGGTGGTAGGGTATTTGATAAGGTAGACCTGTGCTATAGAATGTAAAACCAATAAGCTTAGGGTGAGCAACAAACTCAGATGAGTTTGGGAACATATTTCCACAATTCCAGAGGAGCAATGGGGAAAGGTTCCTGGAGGAAGTTATATTTGAACAGAGTCTTAAATTATAACAAGAATCCCGAAGGGCTTTGTGTGCTACGGGAAGTGTACACATTGAATGATTTTAAGCAGTTAGACTGATCACAACTGCTTTTCGAAAGTTGCTGTTGTCTGTGATGTGTGCTCTGTGATGTGTGCTTTGTTAACTTTCTGTCTTTGTGTTTTATTATTATTTTTTTTACTCCATCAAGAAGTGTCCTCTCCTCATACCTTAATATTAACTGTTTATCTTTCAGTTTCTAGTGCAGGTCCCATTTCTTGTGTGAAGCATTCTCCAATTATTTTAGCTTCCCTACTTATTTCATTCTCTGAAACCATATTAGAAATAGTAATAGTACCACACTTTAGTCCTTATTTGTTTTATGTCCTTAAGTAGATTTTAAGTATAGAGAATGCTTCTTATGTGTGAATAGAAAGCATGTTAAAAAAATTTTGTTGCTTGATCTCTTTGTATTTTGTTTTTCAGGGTAGTAACAGATTATGGGCAACAGTCCTTTTAATTAATCTACCGTCATCATGGCTAATGAGGACTGTCCCAAGGCTGCTGATAGTCCTTTTTCATCAGATAAACATGCCCAACTCATCTTGGCCCAAATCAATAAGATGAGAAATGGACAGCATTTCTGTGATGTGCAGCTGCAAGTTGGACAGGAAAGTTTTAAAGCTCATCGGCTGGTTTTGGCTGCCAGCAGTCCTTACTTTGCAGCTTTGTTCACTGGAGGAATGAAAGAGTCCTCAAAAGATGTTGTACCGATTCTAGGAATTGAAGCAGGAATCTTTCAGATACTTCTAGATTTCATTTACACAGGTATGTTACATGAGTCTGTTGCTTTGACTGAAGAATGATTCAATCACTCATGCACTAATGTGGAAATATAAATTGATCTAACTTATCTAGAAGGTAATTTAGCAACATGTTATTATGTGACTGAAAATTCATATCTTATGACCCGGTGCTCCTTTTCTAGGAATCTGAAGGAATTAATTAGTGATGCAGGCACATATTTACAAACCAGGATTTTATTGTAACATTATTATTATTATTTTATTTTATTCTTTTTTTGAGATGGAGTCTCTCTCTGTCGCCCAAGCTGGAGTGCAGTGGGGCGATCTTGGCTCATGGCAACCTCTGCCTCCCAGGTTCAAGCGATTCTCCTGCCTCAGCCTCCTGAGTAGCTGGGACACAGGCGCATGCCACCACACCTGGCTAATTTTTTTTTTTTTTTAATTTTTAGTAGAGACAGGATTTCACTGTGTTAGCCAGGATTGTCTCGATCTCCTGACCTCATGATCCGCCCGCCTTGGCCTCCCAAAGTGCTGGGATTACAGGCGTGAGCCACTGCGCCTGGCCTGTGACTTTATTTATAGTAGTATATAATTGAATAAAATCTTGTCTCAGTAGGTTTTATGGCTAAATAAATTATGATACATGTATAGATCTCACAAATGAGATCTAACAAATCTTAAAATATATGTATACTATTATGGAAGAATGTTTACAATATATAAAATTTTAAAAATCAGGATATAAATAAACCCCTATTTTGTTTGAAACACAACCCAAAAAAACTTATATGTATTTACACATGAGAAAGCAGCCAGAATGTTTGATAGCATTTATCTGTAGGTAATTTTTTTCCACAAAGTGTTTATAATCAGCATATGTTATTTTACTCAAAACTATCTCTTAAATGTTTTTGAAGAGTTTTAATAACATTAGAGAATGTACACAGGGGCACAGTGGTTCATGCCTGTAATCCCAGCACTTCGGGAGGCCAATGTGAGAGGATTGCTTGAGGCCAGGAGCTCAAGACTATGCAGGACAACATAGCAAGACCCCATTTCTAAAACAAAAAAAATTTTGTTTGAGACAGGGTCTCTCTCTGTTGTCTAGGCTGGAGTGTGGTGGTGCACTCACACTTCAATGCAGCCTTAATCTCCTGGGCTCAAGTAGTGCTACCATCTCACCACCCTGCATAGCTGTGACTACAGGTATGTGCCACCATGCCTGACTAATGTAAAACAAATTTTTTGTAGAGACAGGGTCTCACTACATTGCCCAGGCTAAAAAAAAATTTTTTTTTTTTTTTGAGACAGAGTCTCGCTCTGTCACCAGGCTGGAGTGTAGTGGCGTGGTCTCGGCTCACTGCAACCTCCGCCTCCCAGGTTCAAGTGATTCTCCTGCCTCAGCCTCCCGAGTAGCTGGGACTACAGGCACGTGCCACCATGCCCAGCTAATTTTTATATTTTTAGTATAGACGGGGTTTCACCATGTTGGCCAGGATGGTCTCGATCTCTTGACTTCGTGATCCACCTGCCTCGGCCTCCCAAAGTACTGGGATTGCAGGCGTGAGCCACTACGCCTAGCCAAAAAAAAATTTTTTTTAATTAGCTGGGTGTGTGGCTTGTGTCTTTAGTCCCAGCTAACGGGAGGCTGATGTGGGAGGATCCAGGAGTTTGAGGCTGCAGTGAGCTATGATCAAGCTGCTGCACCCTGGACTGGGAGACAGAGTGAGACCCCATCTCTGAATAAAATAAAACAACTGGAATGATGAAGAGGGGAGTAGGGGAAGGGGAAAGAAAGAGAAGGCACACCAAAACGATGTATAGTCTTACAGGATATGCAATAAATATGCATAGAAAAAAGATTTGAAAGGCTGAGATGGGATGATCACTTGAGCCCAGGATGCTGCGGCTTCAGTGAGTGATGATCATGCTACTGCACTCCAGCCTGGGCAACAGAACAAGACACTGTCTCAAAAAGAGAGAGAGAAAAACTATGTGAAGAAAGACACTACAGTGTTAATACAATGTATGTCTGTGTATGGAAAAATATGTTTTTCATTTTAGTTTTTCTGTCTTAAAGTTCTTTTTCCACAGTGAATATATATTACTCTTTTTTTTTTTTTTGGTGACGGGGTTTCACTTTGTCGCCCAGGCTGGAGTATAGTGGCACAATCTTGGCTCACTGCAACGTCTGCCTCCCAGTTTCAAGCGATTCTCCTGCTTCAGCCTCCCAAGTAGCTGGGATTATAGGCTTGCACTAACATGCCCAGCTAATTTTTGTATTTTTTTTTTTAGTAGAGACGGGTTTTCACCATGTTGGCCCGGCTGGTCTCAAACTCCTGACCTCAAGTGATCCACTCACCTCAGCTTCCTAAAGTTCTGGGATTACAGGGGAGAGCCACTGTGCCCAGCCTCTTTTATTTTTTATTTTGTGAGACAGAGTCTTGCTTTGTCACCCACGCTGGAATGCAGTGGCAAAATCATTGCAGCTTGACCTCCAGGGCTCAAGCTATCCTCCCACCTCAGCCTCCTGAGTACCTGTAGGACCACAACACACACCACCATGCCTGGCTAATTTTTAAATTTTTTTTGTAGAGATTATGTCTAGCTATGTTGCCCAGACTGGTCTCAAACTCCTAGGCTCAAGCAATCCTCCCACCTCAGCCTCCCTAGTAGCTGAGACTACAGGCGCACATGCTACCACACCTGGCTAATTTTTTTTTTTTTGAGGCGGAGTCTTGCTGGGCTTAGTGGCGCACACCTGTAGTCCCAGCTACTCAGGAGGCTGAGCCAGGAGAATTGCTTGAACCTGGGAGGCAGAGGTTGCAGTGAGCAGAGACCATGCCACTGTACTCTAGCCTGGGCAACAGAGCAAGAGCCTGTCTCAGAAAAAAAAAAAAAAAAAGATGGGTGTGGTGGCTCACGCCTGTAATCCCAGCACTTTGGGAGGCTGAGGTGGGTGGATCACCTGAGGCCAGGAGTTCGAGACCAGCCTGACCAACATGGTGAAACCTCGTCCCTACTGAAAATACAAAAATTAGCTGGTTATGGTGGTGCGCATCTGTAATCCTGGCTACTTAGGAGGCTGAGGCAGGAAAATCACTTGAACCCAGGAGGTGTTGGTTGTAGTGGGCCGAGGATGCACCACTATACTCCAACCTGGGTGACATAGTGAGACTCTGTCTCGAAAAAAATAAAAAAATAAAAAAATAAAAAAAAGAAAGTGAAGCCCTTGGAAAAGAAAGTGGTATACGTAGTTAAGTATTTAATAGTTTCTCTTATGTTATAGATTATTGGTTATTCCTAATATTAAAAACTAGCATTGTGTATAATCCCTGCACTTTGGGAGGCTGAGGTGGGTGGATTGCTTGAGCCCAGGAGTTTGAGATCAGCCTGGGCAATGCGGCAAAACCCTGTCTCTAAAAAAAAAACCACAGAAAATTAGCCGATCATGGTGGTGAGTGTCTGTAGTACCAGCTACTCGGGAGGTTGAGGTGGGAGGCTCACCTGAGCGTGGGAGGCAGAGGTTGCAGTGGGCCAAGATTGCGCCACTGCACTCCAGCCTGGACAACAGAATGAGACACTGTCTCAAAACAAGCACAAACAAAAAATGAACATTATGTGGCGTTTTATCATAATTGAAGATAGAGACCTTGTCTTACTCTCCCCAGTGCCTCAGTAAATGTCTGTTACATGCATATAACCTTATGTTAAAAGCATAGACTTTATTTGTTGTTGTTGCTGTTGTTGTTTGTTTTTTTTCTTTCCAACTTTTAGGTTCAAGAGGTACATATGCGGGTTTGTTCCATGGGTAAATTGTGTGTCTTGGGGGCTTGGTATGTAGATAATTTTGTCCCCCAGTTAATCAGTATAATACCTGATAGGTAGTTTTTCAATCTTTACCCTCCTCCTACCCTCCACTCTCAAGTAGGCCCGAATGTGTATCCATGTCTTCTTGGTGTCCACGTGTATGCAATGTTTAGCTCCCATTTATGAGTGAGAACATATGATATTTGGTTTTCTGTACTTGTGTTAATTTGCTTAGAATCATGGCCTCCAGCTCCATCTGTGTTGCTGTAAAGCACATGATTTCCTTCTTTTTTATGGCAAAAGCATGGACTTTGATGTCAACCCCTACCTTGCAACTTGCTTTACCATGCAACTTGTGGACAAGTGACTTAAACTTTGATTCTGTTTCTTTAATATGAAAATAAGGCTGGGCGCGGTGGCTCACGCCTGTAATCCCAGCACTTTGGGAGGCCGAGGCGGGCGGATCACAAGGTCAGGAGATCGAGACCATCTTGGCTAACACGGTGAAACCCCGTCTCTACTAAAAATACAAAAAATTAGCCGGGCGCAGTGGCGGGCGCCTGTAGTCCCAGCTACTCGGGAGGCTGAGGCAGGAGAATGGCGTGAACCTGGGAGGCGGAGCTTGCAGTGAGCCAAGATTGTGCCACTGCAATCCGGCCTGGGCTAAAGAGCGGGACTCCGTCTCAAAAAAAAAAAAAAAAAAAAAAAGAAAATAAGAAAAATAATAATATCTACCACATGGGATTATAATAAGGGTTAAATTAGCATATAAAGCAATTAATACTGCACCTGGTTCATTGTAAGTTTTTCATAAATGTGTTAGGTATCGTTATCGTTTAAATTTTGTGCTCTTTACTCAAATCCTTGATTGCCTTTTTTAGTGTCTGTCTACTCTGCAGGCATCAAACTATCAGTGAAATCAAGTATAATACTTTTTGAATATGGTAAGCCAATGTTTGTTTTTATTTTATTGGCCATTTTGTCTTCCTACTTCTCTAGGTATAGTGAACATAGGTGTGAATAATGTCCAGGAGTTGATTATTGCAGCAGACATGCTACAGTTGACTGAAGTTGTTCATCTTTGCTGTGAATTTCTGAAAGGACAAATTGATCCACTGAACTGCATTGGAATTTTTCAGTTCTCTGAGCAAATTGCCTGCCATGATCTCTTGGAATTCTCAGAAAACTACATTCATGTCCATTTCTTGGAGGTTCATAGTGGAGAAGAGTTCCTGGCACTTACGAAAGATCAGCTGATCAAAATTTTGCGAAGTGAAGAGCTTAGCATTGAGGATGAATACCAGGTCTTCTTAGCTGCAATGCAATGGATTCTGAAAGATTTGGGAAAAAGAAGAAAACATGTGGTGGAAGTGCTAGACCCAATTCGATTCCCTTTATTACCTCCTCAGAGACTTTTAAAGTATATAGAAGGTAACTTTTTTGCTATATATCGAATTAGTTGATTAATTATCCAGTGATGTGTTCTCTGAAATGTGGGAGAGTGTTTTCATTTTTTGGTTCAGTAACAGACATTTATTGAATGATTACTCTTTTTTTTTCTTTTTTTAAAATGTATTGAATGATTAAGATACAACTTTTGTGTTCTGTGGGTGGGCAGTAGTATTTTAATATTTCTACCCACTATTTTTATCAAAATCTTTCTTGAGATTGATTACTAAGGCAGATTAGTGTTATAGATAAAAATTACTGACAGAGCTACTAACATACCACTGCTGTTGACAGAACCAATTATTTCAGTTAAGATTTCCTAGGGGGGGTCAGCCCCCCGCCCGGCCAGCCGCCCTGTCTGGGAGGGAGGTGGGGGGGTCAGCCCCCCGCCCGGCCAGCCGCCCCGTTCGGGAGGGAGATGGGGGGTTCAGCCCCCCGCCCGGCCAGCCGCCCCGTCCGGGAGGTGAGGGGCGCCTCTGCCCGGCCGCCCCTACTGGGAAGTGAGGAGCCCCTCTGCCCAGCCACCACCCTGTCTGGGAGGTGTACCCAACAGCTCATTGAGAACGGGCCATGATGACAATGGCGGTTTTGTGGAATAGAAAAGGGGGAAAGGTGGGGAAAAGATTGAGAAATCGGATGGTTGCTGTGTCTGTGTAGAAAGAGGTAGACATGGGAGACTTTTCATTTTGTTCTGTGCTAAGAAAAATTCTTCTGCCTTGGGATCCTGTTGATCTATGACCTTACCCCCAACCCTGTGCTCTCTGAAAAATGGGCTGTGTCCACTCAGGGTTAAATGGATTAAGGGCGGTGCAAGATGTGCTTTGTTAAACAGATGCTTGAAGGCAGCATGCTCGTTAAGAGTCATCACCACTCCCTAATCTCAAGTACCCAGGGACACAAACACTGCGGAAGGCCGCAGGGTCCTCTGCCTAGAAAACCAGAGACCTTTGTTCACTTGTTTATCTGCTGACCTTCCCTCCACTATTGTCCTATGACCCTGCCAAATCCCCCTCTACGAGAAACACCCAAGAATGATCAATTAAAAAAAAAAAAAAAAAGATTTCCTCTTGCTACTCTGAAAAATTAAGCAAAACCTAACACTTGGAGAAAATGCATACACTAAAAATAAAAAAATTCAATGAATCCTGTAAATCCTTTCATTATAAAATAAATTTGGTATTGATATACAATTATGGCCTCTGAGTAGCCTTTGAATCATCTTTAGATTCTAAACTTAATTCTGAAAATATGTTTTACCATAGTATAAAATAGTTTTTATGTTTATATTAGAAAAATGATGTTTAAATTTATTTCTAAGAATTACTTTAGGCCAGGTGCAATGGTTCACGCCTATAATTCTGGCACTTTAGCAGGCCAAGGCAGGCAGATCGCTTTAGCACAAGAATTCAAGACCAGCCTGGGCAACATGGTGAAACCCTGTCTCTACAAAAAAAAAAAAAAAAAAAAAAAAAAGGCAAAAAATTAGCCCAGCACGGTGGCATGCACTTATAGTCACTGCTACCTGGGAGGCTGAGGTGGGAGGATCACCTGAGTCCAGGAGGTCAAGGCTACATTGAGCCAGGATTGTGCCATTGCTCTCCAGCCTACTTTAGACCTGGTTTTGAGATTTGAAGTTTTTACTCTTGTCATGCACTGAAAGATTAGGTTGCTATTGAATTACAAATGATTTTATTACAAGTTAAATACACTACTAAGCATTAACGGTGTAATTCTGTAAATACATAATTTAAAATAATGAGTTATTAGTTTTTCTCCACTCTTAGCAATGTTAACATAATTTTGTAGGTTTTTCTGAGTGATATCTTGTTTTACTACAGATATAGTTGATTGTTATTTGCAGTAGCTATGTTGTATAAGTCTGCTGCAAACACGGAATTAGCAAATACTGAACAATTGCTCCTAGGGGAAATACAGGTTTAGGTTCCTGCAAGCCTATAGTCACAACATTTTTGTCACATAGTCAATAGAGCCTTGTTTTATATAGATTTTTTTCTTGTTTTTTTTTTTTTTTTTTTTTTTTTTGAGATGGAGTCTTGCTCTGTCACCCAGGCTGGAGTGCAGTGGCACAATCTCGGCTCACTGCAAGCTCCGCCTCCTGGGTTCACACCATTCTCCTGCCTCAGCCTCCCAAGTAGCTGGGACTACAGGCGCCCGCCACCATGCCCGGCTAATTTTTTGTATTTTTAGTAGAGACAGGGTTTCACCGTGTTAGCCAGGATGGTCTCGATCTCCTGACCTCGTGATCCACCCGCTTCGGCCTCCCAAAGTGCTGGGATTGTAGGTGTGAGCCACTACGCCCGGCCTATATAGGTTTTTGTCTAAAACCACCTTATTTAATATATATTATTGATTCATTAACAATGAACTCATGGCCACCAGTCTATAACTCATCCCTGAATGAAACTCTATCTAACATAGGTATTTTCTCTGTAAGGCACTTCATAGCTTTCTTGCACTTAGGGACACTAGGTAACAACTGAACATTATGGTTAGGGGCCATTTTAAACAGCAAAATTACCAACAAAAAGCACAAAAATGCAAAAAAAAAAATGACACTAAATAGACTGTGGAAAAGGATACTTGTTTATAGCATAAGAGCTGAAATGAGAAGACAGAGTGAAACTTTGACCTCACCCAGAAAGTACATGTAGGGTGATTTAAATTTTTTGCCACTCTGTGCATGTCTGTGAATGACTGCAAAAGAACAAGTGCAGTAGTCCCCCTTTATCCATGGGGGATACATTCTAAGAACCCCCCAGTGGATGCCTGAAACTGTAGGTGATAATGAACCTAATGTACATTATGTTTTTTCCTATAAATACATACCTATGATAAAGTTTAATTTATAAATTAGAGACAGTAAGAGATTAATAATAGCTAATAATAAAGTAGAACAATTATGTTCATATTTGTAATAAAAGTTATGTGGATGTACTTTATCTTAAAATATCTTATTATACTGTCCTTACCCTTCTGGTGATGATATGAGATGATAAAGTACCTATGTGATAAGATGAAATGAGGTGAATGACCTAGGCATTGTGTTACAGTGTTAGGCTGTTAATCAAAACTAATGTAAAACTTAAGAACTGTGTATTTCTGGGCCAGGCACGGTGGCTCATGCCTGTAATCCCCGCACTTTGGGAGGATGAGGTGGGCAGATCACTTGAGCCTAGGAGTTCAAGACCAGCCTGGGCAACATGGTGAAACCTGTGTCTACAAAAAATAGAAAAATTGGCTGGGGATGGTGGCATGTGCTTGTAGACCCAGCTATTCATGGGGCTGAGGTGGGAAGGTCACTTGAACCCAGGAAGCTGAGGCTGCAGTGAGCCAAGATTGTACCACCGTACTCTAGCCTGGGTGGCAGAGCCAGACCCTGTCTCAAAAAAAAAAAAAAAAAAAAAGAATTGTTTATTTCTGGAATTTCCACTTAATATTTTGGAAATATTAATGGGTAATTGAAATCATGGAAAGTAAAACTGCAGATAAGGGGACTACTATATTAATTTTGGGGTTACAAATACATTTTAGCAAGTAGGTATATTCACAAATAAGGAATACATCTTATTCCTTATTTAATTGTGTATAGGAATACACTATTTAAATGTTTAAACAAGGGAGAGAAATTATCCAGACACACATTGGCATGAATCAGGTGAGAATTTAGGAGTGGGACAAAAGCTTTCATGACTGAGTTGGTTTTTCCAAGTGTAGCAGACACAGAGTACTAACAGAAATTTCTTCTGCTAGGAGCAAGGCAGTGTCCCCTAGAAATGGGACATGTTTTCCTACAGCTTTTTCTTTTTTTTTTTTTTTTTTGAGATGGAGTCTCGCTCTGTCGCCCAGGCTGGAGTGCAGTGGCGCGATCTCGGCTCACTGCAACCTCCGCCTCCCGGGTTCATGCCGTTCTCCTGCCTCAGCCTTCCGTGTAGCTGGGACTACGGGCGCCCGCCACCACGCCCGGCTAATTTTTTTTTTGTATTTTTAGCAGAGACGGGGTTTCACCATGTTAGCCAGGATGGTCTCGATCTCCTGACCTCTTGATCCACCCTCCTTGGCCTCCCAAAGTGCTGGGATTACAGTCATGAGCCACCGCGCCCGCCTCCTACAGCCTTTTAAAATTATAATTTATAATTTAAAATTAGACACAGTGAGAGTGTCTAATTCAAGTCCCGAAGTGTTTTTTAAGCATGCCCAGTAGTTATCATCTAGTGGTATTTCAGTGAAGGAAAATACTGCAACGATCAAGGGAGAAGTAAATTGATTTTTTTTTAAGGCAACCATAATATTTTTCAACTTTGAAACTTTTCCTCTTTGATCATATTGGAGAAAATATAAGCAACTTGTGTAGAAAAATGAGACTATAAAATTCAGAGGGAGCAAAATCTTAAATGGTTAAGTTATATTACATGAAATGCGTAGATTTTTTTCCATAGTATATATATTATTGTACTTACAACTGAAATAATTTAGGCAATTTAATATTATTAGATATTTGATTATATGTCTGTTTCTTATATTTTAGAGAATGATTTTACTTATCTTTAAATGGAATATGCTTATTATAAAAAGTTTAGGTAATACAGAAATATAAAAACAACAATAGGCTCGGCGTGGTGGTCACAACTGTAATTCCAACACTTTGGGAGGCCAAGGCGGGATGATCACTTGAGACCAGGAGTTTGAGACTAGCCTGGGCTGAACATAGTGAGACCCTGTCTCTACAAAAAAAAATTTTTTTTTTTTTTTTTGAGATGGAGTCTCGCTCTGTCACTGAAGCTAGAACGCAGTGGTGTGATTTCGGCTCACTGCAACCTCCGCCTCCTGGGTTCAAGTGATTCTCCTGCCTCAGCCTCCCCAGTAGCTGGGACTGCAGGCCTGTGCCACCACGCCCGGATAATTTTTTGTATTTTTAGTAGAGACAGGGTTTCACCATGTTAGCCAGGATGGTCTTGATCTCCTGACCTCATGATCCACCCTCCTTGGCCTCCCAAAGTGCTGGGATTACAGGCGTGAGACACCGCGCCTGGCCTACAAAAAAATTTTTTTTAAAAATTAGCCAGGCGTGGCCTGGTGTGGTGTCACGCATCTGTAGTCCCAGCTACTCGAGAGGCTGAGGCAGGAGAATTGCTTGAACCGAGGAGGCGGAGGTGGCAGTGAGCCAAGATCGCACCACTGCACTCCAGCCTGGCGACAGAGCAAGACTCTATCTCACAAAAAAAAAAAAAAAAAAAAAAAAATAGCCAGGTCTGGTGGTGCTTGCATATAGTCCCAGCTAGGAGGATCAATTGAGCCAAGGAGGTCGAGGCTGCAGTGAGCTGTGATCATGCCACTTCACTCCAGCCTGGGTTAGAGAATGAGACCCTGTCTCAAAAAAAAAAAAAAAAAAAAAAAAGCAAAATTAAATCAATAAAAAATAAAATAAGATAAAAAATAAAGCAAGACCTTGTTTCTACAAAAACAACATTTAAAATTAGTTGCTGGGTGTGGTGTCTCATGCCTTTAATCCCAGCACTTTGGGAGGCAGAGGCAGGTGGATCCCTTGAGGTCAGGAGTTCGAGACCAGCCTGGCCAATATGGTGAAACTCTGTCTCTACTAAAAATACAAAAATTAGCTGGGCGTGGTGGCATGTGCCTGTAGTCCCTGCTACTCTGGAGGCTGAGGCAGGAGAATCACTTGAACCCAGGAGGTTGAGGTTACAGTGAGCTGAGATCGCACCACTGCACTGGAGCCTGGGTTACAAAGCAAGACTCCATCTCAAAATAAAAGCAAATAAAATTAGGCTGGGCACAGTGGCTCACGCCTGTAATCCCAGCACTTTGGGAGGCCAAGGCAGGCAGATCACCTGAGGTCAGGAGTTCTAGACCAGCCTGGCCAACATGGTGAAATCCTGTCTCTACTAAAAATATAAAAATTAGCTGGGTGTGGTGGCACACACCTGTAGTCCCAGCTACTTGGGAGGCTGAGGCAGGAGAATTGCTTGAACCTGGGAGGTGGAGGTTGGTATGAGCTGAGTTTGTGCCACTGCACTCCCACCTGGCAACAGAGCAGGACTCTGTCTCAAAGAAAAAAAAATAGCCAGGTGTGGTGGTGCATGTCTGTATTCCCAGCCACTCAGGAAGCTGAGGCAGGAGAATTGCTTGAACCCAGGAGGCAGAGGTTGCAGTGAGCCGAGATCTCACCACTGCGCTCCAGCCTGGGCGATAGAGTGAGATTCTGTATCTAAATAAATAAATAAGTAAATAATTTAAAATTACCCTGGCATGGTGGTGCCTACTAGTAGTCCCAGCTACTTGGTGGGAGGCCGATGGGGGAGGATCACTTGAGCTCAGGAGTTTGAGGCTGCAGTGTGCTATGACTGTGCCAGTGCACTCCAGCCTGAGCAACAGAGCAAGACTCTTGTCTCAAAGAAAAAAAAATAAGGAAGAAAAGAATAAAAATAAAAATAATTTTATACATATTATTTATAATACAAAAAATTTACCTAAATCTTGCTATAAGTTAACAAAAGAAGAAACTGAAGTAATAACTAATTTCAGATTTATGTTCCCTTGTCCCAAGAAATATTTATTCTAAAAGGTTCATGTAGAATTAAGGACAAAAGATGAAAATCATTAAAAGAATCATAGTTTCAAATTGTATTTCAATTTTAAACAGTATCAACTTTTTGCTAAGAAAAATTAGGTAATTAGCATTTTTATTTTTCTTTCCACTCCTTTTTTTGTGTCAAGGTGTATAGCCCTTATTTATATATATATTTGTAGTCATGATTCCCCTAGCTCTGTCCTTTTAGTTTTGAATTTAAATGGATTTGATGTTCTCTACCAGCTTTTTGACCATGGTCTTTTCATTGATGATTTTTTTTAATATGCATTGTTTTGGTTGGCTGGATTTCATCATCAAGTGCTTTTTTAAAGAAAGCCTCATGATTACTGTGTTTCCTGAATTCCTTCATATTTGAGAATTTCTATGTGTTGCTTTTTAAATTTCACACCAATTTGGGTGGGCATAATACTGTTTTTTTTTTTTGAGACGGAGTCTTACTCTGTCTCCCAGGCTGGAATGCAATGGCGTGATCTCGGCTCACTACAACCTCCGCCTCCCAGGTTCAATCGATTCTCCTGCCTCAGCCTCCCGAGTAGCTGGGATTACAGATGCCCACCGCCACACCCGACTAATTTTTGTATTTTTAGTAGAGACGGGGTTTCGCCATATTGGCCAGGCTGGTTTTGAACTCCTGACCTCAGGTGATCCGTCTGCCTCGGCCTCCCAAAGTGCTCAGGCGTGAGCCACCATGCCTGGCCAATATTCTTTAATTATAATGATTCTCCTATGTCTCCTCTCCTCAAATTTTGTAAGGCATAGTTTGGATTTTGGGGTTTTTTTTTTTAATGACTTGCTTATTTATTTATTTATTTATTTATTTATGTTTTTTTGAGATGAAGTCTTACTTTGTCACCCAGGCTGGAGTCAGTGGTGTGATCTCAGCTCACTGCAACTTCTGCCTGCTGGGTTCAAGCAATTCTTCTGCCTCAGCCTTCTGAGTAGCTGGGGACTACAGGCGTGCACCACTATGCCCGGCTAATTTTTGTATTTTTAGTAGAGATGGGGTTTCACCATATTGGCCAGGCTGTTCTCGAACTCCTGACCTTGTGATCTGCCCACCTCGGCCTCCCAAAGTGCTGGGATTACAGGCGTGAGCCGCTGCACCTGGCCATGACTTGATTTTTCTGATTGAATATCTAAGGAATTCTCTTTCATTATTCTTGATTTGTTTTGAAGTTGATCATTTTTTCATTAGACTGCCATATATCTTTTCTCTTTGAAATTTTAGTTTTTCCTTCATTTTGGGGAAATTTTCTTATGTGAAATTTCTAAATACTTTAAATGTTTCAAGGCCGGGCACGGTGGCTCACACCTGTAATCCCAGCACTTTGGGAGGCTGAGGCAGGCAGATCACGAGGTCAGGAGATTGAGACCATTCTGGCTAACACAGTGAAACCCTGTCTCTACTATAAATACAAAAATTAGCCAGGCGTGGGGGTGGGTGCCTGTAGTCCTAGCTACTCGGAAGGCTGAGGCAGGAGAATGGTGTGAACCCAGGAGGTGGAGCTTTCAGGGAGCTGAGATCGCACCACTGCACTCCAGCCTGGGCGACAGAGCTAGACTCTGTCTCTAAATAAATAAATAAATAAATAAAAATACTTTAAATGTTTCATTTGGTAGTCTTCTTCCTTTTATTGGAACTTCTTTGTCATTCATATTTATCATCTTCTAATGTTACAGTATTTTTTCTCTCTATTCACAATTATTTTCTCAAGCTTTTCCTCCACATCAGTAATTTGATTTTCAGTCATATCTATTGTTTCTAATTTATTAACTCTACAATACTGTCATTTCATTTCTTACTTTGTTTTCTTAGCAATGCATCTCATCTGTATTTGAGCTCTTGTTTTGCAGGACCTACATTGTTTTTTGTGTTTTTTTTTTTTTTTTTTTGAGGTGGAGTCTCGCTCTTTTGCCCAAGCTGGAGTGCAGTGGCATGATCTCGGCTCACTGCAACCTCCCCGTCCCGGGTTCAAGCGGTTCTCCCTGCCTCAGCCTCCCAAGTGGGTGGGATTACATGTGCCCACCACAACGCCCAGCTAATTTTTGTAATTTTTAGTAGAGATGAGGTTTCACCATGTTGGCCAGACTGGTCTTGAACTCTTGACCTCAGGTGATCCACCCGCCATAGCTTCCCAAAGTGCTAGGATTACAGGCATGAGACACCGTGCCTGGCCAGGAGCGACATTCTTAAACAATTGTATCATGTGAAGCACTTACGAGGAGTCTGTCTATTTGTAGCTGATGTTTTCTTCTGACTGAATTCTTCACTCTCTTATCTTCTTTTTCCTGGGATGTACTTTTTTTCTTTTTCCCCCGAGACGGAGTGTTGCTCTGTCACCCAGGCTGGAGTGCAGTGGCCGTGATATTGGCTCACCGCAACCTTTGCCTCCCGGGTTCAAGCAATTCTGCTGCCTCAGCCTCCTGAGTAGCTGAGATTACAGGCATGTGCCACCATGCCTGGCTAATTTTTGTATTTTTTAGTAGAGATAGGGTTTCATTATGTTGGCCAGGCTGGTCTCTTAACTCCTGACCTCATGATTCACCCCCCTCGGCCTCCCAAAGTGCTGGGATTAGAAGCGTGAGCCACCACACCTGGCCCTGGGATGTACTTTAATAAGGCATATGCTCTTTCTTGATATCTTGCTCATACTGAACTGTTGTTCATGTCAACTCTGTTCAAACTCTGTTCTGTTAATACAAGAACTAATTCTCCTTGGCACTCTTTCTACCTAGTACAACTACTTTGTTTTCTCTAGTCTAAAATTTGAAGGCTATGTGTTGTGTTCTTGCCACCTTTGTTCTGTTTTGTTTTGAGACAGAGTCTCACTCTGTCACTCACACTGTCATGCAGTAGGGCAGTCATAGTCACTGAAGCCTTGACTTCCTGGGCTCAAGTGATCCTCCCTCCTCAGCCTCCAGAGTAGCTGGAACTAAAAGTTCATACCACCACGCCCAGCTCATTTTAAAATTTTTTGTAGAGACAGGGTTTCACTGTGTTGCCCAGGCTGGTCTTGAACTCCTGGCCTCAAACAGTCCTCCCACCTCAGCCTCCCAAAGTGCTGGGATTACAGGCATGAGGCACTGTGCTGGCCCTTGCCACTTCTTTCTAGCCTGAGGCATGAGGGTGGTTGAAGACTAGAGATCCACTAGGGCTGAGATCCTTACTTAGGAACTTGACTTTGATATCTCTCTATTGAGTTCTTGTTATTTATCTTATATCTGGGTCTACTTAACCTAGCCAGAGATGTATCCCACTAGTGTGGACTTTGGCTAGCACAGTGTTCTGTTAGAGAGCAAATCCAGGTGATCCTTTCTACCTTAACTGATGGTCTTGTAAAGACTTTCCCTTTTAATGATTTTGTTCCTCAACTTTTCTCAGTTCTGCTTTTCATTCTTGATTCTGTCTGCAAATTATTATTAGTGAGAATTCTCAAGATTTTGTTAGTTGACCATTTTTCTTCAATATTGCTTCTTGTCTGGGATACAGAGAAAAGATTAGAGATGGAAGGATAGGAGACAATCTCTTGCTAGCATTATAATGCCTTTGTGCAAATTAGGAAATAGTGCCCTTTCAGGGAGAACAGGTCTTACAACTTGGCAAATGAACACAGGTTGACTCTCATGCCGTTTACCTCCTCAGCTAAGCATGCTTGAGCAAGGACAACCTACCTCATCATATGCATAATCCTTTTAGGATATGGTACTCATGCCACCAGAATTTATTTTTCTTGCTTTGTCTATCATTCTTAAATGTTAATGACATAATTTTATATCTTTTTTGTTACGTTGTAAGTATAGAATTTGTGGCTATTTTAATTTTTAAATTTTGTTAGATAATTGTGATCTTGTTTCAGTTTGCAATCTTTATTTGGAAATTCTTCTTTTTTTTTTTTTATTTTTGAGACAGAATCTCACCCTGTCATCCAGGCTGGAGTGCAGTGGTGCAATCCTGCTTCACTGCAAACTCTGCTTCCTGAGCTCAAGTGGTACTCCCACATGAACCTCCTGAGTAGCTGGAACTATAGGCATGTGCCACCACACCCAGCTAATTTTTGTATTTTTTGTAGCAGCAAGGTTTCATTCACCACATTGGCCAGGCTGGTCTCTAACTCCTGGGCTCAAGCAATCCACCTGACTTGGCCCCCCAAAGTACTGGGATTACATGCGTGAGCTACCACGTCTGGCCTGGAAATTCTTATGCATGGGGGGATACTGTGAAGCATATATATTTTTTAGTTGCTATTCTGCTTATATATGAAGCATATATTTTAACAACAACCTTTTTTATTCTTCATTAGTGAAGAAAATACTTCCCTTAAAATAGTCAGTACCAATATTTGGTATTGTAGGAAACAAACACCATTGTTTGATGATGATTTTTTATTTCTTGATGGTTAAATGTATCTTATCTTTATAGAAATGTGTTTTTTCAATATTATTTAAAAATTGTTTAAAACATTGTCTTTTTAAATATTGTTTTAGGAGTATCCGATTTTAATCTTCGTGTTGCATTGCAAACACTTCTGAAAGAGTACTGTGAAGTATGCAAATCTCCCAAAGAGAACAAGTTTTGTAGTTTTCTGCAGACATCTAAGGTTCGACCTCGGAAGAAAGCAAGAAAGTACCTGTATGCAGTAGGTGAGAGAGCCCTTAAAAAAGTAATAGAAATTATATTTGTGTTCCAGATCAAACCTTTTTAATATTTTGTTGTTATTACTATACATGTCAGAATATGTGGGTGTGTTGAAGAGGCATATTTAATTTCACATACAGACTACAGATTTATAAACTGCATTTATATATTATGACAAATATGTCTAAAAAGAAATAGCTATTCATTTGATATCTGTTATTCTGTGATCTAAACCTTTGAGTTCGTAGATTATCCAGTTATCAAATAAGTGACTAAAGAAGTGCTGCTTTAAAAGTAAAAAATTTGAATTATTGTGAAAAATAAAGAAAATAAATCTCAAGTTTTTAAACTATTCACAGTATCCTAGTCATTAGGAGTGATAGGAACCAATGATCTCCAAAGTGTGGTTATAAAAGATGATCCATAGGAATATCAGAGGAACATATTACAACTTCTTCTTTTTTTTTTTTTTTTTGAGGTAGTCTTACTCTGTCTCCCAGGCTGGAGTGCAGTGGCGTGATCTCGGATCACTGCAATCTCTGCCTCCTGGGTTCAAGCGATTCTACTGCCTCAGCCTCCTGAGTAGCTGGGACTACAGGCATGCGCCACCATGCCCAGCTAATTTTTGTATACCTATATATATATATATATTTTAAGTAGAGACAGGGTTTCACCATATTGGCCAGGCTGGTCTCGAACTCCTGACCTTGTGATCCGCCTGCCTTGGCCTCCCAAAGTGCTGGGATTACAGCCGTGAGCCACTGTGCCCTGCCACATATTACAACTTCTTTTCATTTTTATTTTAAAAAGCATTAAACTTACATCTGGATGTGGTGGCTCATGGCCTGTAATCCCAGCACTTTGGAAGGCTGAGGTGGGAGGATGGTGTGAGCCCAGAAGTTCAAGACCAGTCTAGGCAACATGATGAAACCTTGTCTTTATGCAAAAATACAGAAATTAGCTTGGTGTGGTGGTGTGTGCCTGTAGTCCCAGCTACTTGGGAAGCTGAAGTGGGAGGATCACTTGAGCCCAGGAGGCAGAGGTTGCAGTGAGCAGAGATTGTACCACTGCACTCCAGCCTGGGCAACAGAGCAAGACCCTGTCTCAAAAAAAGAAAAAAAAAGCATTAAACTTTATCAGCATTTAAAATACATATAATATATAGCATATTGATACATATAGTCCAGATCTGTATACATAATACTGTTTTTATGTAAGTACCTTATGTATGAGATAATTTATAATTTACATATATATAATTACATATATGTATTAATATTTAAGTATAATGCTTTTGGGTGCTTCTTAAAATTTTTTTGCCGATTGGATGTGTAGTCAAAACAAGGATTTCATCAGGAGGTTGATGAGGGAAGATCGAGGCTGCAGTAAGCTGTGATCACATCACTGCACTCCAGCCTGGGTGACAGAGTGAAACCCTGCCTCAAACACACACACACACACACACACACACACACACACACACACACACACAGCTTTCAACTCACTATTTTTAATTGAAAAAGACATTAATGAAAGTTATAATGAAACTTTCCTAATTTAACAGATAAGCAGTGCCTAGATTTATATTTCATATAATATTCTATTTATAACCAAGACCAAGTGGTAAAACACTGAGGCTAACCTTCTTACTGTATTTAAGCCACAATCTTTCAGGAATTGGCAAATTTAAGAATATTACATTATATGTATATAGAGAAAGTAATTTCTAAACCATTTATTTCTTGTTATATAGTAGTTATACTAAATGTTTAGATGTAGAACAGTAGATTTTCATTACTACCTTTTCTTCTTTTGTTTAGGTGGATATACTCGGTTGCAGGGGGGTCGCTGGAGTGATAGCAGAGCCCTCAGCTGTGTAGAACGTTTTGACACCTTTAGCCAGTACTGGACCACTGTGTCTTCACTTCATCAGGCTCGAAGTGGGCTGGGAGTAACAGTTCTGGGAGGGATGGTCTACGCTATTGGAGGTAATAATAAAAATGTCTTATTTTCTTAATTAGTCTTGTTGGCTATATTCTAATATGCTTTATGATTTATATGTTGCTATGTGATATACATATATCTAATTGTCCTCAATAAGTATTTACAGGAAGGAAGGAAGGAAGGAGGGAGGGAGGGAGGGAAGGAAGAGAAAGGGAAGAGAAGGGCAAGGGGAAGGGGAAGGGCAAGATGGTCAATATTTCATATCAGATGAATTCTGTGATTTATCACAAGCCAGAATACTTAGGTTTGGTTTTAATGAAGTTGTGGCGGGGTGCAGTGGCTCACACCTGTAATCCCAGAACTTTTGGAAGCCAAGGCAGGCGGATCACTTGAGCTCAAGAGTTTGAGACCAGCCTGGGCAATATATCGAGACTTTATCTCTACAAAAAATTTTAAAATGAGCCAGATGTGGTGGCACATTCCTGTAGTCCCAGCTACTTGAGAGGATGATGTGGGAAGATTGCTTGAGCCCAGGAGGCAGAGGTTGCAGTGAGCCATGATCGTGCCACTGTACTCCAGCCTGGGTGACAGAGCAAGACCCTCTCTCAAAAAAGAAAAGAAAAGTTGTTTATAGAATATGGCACCTGCCTGGCGTAGTGGCTCATGCCTGTAATCCCTCCTAGCACTTTGGGAGGCTGAGACAGGCAGATCACCTGAGGTCAGGAGTTCAAGACCAGCCTGGCCAACATGGTGAAACCTTGTCTCTACAAAAAATACAAAAAAATTAGCTGGGCATGGTGGCGGGTGCTGGTAATCCCAGCTACTCAGGAGGCTGAGGCAGGAGAATCATTTGAACCCGGGAGGCGGAGGTTGCAGTAAGCCGAGATCGCGCCATTGCACTCCAGCCTGGGCAACAAGAGCGAAACTCCATCTCAAAAAAAAAAAAAAAAGTGGCATCAAAATTTAGATCAATATTTATGATAGAATTTTTTTAAATTCTGAAAGCTGCATAATGATTCATTTAATAAACCAAGCAGTATGGATACTGGATACGTAAAAACCAAGTCAACAAAATAGTAGGATATATTTCTTGGTCGAAATCATGGTGTTTTGTAAAACTGTTTTTATGAATTATTAAATAATAAAGTAACTGGGACTATAGGCATGCATCACCATGTATGGCTCATTAAAAATTTACTTATTTATTTGATATGGAGTTTTGCTCTTGTTGTCCAGGCTGGAGTGCAATGGCATGATCTGGTGATCTCAGCTCACCACAACCTCCACCTCCCGGGTTCAAGCGATTCTCCTGCCTCAGCCTCCTCTGTAGCTGGGATTACAGGCATGTACCACCACGCCCGGCTAATTTTGTAATTTTAGTAGAGACAGGGTTTCTTCATGTTGGTCAGGCTGGTCTCGAACTCCCGACCTCAGGTGATCCATCCGCCTCAGCCTCCCATAGTGCTGGGATTACAGACATGAGCCACCATGCCCGGCCATTTTTTTTTTTTTTTAGAGATGGGGTCTCACTATGTTGCCCAGGCTGGTCTTGAACTCTTTATTTATTTATTTATTTATTTATTTTTTTTATTGATCATTCTTGGGTGTTTCTCGCAGAGGGGGATTTGGCAGGGTCATAGGACAATAGTGGAGGGAAGGTCAGCAGATAAACAAGTGAACAAAGGTCTCTGGTTTTCCTAGGCAGAGGACCCTGCGGCCTTCCGCAGTGTTTGTGTCCCTGGGTACTTGAGATTAGGGAGTGGTGATGACTCTTAACGAGCATGCTGCCTTCAAGCATCTGTTTAACAAAGCACATCTTGCACCGCCCTTAATCCATTTAACTCTGAGTGGACACAGCACATGTTTCAGAGAGCACAGGGTTGGGGGTAAGGTCACAGATCAACAGGATCCCAAGGCAGAAGAATTTTTCTTAGTACAGAACAAAATGAAAAGTCTCCCATGTCTACTTCTATCCACACAGACCCGGCAACCATCCGATTTCTCAATTTTTTCCCCACCCTTCCCGCCTTTCTATTCCACAAAACCGCCATTGTCATCATGGCCCATCCCCAATGAGCCGCTGGGCACACCTCCCAGACGGGGTCGTGGCCGGGCAGAGGGGCTCCTCACTTCCCAGTAGGGGCGGCCGGGCAGAAGCGCCCCTCACCTCCCGGATGGGGCGGCTGGCCGGGCGGGGGGCTGACACCCCCACCTCCCTCCCGGATGGGGCGGCTGGCCAGGCAGAGGGGCTCCTCACTTCCCAGTAGGGGCGGCCGGGCAGAGGCGCCCCTCACCTCCCGGATGGGGTGGCTGGCCGGGCGGGGGGCTGACACCCCCACCTCCCTCCCGGACGGGGCGGCTGGCCGGGCAGAGGGGCTCCTCACTTCCCAGTAGGGGCGGCCGGGCAGAGGCGCCCCTCACCTCCCGGACGGGGCGGCTGGCCAGGCGGGGGGCTGACCCCCCCACCTCCCTCCCGGACGGGGCGGCTGGCCGGGCGGGGGGCTGACCCCCCACCCCACTCCCGGACGGGGCGGCTGGCCGGGCGGGGGGCTGACCCCCCCTCCCCCCTCCCGGACGGGGCGGCTGGCCGGGCGGGGGGCTGACCCCCCCACCTCCCTCCCGGACGGGGCGGCTGGCCGGGCGGGGGGCTGACCCCCCCACCTCCCACCTGGACGGGGCGACTGGCCGGGCAGAGGGGCTCCTCACTTCCCAGTAGGGGCGGCCGGGCAGAGGAGCCCCTCACCTCCCGGACGGGGCGGCTGGCCGGGCGGGGGGCTGACCCCCCCCACCTCCCTCCCCGACGGGGTGGCTGCCGGGCGGAGACGCTCCTCACTTCCCAGACGGGGTGGCTGCCGGACGGAGGGGCTCCTCACTTCTCAGAAGGGGCGGCTGCCGGGCGGAGGGGCTCCTCACTTCTTAGACGGGGCGGTTGCCAGGCAGAGGGTTTCCTCACTTCTCAGACGGGGCGGCCGGGCAGAGACGCTCCTCACCTCCCAGACAGGGTTGCGGCCCGGCAGAGGCGCTCCTCACATCCCAGACAGGGCGGCGGGGCAGAGGTGCTCCCCACATCTCAGACGATGGGCGGCCGGGCAGAGACGCTCCTCACTTCCTAGATGGGATGGCGGCGGGGAAGAGGCGCTCCTCGCTTCCTAGATGGGATGGCGGCCGGGCAGAGACGCTCCTCACTTTCCAGACTGGGCAGCCAGGCAGAGGGGCTCCTCACATCCCAGACGATGGGCGGCCAGGCAGAGACGCTCCTCACTTCCCAGACGGGGTGGCGGCCGGGCAGAGGCTGCAATCTCGGCTCTTTGGGAGGCCAAGGCAGGCGGCTGGGAGGTGGTTGTAGCGAGCCGAGATCACGCCACTGCACTCCAGCCTGGGCACCATTGAGCACTGAGTGAACGAGACTCCGTCTGCAATCCCGGCACCTCGGGAGGCGAAGGCTGGCGGATCACTCGCGGTTAGGAGCTGGAGACCAGCCCGGCCAACACAGCAAAACCCCGTCTCCACCAAAAAAAACCGAAAACCAGTCAGGCGTGGCGGCGCGCGCCTGCAATTGCAGGCGCTCGGCAGGCTGAGGCAGGAGAATCAGGCAGGGAGGTTGCAGTGAGCCGAGATGGCAGCAGTACAGTCCAGCTTTGGCTCGGCATCAGAGGGAGACCGTGGAAGGAGACCGTGGAGAGAGGGAGAGGGAGGGGGAGGGGGAGAGGGAGAGGAACTCCTGAGCTCAAGTGATTCTCCTGCCTCAGCCTCCCAAAGTGCTGGGATTACAAATGTGAGCCATGGCACCCAAACTGTATATAAAAAAAAATTGTAATTAATTTATTTTTATTTTTATTTTATTTATTTATTTTTTAGTGGGCCAGGGTTTGGTGAGTCATCCCCACCCAAAAATTGTATAAATATTTTCTGACTGTGGTACTGTCAGTTTAAATTATGGTGATATAGGAACTATTTGATTTTTATCTTTACTTTGGAGGGTATATAACTCAGAACTGTTTATTAAATCAAGAAATGACATGTGCAACAGAAAATTCCAACAAGGAAATTAGAATTTTAAGCAATAACTTCCTGTCTGCATAAAGAGCACAATTCTGTATAGTCTTTGACTACAACTTTAATAATTCCTTTTATGTGTCTTCTGTCAATTATGCATAGTTTTATCACTTGAACTCTTCTGTTTAACCTAGGGTCAGAGGTCCTTCTGTGACACTTGCATATGTATGTATTCCATCCCCTGATACCACAGAAGTGCTTACAGAGGCTCTTCAAAACTGCTATGACTTCACTAGCTATTAATACTGTCAACATTGCTATCTTAAGATATTCCTTAATATATAACTTTTAAATACTTTTAAAATTATAAAAGTAATTGAGGTTTGTTGTACAAAATTTTGTTAAAACAGAAGCATATGAAAAAGAAATTTTAAATCCCTTATGCCATAATCATACCACCCAGAATAATCGCAGTTAACATTTTGGTTTAGTTTCTTCCCGATACATACATATCTGGGTTCATATTCTAAATGTTGGGTTTTTTAAATTAAGATATAATTCACATACCAAATTCATCATTTAGAGAATATAGTTTAGTGGTTTTTAGCATAGTCACAAAGTTGTGCAATTGTCACCACTATCTCATTCCAGAACATTTCATCACCCCAGAAAGAAACACTGTACCCATCAGCAGTCACTTCCCATCTCTCCTCCTAAACCCTAGTAACCGCTAATCTACTTTATGTCTCTATGGCTTGCCTATTCTGGACATTTCATATAAATGGAATCATATAATATTGTGTCTGACTTCTTTCACTTAGCATGTCATAACACGTATCAGTACTTCATTTCTTTTTATGACTGAATAATATTTCATTGTGTGGAAATAATCATATTTTGTTTGTTCATTCTGTAGTTGATGGACATTTACATTGTTTCCACTTAATATTCAAGTAAAAGTTTTTGTGTAGATGTAAGTTTGATTTCTTTTGGGTATATACTTAGGAGTAGAATTGTTAGGTTATATGGTAACTCTATATTTAACTTTTTGAGATATATATTGTTATTAACTTTTTCTTTTTTTGCTTTTTACTTACATAAAATATTTATTTTTATTTCATTTTTTTATTTTTTGAGATGGAGTCTCGCTCTGTTGCCCAGGCTGGAATGCAGTGGTGCGATGTCGACTCACTGCAACCTCTGCCTCCTGGATTCAAGTGATGCCTCAGCCTCCCAAGTAGCTGGGATTACAGGCATGCACCACCACACCTGGCTAATTTTTGTATTTTTAATAGAGATGGGGTTTCACCATGTTGGCCAGGCTGGTCTCGAACTCCTGAACTCAGGTGATCTACCCGCCTTGGCCTCCCAAAGTGCTGGGATTACAGGGTGAGCCACCACCCTGTATTTTTATTTTTATTTTTTGAAACGGAGTCTCACTCTGTCACCCAGGCTAGAGGGCAGTGGCTCAGTCTCGGCTCACAGCAACCTCTGCCTCCCGGGTTCAAGTGATTCTCCTGCCTCAGCCTCCCAAGTAGTTGGGATTACAGGCATAGACCACCATGCCTGGCCAGTTTTTTGTTGTTGTTGGTTGTTTGTTTCTTTTTGTTTTGAAACGGAGTCTCACTCTGTGCCAGGCTGTAGTGCAGTGGCGTGATCTCGGCTCACTGCAACCTCTGCCTCTCGGGTTCAAGTGATTCTCCTGCCTCAGCCTCCCAAGTAGCTGGGATTACAGACACGCACCACCGCGCCTGGCTAATTTTTGTGTTTTTAGTAGAGACAGGGTTTCACCATGTTGGTCAGGCTGGTCAGGCTGGTCTAGAACTCCTGACCTCGTGATCTGCCCGCCTTGGCCTCCCAAAGTGCTGGGATTACAGGCGTTAGCCACCACGCCCAGCCGGATTTCTTCTTTCAAGAAGTAACTTTTTAGATACTTAGTGCATTTTAAAAATTGTCTATTTTGTTGATTTGTAGGTGCATCAGGGTTCCCAAGACCACTCCCAGTTTTAGTGATTTGCTAAAAGGACTTAAAAGGTTTAGCATGTAATTGTCTCCACAGCTAAGATTTATTATAGTGAAATGTAGAAAACAAAATCAGCCAAAGGAAAAGGCACATGTGATGAAGTCTGGAAGGAACCAGTTGACAGCTTTCCAGAGTCCTCACCCAGTAGAGTCACAGTCACACATGACATGCTTAATTCCTCAGCAATTAGTTGTGACAACATGTGGGAAGTGTTGTCTACCAGGGAAGCTCATTAGAGACATAGTGCCCAAGGTTTTTGCAGGCAGCTGATGACATAGCCTCCTTCTTCCTAGCACATACCAAAATTCCAGACCTTCAGAAGGAAAGCGTGTGTTCAGCATAAACCACATTGTTTGTACAGTTTAAGCACAGTGAGCCACTCTTACCATTTTGGGAAAATTTTGTATCAGTGGAGGGAACTGTTAACCAGCCATATTCCCAGATTCCAGCAAAGGGTCAATCTTCCAAGTAGGCCTTTCTAAGGACAGGCATTTTTAGGCCTGCTATGTTAATTATTTTCTGTACAATAGGAATTTTGTTTATATTCAGGATTCTAGACCCTCATAAAGTCATATGTGCTATAAGTATCTTCTACTGTGCTGCTTCATCTTTTATTCTCTTTATGGTATCCTTTGATGAACAGATATTTTTAATTTTAGTGTAGTCAAATCTCTTATTTTTTTCCCTTTATTGTTAATGTTTCTTGCATCTTATTTAAGACATCTTTCCCTACTCCAAATCATAAGGACCTATACCTTCATTGTTTTATACAGTTTTATAGTTTTTCCATTCATACTTATGTCAGTAATCTACCTGGAATTGAGTTTTTATGGATAATATGCAGTAGGGCATTAGTTTCCTCCCAATGTATAATCAATTATTCTAGCATGAAAGATTGTTGTTTCCCTACTGCTCTGTAGTGCTAACTCTGTCTTCTATCAAGTAATCATATAGGTACGTTTCTGTTCCTAGAATTTCTTTTCTGTTCCATTAGTCTCTGTCTATCCCTTTCTTAATTACTATAGCTTTGTTATATGTCTTGATATATGATGAGACTGTTTCTCCTTATTCTTTTCCGAGAATGCTTGGCTCTTCTAGGCCCTTTGTACTTCCATATAAATTTTAGAATCAGTTTGTCAAATCTATTAAAAAATGGATTTTTTTGATTGGGAATACATTAAATCTTTAAGTCAATATGGGGTAACTATCATCTTTACATTGACTCTTTTTTTTAAATACAAAAATCTTCATGATACATTGACTCTTATAATTCATGAGCATTATTCATCTCTTCATTTATTTAGATGTTCCACAATTTAAAACTTTAAATAAAATTTATAAATGTTATCCATAGGGGCATTGCATAATCTTTGGTTAGATTTACTCCTAAATATCTTATTTTAAAATTCTAAATTACCTGGACATGGTGGCACATGCTTATAGTCCTAGCTACTTGGGAGGCTGAGGCAGGAGGATCGCTTGAGTCCAGGAGTTTGAGGCTTCAGTGAGCGATGATTGTGCCACTGCACTCTAGCCTGGGTGACAGAGCCAGACTCTGTCTCTAAAAATAAATAAATAAATAAATATCAAAAACATGAAAATTTGGGTATCTTTTTAAAATTTTTTCATTTTCAGGCTGGGTGCGGTGTCTCACACCTGTAATCCCAACACTTTGGGAGGCTGAGGCGGGCGGATCACGAGGTCAGGATCTTGTGATCCTGGCTAACAAGGTGAAACCCCGTCTCTACTAAAAATACAAAAAATTACCTGGGCGCGGTGGCAGGCGCCTGTAGTCCCAGCTACTCAGGAGGCTGAGGCAGGAGAATGTCATGAACCCAGGAGGCGGAGCTTGCAGTGAGCCGAGATTGTGCCACTGCACTCCAGCCTGGGCGACAGAGCGAGACTCCGTCTCCAAAAAAAGAAAAATTTCATTTTCTGTTTGTTGTTAGAAAAGGATTACATTAAAACTCAAATTGTACCAGGGCCAGCCACCAAAACTAATATGTGAAAAAAAATATAGAAGTGTTAAAATGCAAATTGTATCCTAAAACATTACATGGATTGTTTGATTGTTTGGGTGGTAGAAATAGATAATAGGAAAATTGTGCCTCTGTTTCATAAGTGGGCTTTAATAAATGACAGTGCTCTAGATTCAAAATACTGCTTGACAGGCAAATGAAAGTTAATGAATAGTATAAAATCAGACATAATGGTTGAATTTTTGACGATAGGGAATACTACTGAATATTGTGTTATGGTGCTAGTCTGTTGGCATTACTAAACTTTATAATATTTGTCTCTTTTATTTAACTCAGGTGAAAAGGATTCAATGATTTTTGATTGTACTGAATGCTATGATCCAGTTACTAAACAGTGGACAACTGTAGCTTCGATGAATCATCCCCGCTGCGGCTTAGGAGTGTGTGTGTGTTATGGGGCTATCTATGCTTTGGGTAATTATGTTGTTCAGTTTAAAGATAGCTAATATTGTTTATGTATTTTTAATTTTCATTTTTGTGGATACATAATAGGTATATATATTTATGGGGCACATGAGATACAGGCACATAATGCGTAATAATCACATCTTGTAAAATGGGATATCCATCTCCTCAAGTATTTATCCTTTATGTTACAAACAATCCAGTTATACTCTTCTAGTTATTTTTAAATGTACAATTAAATTATTGACTATAGTCACCCTGTTGCACTATCAAATACTAGGTCTTATTCATTCTTTTTTTTTTTTTTTTGTATTCATTAACCATGCCCACCTCCTCCCTCCCCACCCCCACTACACTACCCTTCCCAGCCTCTGGTAACCATCCTTCTACTCTCTATCTCCATGAGTTCAATTGTTTTGATTTTTAGATCCCACAAAGAAGTGAGAATATGCAATGTTTATAAAGATAGCTAATATTATTTAAATTATTGGGTTCTGATGACTTTGGAGATGTTCTTTCCCTCTTTTCAGCTCTTTACATTCTTTTTTTAAAAACCAACTGGCTTTAATCTGTATACTCTGGAGGCTGGGCAAGGTCTTAGGGGAAGGTGTAGGTGGGGGTCAGCTGGTCAGGGATTGGAGGGGGTGCTCCTGGGCTGTCCATCCTAAGGAGGCACTCAGGCGGGGGATGGTACAGGAGGACCTGAGCACCTGCAGGGCAGAGCCTTGTTGGGCAGATGCATCAGTTCTTGGGCAGATGGTAGATGCCTGCCTGGCCAGTTGGCTGGCTGACCAAGCTGCTAGTCACACACATTCTTCTGCAGGTATCTCTGGAGCTACTGTATGCTGTAGATGCACTTGTCAGCTCTTTAAATTCTTATTCTCAAAATTGTATTACTGGAGATAAAATATAGATGAGACATCCAGTGAAGTACTTTAGCTGAGTAGTTAAATCTCATTATTTTAATTAAGCATATAACATTTTTACCACCCTGCATAGTGGCCTAATTATGTCTAATATAAGAAAGCACATACCAAAAAATTAAATATATCACAAGGAAGTTCTGTACTATATTATTTTTATTCTTGTATATGTAGTGAATGATTATGAGCAAGGTATTCTACTTTGATTATCTGTGTAACAAATGTTACAATCAAGGTTGTTCCTAGGGAAAGTTATAAGTTGATGTAGCTCTCAGCCTCCCCTATTTTCTCCTTCTCACTCCTTCTTCAGTTCACTGTAACTCAGTGTCTTCCCCTCATCCAAACCTATTGTGGAAAAAATATCAGTTACCTTAAGGTGAATTTAATCTATTATATTTTATTACCTCCATAAGTATCTGCATTTTTCAGTTAATTGTGGGAAATAATATTTTCAGTTTTAAGAATTGGAGAGTGTTGGCTGGACATGGTGGCTTACGCCTGTAATCCCAGCACTTTGGGAGGCTGAGGCGGGCGGATCATGAAGTCAGGAGATCGAGACCAACTTGGCTAACATGGTGAAACCCTGTCTCTACTAAAAATACAAACAAAATTAGCTGGGCGTGGTGGTGGGCGCCTGTAGTCTCAGCTACTCCGGAGGCTGAGGCAGGAGAATGGCATGAACCCAGGAGGTGGAGCTTGCACTGAGCCTGAGCCGAGATTGCACCACTGCACTCCAGCCTGGGTGACACAGTGAGACTCCATCTCAAAAAAAAAAAGAATTGGAGAGTGTTAAGAAAATGTTATTGTGGGGATAAGGGGCCTTTTTGAAATTCCTGAAATTACACCAAATACACGGTATACTCTGATTAGGTTTGGAGCTGGCCTTGATTAGGATAAACATTCTAAATAGCCAGAAGTAATTTCAAAAGGTAGTTTTGCAAAATACCATCTTTTCCATGCAATATATTGAAGTTTTGGGGCTTTTGTTGTTTTGTTTTGTTTTAGTCTTTAGTGAAAAATAGGGAGTTAAAAGACTTGAATTCCTTTTTTTTTTTTTTTTTTTTTTTCTCAAAAGAGCATCAGTTATGCAAAGGACCTGAGTTCTACTCATGGTCAAATTCTAACTTTTTCATGGGATCGTGGAACAGATAACCTCTTTGGCTCATGTGATATCTATAATATGAAGTATTTGGTTTAGATGTTTTCTAAGGTCTTTGTCATAAATAAGAATCTTTTATCCCGGAAACAAACATTTTTCTATTTCATTACAGGTGGATGGGTTGGAGCTGAGATAGGGAACACCATTGAACGATTTGATCCTGATGAAAATAAATGGGAAGTAGTTGGTAACATGGCTGTGTCACGCTACTACTTTGGGTGCTGTGAAATGCAAGGTAATCACTTTATAAAATATTTTTCCTCAAAATGTAGTTCTGAAAAACTGTTTGAGTTTGAGGCCTTATTTTCACAAAAGTATATTTTAAGTCTGTTAGTATTGAATGACTGATACTAGCAGCATAGAAGTTCTGCTTTTTACCTCCTATCATTGACTTTTATTTCTGTATTGCTAAAATAATTGATTTGATTTTTTCAGAAATAAACAAGGCTAGAATTAAAAATTGTAAGTAAGCAGGAATATCTGACTAGCACAATAAACATTTGAAGTGTTATCTGTTATTGTCTTTTCTCTCCCATGAACATCTAAGTAAATATTTCTAAGTAGGGAGAGAGTATCAGAAACAGTTTTTGGGTGTGGTGGCTCATGCCTGTAATCCCAGCACTTTGGGAGGCTGAGGCAGGAGGATCACCTGAGGTTAGGAGTTCGAGACCATCCTGGCCAACGTGGTGAAACCTCATTTCTACTAAAAATACAAAAATTAGCTGGGCATGTTACTACACACCTGTAATCCCAACTACTAGGGAGGCTGAGGCAGGATAATTGCTTGAACCCAGGAGGCAGAGGTTGCAGTGAGCGAGATGGTGCCACTGCACTGCAGCCTGGGTAACAGTGAGACTCTATCTCAAAAAATAAATAAAAATAAATTATTTTCATGGTCTATAGGCTTCTTTAGCGTTTTTTTTCTACAAAGTACATTGTGATGCCGCTCACATAACATATAATCCTGTGACAGATTTAAAGGATTCTATGTTGCATATTAAAGTGGTATACAAACATTATTTTAATTGTCTACTATACTCTTGAGAGGTAGGTAGTAAGCTGTTTTAACTAGAACCTAATTCTCTGTGTAGGATTGGAGAGCTGATTTTTATGCACCTGTGGAGAAGAAAGCAACTTTCCCATTGTTGTATGACAGCCTAACCTGCTAAAGTTCTTTCTGCTCTGTGGTTACCTTCTCTGATTTCCATTAGCAAATTATGCAGTGCAGACTATATCTTACTGTTTAATATGATATTGTCTCCTAGTTGTTTTATATTTATTATTTTTATCATCCCATCTGAAATCATAGAGCTAGCTAGAAAGGGATCTTTGAACTTATCTATGTCAACTTCTTTAAGTTATAGATGAGGAAGCTGAAGATCAGGAAGGTTGTGAGTTATCTTTTCTCATAGCTGGTTACTGGCAAGGCTGGAACTAAAACCCAAGTTTACTATACTAATATTTAGCCCACATTTCTTTTTTTTTTTTTGAGATGGAGTCTCGCTCTGTCGCCCAGGCTGGAGTGCAGTGGTGCAATCTTGGCTCAGTGCAAGCTCTGCCTCCCGGGTTCACACCATTCTCCTGCCTCAGCCTCCTGAGTAGCTGGGACTACAGGCGCCCACCACCACACCTGGCAAATTTTTTGTATTTTTAGTAGAGATGGGGTTTCACCGTGTTAGCCAGGATGATCACAATCTCCTGACCTCGTCATCTGCCCACCTTGGCCCCCTAAAGTGCTGGGATTACAGGCGTGAGCCACCGCGCCCGGCCTAGCCCACATTTCTTAAAATATAATTCTTTGTAACTCCTCACTTTAGAAGATGAAGTACAACACTAGAGATTCAAAAATAATTGTAGATTGCCAGAGTTTATAAGGAAATTTTATGTAAATTACATTATATTTTACCGTAGTAATTTTTTTTTTTTTTTTTTTTTGAGAGAAGGTCTGGCTCTGTTGCCCAGGCTGGAGTGCAGTGGTGCAATCTTGGCTCACTGTAACCTCTGCCTCCCACGCTCAAGCCATCCTCCCACCTCAGTCTCCTAAGTAGCTGGGACTGCAGGCACACACCACCATGCCTGGCTAATTTTGTATTTTTTGCCCAGGTTGGTCTCAAGCTCAAGTGATCCGCCTGCCCTGTCCTCCCAAAGTACTGGGATTGTGAACCACTACACCCAGCTGTGTACTGTAGTAATTGATTCTGATATCTTAATTTAGCCATATACTATTTAAATTTAAATTCCCTACTTTATGTCCATCTGAGCAACAGATAGGCTGTCACTAAAGAGGGCCATGTAATTCCCAGCTTAAGTGCATGACATTTTTAGGGAAAAAAAAATCCATGTTCCTTTCCTGTTTTATCTATGGGTGGATCTGGAACCTGAGATCACCAAGCAGACAATTAGATAGAAAATCCTTAGCTGACAGATTATTTCAAGTTATTTGAAAACTCAATGCTATTTTAAATTAATTCCACTAATTTTTTGCAACTTGCTGAATAGTGAGGTGATAAAGTTGACAAAGTTGATTTTCTCTCTTAAATAATAATGTAAGCCCTAGATTAAACATAGCATCGGCATTGGAAACATAGATCACAATCATTACTTTTCATCATTATTTGTATCTCACTATCTGTAGCATCTGAGCAAAAATATTCCACTTCCAGGTTTAATTTATGTAATTGGGGGCATCAGCAATGAAGGAATAGAACTTCGTTCTTTTGAAGTCTATGATCCACTTTCTAAGCGTTGGTCTCCACTTCCTCCAATGGGAACCAGGAGAGCATATCTTGGTGTGGCTGCACTCAATGACTGCATCTATTCTGTTGGAGGATGGAATGAGACCCAAGATGCTCTTCATACTGTAGAAAAATATTCCTTTGAAGAGGTAGGTTGGATGATTTCAGATATTTAGTATCCTGATATTCTTTTAATGTCTGTAAGATCTGTGGTGATGCACTCTTTTTCACTCATGATATTGATCATTCGTGGATTTTTTTCCCCTTTTTTCTTTCCAAAGAAGAAACTTTTGGTGTCACTGCTTTTCTTCTATTGTCAATTTTCTGTTTTATTGATTTCTGTTCTTACTTTTCCATTTTTCCTATTTGTTTTTGATTGAGTTTGCTCTTCTTTTTCTAGACTATTTATTTATTTTTTAATTTTTTAAGAGACAGGGTCTTGCTCTGTTGCCCAGCTGGAGTGCACTGATATAATCATAGCTCACTGTAACATTGAACTCCTGCCAAGTTAATTAAAAAAAAAACTTTTTTTGTACTGCTAGGCGTGGTGGCCCACGCCTGTAATCCCAGCACTTTGGGAAGCCAAGATGAGAGGATAGCTTGAGCCCAGGAGTTCAAGACCAGCGTGAACAGCATAGTGAGACTGTATAATAAATAACAAAATTAGTTGGGCATGGTGGTATGCACCTGTGGTTCTAGCTACTCAGGGGGATGAGGTGGGAGGATCACTTGAGCCTAGGAGGTCAAGGCTGCAGTGAGCTGTGATCAAGCCATTGTGCTCCAGCCTCGGTAACAGCAAGAGACCCTCTCTCAAAAGAGTAATTTTTTTTTTTTGAGACGGAGTTTTTCTTTTGTTGCCCAAGCTGGAGTGCAGTGGCACCATCTCACCTCACCACAACCTCCGCCTCCTGGGTTCAAGCAATTCTCCTGCCTCAACCTCTTGAGTAGCTGGGATTTCAGGCATGCGCCACCATACCTGGCTAGTTTTATATTTTTAGTGGAGACGGGGTTTCTCTATGTTGGTCAGGCTGGTTTCGAACTCCCTACCTCAGGTGATCCGCCCGCCTCAGCCTCCCAAAGTGCTGGGATTACAGGCATGAGCCACTGCACCCAGCTGAATTTTTTTTTTTCTATGGTTAGGGTCTCGCTATGTAACCCAGACTGATCTCAAACTCCTGGTCTTAAGCGATTCTCCTGCCTTGGCATCCCAAAGCACTGGCATTACAGATCTTTCGGAGCCACTGCGCTCCCCAAATCCCAACAATCTCAGCTCTTTTTTTCTAGATTCTTAAAGTGGAAGCTTAGATGATCGATTTTAGACCTTCCTTTTTCTATAATAGAAACTGTAAATTCTCTTCAAGCACTGCTTTAATTTCATCCCACATATTTTGATATGTTGCCTTTTAATTAGTTGGCATTTATATTAAAATATTTTTTAGGTCAGGTGTGGTGGCACATGCCTGTAAACCCAGCACTTTGGGAGCCCAAGGCGGATGGTGTGTATATATATATATATTTTTTTTTTTTTTCTTTTTTTTTTTGAGATAGAGTCTCTGTCACCCAGGCTGGAGTACAGTGGTGTGATCTGGGCTCACTACAAGCTCCGCCTCCTGGGTTCACGCCATTCTCCTGCCTCAGCCTTCCAGTAGCTGGGACTGCAGATGCCCGCCACTACGCCTGGCTAATTTTTGTTGTATTTTTAGTAGAGACAGGGTTTCACCATGTTAGCCAGGATGGTCTCGATCTCCTGACCTCGTGATCTTCCTGCCTCGGCCTCCCAAAGTGCTGGGATTACAGGCATGAGCCCACCGTGCCCGGCCTTTTTTTTCTTTTTTAAATTTTTCTGGTAATTTCTTGTTTGACTAATGGGTTGTAAGAACAACATTATTTAATTTAAAAATATGTGGGGATTTTCCAGATAAATCTTTTATTATTGACTTCTAATTTATTTCTATTATAATCAGAAAACATATTTTGTATTGCTTCTGTCTTATTAATACGTCATGTACATCTGAAAAGAATTTGTATTCTGCTATTGTTGAATGTGGTGTTCTAATGTCCATTAAGTCAAGTTGGTTGCTTTTTTTTTTTTTTTTAGACGTCGTCTTGCTCAGTCACCAGGCTGCTCAGCTCACTGCAAACTTGGCCTCCCAGGTTCAAGTGATTCTCCTGCCTCAGCCTCCCGAGTAGCTGGGATTACAGGCACGCGCCACCATGCCTGGTTGATTTTTGTATTTTTTTAGTAGAGCCAGGGTTTCACCATGCTGGCCAGACTGGTCTCGAACTCATGACCTCAAGCAATCCACCCGACTCGGCCTTCCAAAGTGCTGGAATTACAGGTGTAAGCCACCACTCCTGGCCTCAAGTTGGTTTTTTAGTGTCATTCAGATCTTCCCTTGTCTGTCCTACTTGCACAATTGTTCTGTCAGTTTTTAAAAAAGGAGTGTTGGAATGTCCATCTATAATTATGGATTTGTCTGTTTCTCCTTTCATTTCTGTCAGGTTTAGCTTCACATATTTTGAAGATCCATTATTAGATGCGTACCCATTAAGTTTATTATGTCTTCTTAATGAATGGATTCTTTGATTTTTATCTCTGGTAATATTCTTTATACTGAAGTCTACTTTTTTTTTTTTTTTTGTGACAGAGTCTTACTCTGACGCCTAAGCTAGAGTACAGTGGCATGATCAGAGCTCACTGCAACCTCTGTCTCCTGGGTTCAAGCGATTCTTGTGCCTCAACCACCCACGTAGCTGGGAATACAGGCATGTGCCACCACACCCAGCTACTTTTTGTATTTTTAGTAGAGATGGGGTTTTGCCGTGTTGGCCAGACTGGTCTCAAACTCCTGACCTCAAGTGATCTGCCCACCTTGGCCTCCCAAAGTGCTAGGATTACAGGTGTGAGCCATTGCACCCAGCCTCTAAGCTTTCTTTTCATTAGTGTTTTCATGGTATATTTTATCTTCTTCTTTCCTTCTACTTCTGTGTCTTTACAAACTGCACTTCTAGACAGCACATAGTTGTGGTCTGGTTTTTTTTGTTTTTTGTTTTGAGACGGAGTTTTCACTCTGTTGCCAGGCTGAAGTGCAATGGCGTGATCTTGGCTCACTACAACCTCCGCCTCCCAGGTTCAAGCAATTCCCTGCCTCAGCCTCCCGAGTAGCTGGGACTACAAGCACCCGCCACCATGCCTGGCTAATTTTTTTTTTCTTTTCTATTTTAGTAGAGATGGGGTTTCACCATGTTGGCTGGGATGGTCTCCATCTCCTGACCTCGGGATCCACCCACCTCGGCCTCCCAAAGTGCTAGGATTATAGGCGTGAGCCACTGCACCCAGCCAGTTGTGGTCTTTTTTTTTTTGTTTGTTTGTTTTGAGACGGAGTCTCGCTCTGTCACCCAGGCTAGAGTGCAGTGGTACAATCTCAGCTCACTGCAACCTCCGCCTCCCGGGTTCAAGCAATTCTCCTGTCTTAGCCTCCCGAGTAGCTGGGACAACAGGTGCATGCCACCATGCCCAGCTAATTTTTTTGTATTTTTAGTAGAGATGGGGTTCCATCATGATCTCCTGACCTCGTGATCTGCCCTCCTCAGCCTCCCAAAGTGCTGGGATTACAGGCGTGAGCCACCGCGCCCAGCTGAGAATGTCTTTTATAATTATCCATATGTTTACTATTTCTAGTTCTATTAACTCTTTTGTGTAGAATTGCATTTCTATCTCACATCATGTTTTCTTAGCTCAAAGAGCTTCTCTCTTTTTTTTTTTTTTTTTTTAGACAGAGTCTTGCTCTCTTTCGCCAGGCTAGAGTGCAGTAGCGTGATCTCGGCTCACTGCAACCTCCGCCTCCCGGGTTCAAGCAATTCTCCTGTCTTAGCCTCCTGAGTAGCTGGGACAACAGGTGCATGCCACCATGCCCAGCTAATTTTTTTGTATTTTTAGTAGAGATGGGGTTCCATCATGATCTCCTGACCTCGTGATCTGCCCTCCTCAGCCTCCCAAAGTGCTGGGATTACAGGCGTGAGCCACCGCGCCCAGCTGAGAATGTCTTTTATAATTACCCATATGTTTACTATTTCTAGTTCTATTAACTCTTTTGTGTAGAATTGCATTTCTATCTCACATCATGTTTTCTTAGCTCAAAGAGCTTCTCTCTTTTTTTTTTTTTTTTTAGACAGAGTCTTGCTCTCTTTCGCCAGGCTAGAGTGCAGTAGCGTGATCTCGGCTCACTGCAACCTCCGCCTCCCGGGTTCAAGCAATTCTCCTGTCTTAGCCTCCCGAGTAGCTGGGACAACAGGTGCATGCCACCATGCCCAGCTAATTTTTTTGTATTTTTAGTAGAGATGGGGTTCCATCATGATCTCCTGACCTCGTGATCTGCCCTCCTCAGCCTCCCAAAGTGCTGGGATTACAGGCGTGAGCCACCGCGCCCAGCTGAGAATGTCTTTTATAATTATCCATATGTTTACTATTTCTAGTTCTATTAACTCTTTTGTGTAGAATTGCATTTCTATCTCACATCATGTTTTCTTAGCTCAAAGAGCTTCTCTCTTTTTTTTTTTTTTTTTTTAGACAGAGTCTTGCTCTCTTTCGCCAGGCTAGAGTGCAGTAGCGTGATCTCGGCTCACTGCAACCTCCGCCTCCCGGGTTCAAGCAATTCTCCTGTCTTAGCCTCCCGAGTAGCTGGGACAACAGGTGCATGCCACCATGCCCAGCTAATTTTTTTGTATTTTTAGTAGAGATGGGGTTCCATCATGATCTCCTGACCTCGTGATCTGCCCTCCTCAGCCTCCCAAAGTGTTGGGATTACAGGCGTGAACCACCGTGCCCAGTTGAGAATGTCTTTTATAAATACCCATATGTTTACTATTTCTAGTTCTATTAACTCTTTTGTGTAGAATTGCATTTCTATCTCACATCATGTTTTCTTAGCTCAAAGAGCTTCTCTTTTTTTTTTTTTTTTTGAGACGGAGTCTTGCTCTGTCGCCCAGGCTGGAGTGCAGTGGCATGATCTCGGCTCAGTGCAAGTTCTGCTTCCCGGGTTCACACCATTCTCCTGCCTCAGCCTCCCGAGTAGCTGGGACTACAGGCACATGCTGCCAAGCCTGGCTAATTTTTTGTATTTTTAGTAGAGACGGGGTTTCACTCTGTTAGCCAGGATGGTCTCGAGCTCCTGACCTCGTGATCTGCCTGTCTTGGCCTCCCAAAGGGCTGGGATTACAAGTGTGAGCCACCGCACCCAGCCAAAGAGCTTCTCTTAATATTTCTTCCAGTGCAGGTCTGGTGGTGATGGTGATGAACTTCTCTTAGCTTTCATTTTCTGAAACTGTCTTTTTTTTCTCCTTTTTTTTTTTTTTTTTTTTGAGATGGAGTCTTGCTCTGTTGCCCAGGCTGGAGTGCAGCGGCACGAGCTCGGATCACTACAACCTCTGCCTCTCGGGTTCAAGCAGTTCTCCTGCCTCAGCCTCCCAAGTAGCTGAGATTACAGGTACCCACCACCACGCCCAGCTAATTTTTGTATTGTTTTAGTAGAGACAGGGTTTTGCCATGTTGGCCAGGCTGGTCTCGAACTACTGGCTTCAGGTGATCTACCTGCCTTGGCCTCCCAAAGTGCTGGGATTACAGGCATGAGCCACCGCGTTCAGACTCTCCTTCATTTTTGAAAGATAGTTTGCTGGGTATAGAATGTTAGGTTGCTTTTTTTTTTTTTTTTTTTTGGAGGTGAGTTTCACTCTCATCACCCAGGCTGGAGTGCAGTGGTGCGATTTTGGCTCACTGCAATGTCTGCCTCCCAGGTTCAAGTGATTCTCCTGCCTCAGCCTCCTGAGTAGCTGGTATTACAGGTGTGTACCACCACACTTGGTTAATTTTTGTGTTATTCCTAAAGACGGGGTTTCACCATGTTGGCCAGGCTGGTCTTGAACTCCTGGCCTCAGGTAATCCACCTGCCTCGGCCTCCCAAAGTGCTGGGATTACAGATGTGAGCCACCGCGCCTGGCCCTAGGTTGCTTTTTTTTATCTTTAATCACCCTGGGCTGGGCGCGGTGGCTCACGCCTGTTACTCCAGCACTTTGGGAGGCCGAGGCGGGCAGATCAGGAGGTCAGGAGATTGAGAGCATCCTGGCTAACACAGTGAAACCCTGTCTCTGCTAAAAGTACAAAAAATGAGCTGGGCGTGGTGGCTGGCGTCTGTAGTCCTAGCCACTTGGGAGGCTGAGGCAGGAGAATGGCATGAACCTGGGAGGTGGAGCTTGCAGTGAGCTGTGATCATGCCACTGCACTCCAGCCTGGGCGACAGAGTGAGACTCCATCTCAAAAAAAAAAAAGTAAAAATAAAATAAAATAATCACCCTGAAGATGTTTTTTAATTTCCTCTTAGATTTTTTTCTGACAAGTAGTCAGTAGTAATTTTTGTCTTTGTTCCTCCATATGTAACGTGTTTTTTCTTCCGCAGCTTTTAAGATTTTCTCCTCATCATGGGTCTTCAGTAATTTGATTATGATGTGCCTTGTTATTTTTGTTTAACCTTTTTGGAATTCATTGAACTTCTTGAATCTGTGGGATTATAGCTTTAATCAAGTTGGAATGTTTTCTGCCATATTTTTTCAAATATTCTCTTGTCTTTCTGGGATTCCAATTATATATATATATGTAAGACCACCCAATATTGTCCCACAGCCATTGAGGCTCTGCTAAGTTTTTCCCACTCTTTTCTCTCTATGCTTCAGTTTGTCTAGTTTGTTTTGCTCTGTCTTCAAGTTTATTAATCCTTTAGAGTATCCAAACTTCTAGTTCGCAGTGTCCAATCCCATCTATGGAATTTTTCATTTTAGATATTGTATTTTTTAGCTCTAGAAGATCTGTTTTCTTATGTCTTCTGTTTCTCTCCTCATCATGTTCATATTTTCCTTTAGCTCCCCAAACAATTAATAATATTAGTTTTAAAGTCATGTCTTTTTTTTTTTTTTTTTTTTGATATGGAGTCTTGCTCTGTCACCCAGGCTGGAGTGCAGTGGCGCGATCTTGGCTCATTGCAAGCTCCGCCTCCCAGGTTCACGCCATTCTCCTGCCTCAACCTCCCAAGTAGCTGGGACTACAGGCGCCCACCACCACGCCTGGCTAATTTTTTGTATTTTTAGTAGAGATGGGGTTTCACCGTGTTAGCCAGGATGGTCTCGATCTCCTGACCTCATGATCCACCCGCCTCGGCCTCCGAAAGTGCTGGGATTACAGGCGTAAGCCACTGTGCCCAGCCTAAAGTCTTTTCTAATTTCATCATCTCTGTCATGTTTGGATATGTATCTGTTGACTTGTAAAATTTTAGAGACAAGGTTTTGCTGTGTTGCTCAGGGTGGCATCAAACTCCTAAGCTCAAGTGGTCTTTCTGCTTCAGCCTCCTGAGTAACTAGTACTACAGACATGCACTATGGTGCCTTGTTGACTTTTTAAATTCCTGGTTTGAGTAACATTTTTTCTGGCTTCTCCACATTTCTATTAACTTTTGATTAGATGGTAGACATTGTAAATATTATGCTGCTGAGTATTTGGATTTTGTTTTCTTCTTTTAAGTGTTGAATTTTGTTTTGTTAAATAATTCAATTATTTGCAAATCAGACTGATATTTTTGAGACTTAAAAAAATTATTTAGGCTGGGTGCAGTGGCTCACACCTATAATCCCAGCACTTTGGGAGGCCAAGATGGGTGGATCACTGAGGTAAGGAGTTCGAGATCAGCCTGGCCAACATGGTGAAACCCTGTCTCTACTAATAAAATACAAAATTAGCTGGGCAGGTTGGTGCATGCCTGTAATCCCAGCTACTTGGGGGGCTGAGGGAGGAGAATCGTTTCAACCTGGAAGGCAGAGGTTGCAGTGAGCTGGGATCACGCAATTGCACTCCAGCCTGGGCAACAAGAGTGAAACTCCATCTTGGAAAAAAAAAATTATTAAAAAATTTTTTTCAGAGATGAGATCTTGCTGTATTGTCCAGGCTAGACGCAAACTCCCGGACTTAAGTAATCCTCCCAATTTAGCCTTCCAAGTAAGCTGGGACTACAGATACATGCCATGGTACCCAGCTTGAGACTTGTTTTAAGGCTTTGTAGGGAAGGTCTAGAGTAGCCCTTCCTTTAGATCTAGTTTATCCCTATTACTAAAGCATGACTCTTTTTGGGTCTCTGCTGATTGCCCCAGGTGTTCAACAAATTATCTTCACTTTGGTTGGTCAGAACTCAAATATCTCATAGCCTTGTGTGAGCTCTAGGAATTACTCAGCTTACAACTCCTCCCATTAGTTGTCCTTTGCCTGTACCCACGGAATCTCACCTTAGCATGCATAGATTAGTAGTATTCAGTCAAAGACTGAAGGGGACCTGTATACTGTACCAAACTCTGATCTCTGTCTCCTGTATCAGCTGACTATCATGCACTGCTTGAGATCCCCTTCTGCGTACCTGTTTTCAAAAAGCCCCTCCAGGCATAAAGTCTAGGTGGCTGTGTTTACTTTGTTTCATTTTCTCAGGGATTACAGTTTTACATTGCCTGTTATCTAATATCTGAGAGGTTTTTTGTTTGTTTGTTTGTTTGTTTGTTGAGACGATGTCTCACTCTGTCTCCCAGGCTGGAGTGCAGTGGGGCAGTCTTGGCTCACTGCAGCCTCCACTTCCTGGGTTCGAGTGATTCTTGTGCCTCAGCCTCCCAGGTAGCTGAGATTACAGGTGCGCACCACCACGCCCAGCTAATTTTTGTATTTTTAGTAGAGACAGGGTTTTGCCATGTTGGCCAGCTGGTCTCAAACTCCTGACCTCAAGTGATCTGCCCACCTCAGCCTCCCAAAGTGCTGGGATTACAGGCGTGAGCCATCACCGCACCTGGCCTAATGCCTAAAAGTTTTGTTTCATGTTTTATCTAGTTTTCTAGGTCTTTAGGGTCAGAGGGCAAGTTTGGTAACAATTGATCTATTATGTCTGGAAATGGAAATCCCTCCTGTGTCCTTTTGATACATTACTGTCATTCATTCAGCATTTCTTTATTTTCCGGCAGAAATATTTTCAGTTTATCTTATACTTTTTCTGCTTTAGCCCTGGAATCAGCCATTTCTTCAAGAAGCCTTATTTCCTTTTGGTGAAGGACAGTATTTAGAAACCAAGATGTACACACTTAGAGTACTAAATGCTACTTGGATGTTGCTGCTTCTAGCTGTAGCAGGGCAGGAGAGCCCCAAATTGGGCTTAGCCCAGGAATGTTCTTGGCCTTGCTCAGGATGGAATTTAAGAGCAAGCTGGTGGTAGAAGAAAACAACCTTATTGAGGTGGCAGTGTTACAGCTCTGTAACTACTTCTGCAGAGCGGGGCTACTCCATAGACAGTGTGTTGAGAGTAGCAGCTCAGAGGCAGTTCTGCAGTCATTTATACCTACTTTTAATTATGTGCAAATTAAGTGGTGGGTTATTCAGAATTTTCTAGAAAAAGGGTGGTACTTCTGGGTTGTTGCCATGGAAAGGACAGTAACTTCTGGGTGTTGCCACTGGCAATGGTAAACTGACAGGGCACTGGTGGGTGTGTCTTACAGAGAGTTGCTTTCGCCTCTTCCCTGTTTCAGCTAGTCTTCAATCTTGTCTGGAGTTGATTCACCACCTTCTACCTCATAGCCACCCTCAGTAAACAGAGCTAGGAAATGTATGTATGTAAACAGGTTTTCACACACATATTCATCTGTAAATATTTCTATATCTATTTGTGCAGTTATATTGTAAAACCATGAATTCATAATGATAGCTCCAATTCTAGTACACCAGGTTTTTTCAGGCCTTCTCCCTTTCCATGTTGTAAATACCTTTTCTGTCAGTTAAAGACTTTGCTTCCGCCGGGCGCGGTGTCTCACGCCGGTAATCCCAGCACTTGGGGAGGCCGAGGCGGGTGGATTGCTAGGTCAGGAGTTCAAGACCAGCTTGGCCAACATGGTGAAACCCCATCTCTACTAAAATTACAAAAGTTAGCTGGGCGTGGTGGCAGGCGCCTATAATCCCAGCTACTCTGGAGGCTGAGGCAGGAGAATCGCTTGAACCCAGGAAGCCGAGGCTGCAGTGAGCCAAGATCACGCCACTGCACTCCAGCCTGCGTGACAGAGCGAGGCTCTGTCTCAAAAAAAAAAAAAAGACTTTGCTTCCATTATCCTCAATATTTCATTCAATTTACTTATTTGCTAAATGAAGCCAATTTTCTTACCATACCAGCTGTCTTCTCCATCTAACATCTCCAGTGACCCATCCAGTCACTGCCTAGGTGAATTCCCCAGGGTTCCCTCATTCCCTCAGTTCCTGGGTTGACACAATTATGCTTATAGTAAGAGAAGAGAAGAGAAAGGTAGGAGACAGGAGGTTGCATCTTCACTGAGTCACTGTTCTGTCATGTATTTGTTCATTAGCTCATTTATTCATTCACAAATACAGACTTCTTAGTATGTAAGTATGGATCAGACACCATGCCAGGCAGAAACAAGAACAAACTCAACATATACAGCCACTGCTCTCAAGGAGGCTACATTGCATTGAGGAATACGAGAAATAAATAGTCAGTTATGTTACAATGTGTTAAGTGCTGGGAAAGTGAAGTACAAAGTGTGTTATGCCCTAGACTTACAGGTTAGGCCAGCTTTTTCCGAATTAATTTCCATGGAATACTAATTTTTTGCACTGTTAATAGGAATTGAGTAACTTGAGTTTCCCTGGTCAACTATATTCAAGGAAATCTGGGTTAAACCAGGTTAAATTAGTTTCTTTACCACAGGACTTCTTTACAGAATTTAGTACAATAATGTACTTTATGAATCTTTATGTCAAGTCTCTCAAATTCACTTGAACATAACCACCCTTGCTTTGTTCTGTGGATATTTGCAGAATATCTTGTGGAAGTGTTTCAGGGAACAAATTTTGAGAAATAAGGTTTAGTCTTATTTGAATTTTATGGTTTTTAATGTCACTTATGGTTAGTAAAACCTTCAGAACTTTTGGCCAGGTGCAGTGGCTCACACCTGTAATCCCAGCACTTTGGGAGGCCAAGGTGGGTAGATCACTTGAGCCCAGGAGTTCAAGACTAGCCTGGGCAACATGGTGAAAACCCTGTCCTATAAAAAATGTGAAAATTAGCCAGGTGTGGTAGTGCACGCCTGTAGTCCCAGCTCCTCAGGAGGCTGAGGTGGGAGGATCACCTGAGCCCAGGAAGGTCAAGGATGCAGTAAGTCATGATTGCACCACGGCACTCCAGCCTGGGCCACAGAGTGAGACCTTGTCTTTAAAACAAACGAACAAAAAAGATTGTTTTACTTCTTAAATCTGGATTAAAACTAGATGCATTTTTTTTCATTGTTTTCCCCTCATTACCCTAGCTAGAACCTCCAGTACAATGTTGAAGTGGCAAGAATGGACTTTCATGTCTTGTTGTAAAGCATAAGGATTTTGATTCTCATTTCTGACAAGTTTTAAACTTTGGTGACATTTCAAATTCCTTTCTCCATGATCCTATTTGAGTTTATCTAATATAGAAAGTGAACTTTTTGAGGGCACTTTCTGTTGCTAATTTTTCTATATGGCTTTGAAATGAATAGATTTTAGTTTCAAATTAAGTCTTATCAATAATTGTTAATGGTCGGGTGCAGTGGCTCATGCCTGTAATCACAGCACTTTGGGAGGCTGAGGTGGGTGGATCACCTGAGATCAGGAGTTCAAGACCAGCCTGGCCAACATGGTAAAACCCTGTCTCTACTAAAAATACAAAAATTAGCTGGGAGTGGTGGTGCACACCTGTAATCCTAGCTACTTGGGAGGCTGAAGCAGGAGAATTGCTCCAACCCAGGAGGCAGAGGTTGCAGTGAGCCAAGATCATGTCACTGCACTCCAGCCTGGGCGACAGAGTGAGACTCCGTCTCAAATGATAATAATAATAACAACAACAACAACGACAATGTGTTACCTTGTTTTTTATGCATATGAAATTTTATTGTTATTGACTACCTACTAACAATTTGTGTTACAAATCCAGAAAAGATAATGTAAAACTTGTTAGTGTTCTTACAGAGTTTTTTTTTTTTTGAGGTAACATGGGATAAAAAGCAAATTATATTAGATGAGAACATGTCAATTAAATCAAAAATAAAGTAATAAAAATTTAAAAATTAAACTGTAGTTCTAATACACTGGTAGAAATGAAAGAAGAACAATATAGGATGAGCCCTAAGGTCCCTTTGTTATTGTCAAGGGGCATTTTGTGGGAGAGCAAAGGTTCTCCCTAATTACAAACATAACCTAAATTATCCTAATTTATCTTAACCAGAAATGGATCTTCTTGAGAATGTATTTATATTTTAAAATGTAAGTATTTTTCAGTTGTGTCAGTTTTGTGATGTGCTGTGTAATTTCAGATGATCAAATAGCTTTCAAATTTAATCTAGTCCTTCACTTTCAAAGAATTGTCCCTGGTTTAGTATTTCATAATCTTATTTAAGTTCACATCAGCAAACATACACTAACTGTTTATAATATGATGGCACTATCCTAGTACCTATGTGGGTACTGGGATGAGAAGCTCAAGTCCCTGTCCTCAAAAATTTACTTTCTAGCATTGATGAATAATCAGTCTTCACTATTTATGATTAAAAAAACTTTGTTCATCATATGCTTTATTTAAAGATTGATAATCTGTTCTCCCATTACCTGGCCACTTGCTCTTTGCTCTCCTAATTACTTCTTAGGACCTTTAGTAGCTTTCTTGTTTTCTGAGTATGGACGTTTTCCCTCAAGTAAGACACTACTAGTCGCTGGGTGCGGTGGCTCACGCCTGTAATCCCAGCACTTTGGGAGGCCAAGGCGGGTGGATCACTTGAGGTCAGGAGTTTGAGACCAGCCTGGCCAACACGGTGAAACTGTCTCTACCAAAAATACTAAAAATTAGCCAGGCGTGGTGGCGGGTTCCTGTAATCCCAGCTACTCAGGAGGCTGAGGCAGGAGAATCGCTTGAACCTGGGAGACAGAGGTTGCAGTGAGCCAAGATCACACCATTGCACTCCAGCCTGGGCAACAAGAGCGAGACTCCGTCTCAAAAAAAAACAAAAAAAAAAGTAAGACACTACTAGTCATTTTGGCTATAGCAGCACATTGAAATTTCTTCAGGGAATGATGTATAACAGGAGTTAGCAAACTTTTTGTGTAAAAGCCCAGATAGTAAATATTTTTGGCCTGTGGGCCATACACAATATCCTTTTTTGATATATGCTTTGTCTTTTTTTAAAAAATACCTTTTAATATGGGAAAATCATTGTTTGTTCTCAGGCTATACCAAAGTAGACTATAGTTCCCAACCCCTGGTTAGCCCACCTTTTTGAAAATATGTTCTGCAGATTACTAACTCCACTGGATGCTCCTTGTAAAAAGGATTCCATGGTCAAATAAATTTGTCAGGTGTTCCATGCTGTGTCATTCTCTTGGACATTTTTAAGACTCATTAAAATACTAAAGGCTTTTAAAAAATCCTTTGGTTTATAAGCTTCTTTCTCCTTGGAGCTTTGTGGTTCTTTTGTTTTTATTTGCTTATTTTTGAGTGTATTACCTACTTGTATTCCATAGACTTTGTTTCTTAGAATGTTGTCCTGTGTATGAGTTCTAGGTCATTTCCTGATCATGTTTTATAATCAGACCTTTTAAAAAATTATATTCCTCTAAATTTACTTTGTTCATGCCCACTTCAAGTTTATTTTAAAATATTCTGGGCCGGGTGCTGTGGCTTACACCTGTAATCCTAGCACTGTGGGAGGCTGAGGTGGGACAATCACTTGAGTTTAGGAGTTTAAGACCATCCTGGACAACATGGTGAAATTCCATCTCTACAATAGAAAAATTAGCTAGGTGTGGTGGTGTACACCTGTAGTCCTACCTACTCAGGAGGCTGAGGCAAGAGGAGCTCTTGAGTCTGGGAGGTTGAGGCTGCGCTGAGCCGAGATCGTTGCTGTGCATTCCAGCCTGGGTGACAGAGCGAGACCCTGTCTCCAAGGAAAAAACAAAGCAAAAAAAAGAAAAAAAAATCTGTATGCTTACCTGACTAGATAGTTTTACATTTAAACATGTAAAAAGAACTGGGATATCGAATTTCTCAGTGGATTTCTTTACTATCATTTCATAACACTGCTAACATATTTTTTTTTTCTCTCTTAACCAGGAAAAGTGGGTTGAAGTTGCCTCAATGAAAGTGCCTAGAGCAGGCATGTGTGTTGTGGCAGTCAATGGTCTTCTGTATGTTTCTGGAGGTCGATCTTCCAGCCATGATTTTTTGGCTCCAGGTACCTTGGACTCAGTTGAAGTTTATAACCCTCATTCAGATACATGGACAGAAATTGGTAACATGATCACCAGTCGTTGTGAAGGGGGCGTTGCTGTGCTATGAAATATAAAGCATAACAGAGCACAAGGAACATTTTGAAAATGCAGGACCTGACCTTTTGCAAAGCAAACATAGATTTGGTGATAAGACCCTCTGATTCTGTGAGTTTTCCATGTATTTGGTAGATAAATGACTAACGAGGCTGGGCGCAGTGGCCTCATGCCTATAATCCCAGCACTTTGGAAGGCTGAGGCAGAAGGATCACTTGAGCCCAGGAATTTGAGGTTGTAGTAAGCTACGATCATGCCACTGCACTCCACTCTGGGCAACAGAATGAGATCCTGTCTCTTAAAGAAAAAAAATAAACTCAAGAATGATTTTTCTAAAAATATGAGTGAGAATGGATATGGAATATATCCCAATTAATAAAGAGCTCACACAGATTTGCCAGGTTTACTAATAATAGAAATGCCATTTATGCTGTAGAATTCTCCAGTTTAAGTGTAGACAACTCCTATTTTACAAATTTGTAGAAATTATTTACTAGAAGCTTCCTGGCAAATAGTCCCTTTAGCTACTTCTCCAGTGCAGTATAAATTGTAACATAAAACTTTATGTGATATAGGAATAGTGTCAATGACACAGTTTAAAGACCTCTATATTCACAATTATATCCAGAGCATAATTTTCCATGGCCATAGTTTGAGCCACAGAGAAAGCCAATGAAATAGATTCCTACTTTTATTTAATGCCAAGAGTTTTCACTAGCCCCAAACTTTTTATTGGCAGCAGATATCCTAGGAGGGGTGTTTGGGAAATATCTAGCTATTTTAATAGATAGATACCTTTTTGCTTGATGATAAGTTTTTGCTTGCTCATATTTTTTGTCTTGATCCTGAGAATGCAAGTAAGGAATTAATAGGAGGTTCTTAGTGACCAGATGTTGTAATGGGCTATACAGTCCAGCAGGCAGTATGCACCTAGAAATTTCTCCCTTTTTTAGGCTGGGCATGGTGGCTCACACCTGTAATCCCAGCACTTTGAGAGGCCGAGGTGAGACGGGAAGATGGCTTGAACTCAGGAGTTCGAGACTAGCCTGGGCAACGTGATGAGACTCCGTCTCTACCAAAAAATATATAAAAATTAGCCGGGCGTTGTGGCTTGTACCTGTGGTCCCATCTGCTTGGGAGGCTGAGGTTGCAGGATCACTTGAGCCCAGGAGGTCAAGGCTGCAGTGAGCCAAGATTGTGCCACTGCACACCGGCCTGGGTGACAGCATGAGAACCTGTCTCAAAAAAAAAAAAAAAAAAAGAAAAAAAAATTCTTCCTTTTTTGCTAGATTGTTGTCACCAAAATTATCTGTTTGGCTTTAGGAAGAGGGAATTTTATTAGATTATCAAGCTTTGTAAAATTTATTTGTACTTGGGCAAACCTAAGTAAGAGCATACTGCAAAGCTACTGCTTGGATGTAGAGGGCTAAATTGTAGGTACTTCTGAAACTTTTTATAGATACTGACTCATAAGTGTAATTTGAAAGTACCCCTTGACCCAAACAAAACTGCTTCTCAAAACTTCTCATTTTCTCCCTGAGAAGCATTCTAAAGAATTGTTCTCTGTTCATTTCTAAGAGAAAGATTTACTGGGTGTATGATGCGGTTACTTTTAAGTTATTTCTACTGGCCAGTTGGAGCAATATATATTAAAGGTCTTGCATACAGTAAAAAAAATTTTTTTTTGAGATGGAATTTTGCTCTTGTTGCCCAGGCTGGAGTGCAAAGGCGTGATCTCGGCTCACTGCAACCTCCGCCTCCCGGATTCAAGCGATTCTCCTGCCTCAGCCTCCCAAGTAGCTGGGATTACAGGCGCCCACCACCATGCCTAGCTAATTTTTCTGTATGGGGTTTCACCATGTTGGCCAGGCTGGTCTCGAACTCCTGACCTCAGGTGATCCACCTGCCTTGGCCTCCTGAAGTGCTGGGATTACAGGCATGGGCCAGCGTGCCCGGCTGCATACAGTAAAATTTAACTAGTTGACTTAAGGATTTGATTTCCCGTTTCTTTTTTTTTTTTTTAGATGGAGTCTTGCCCTGTCACTCAGGCTGGAGTGCAATGGTGTGATCTCAGCTCACTGCAACCTCTGCCTCCCTGGTTCAAACGATTCTCCCGCCTCAGCCTCCCGAGTAACTGGGATTACAGACGTGAGCCACCATGCCTGGCTAATTTTTTGTATCTTTAGTAGAGACGGAGTTTCACCATGTTGGCCAGGCTGGTGTTGAACTCCTGACCTTGTGATCTGCCCACCTTGGCCTCCCAAAGTGCTGGGACTATAGGTGTGAGCCACCGCACTCTGCCGATTTCCCATTTCTTTGCTAAGGTCCTTCAGTATATTACTATAAGCATCATCAACTTATTTAGATAGAAAACTTTTAATTGCATTAATGAATTAGGTAGCACTCATATCCAAATTATTTGGTTTAGGCCGGGCACCGTGGCTTATGCCTGTAATCCTAGCACTTTGGGAGACTGAGGTGGGCAGATCACTTGAGGTCAGGAGTTCAAGACCAGTCTTGCCAACATGGTGAAACCCCGTCTCTACTAAAAATACAAAAAATTGGCAGCAGGTGGTGGTACATGCCTGTAATCCCAGCTGCTGAGGAGGCTGAGGCAGGAGAATCACTTGAATCCAGGAGGTGGAGGTTGTAGTGAGCTGAGATCATACCACTGTGTTCTAGCCTGGGCCATAGAGCAAGACTTTGTCTCAAAAAAAAATAAAACAAAAAATATTTGGTTTAGTCTACAACTATACCTTCCTTATAACTTAACCATATGCATTTATTAGGAAAAGTTTATGTAATGCAGACAGGAAGCTCTATGTTCCCTTCTCTGGGGCATCCTGAACGTCTGAAGGGTCACAGATGTCTGTGTAGAGATCTGTAAGATGTCAAAGAATAAAGATAATTTATAGACTAAGCTATAACTCATGTGCCTTTACTATTTCTAGTTACAGAGAATCTGTATTCTGATTCAAAACAGATTTACAAAATACTTCTACAACTAATTTCTCATTGTCTAGTAGCAACTGAAAATGACACTTTGAAGGGGTGTGCTTTGCACAGCTGTGGCAGAAATGTAATGTCAAGGCAGTCAGTGTTTTAACAGGTCCCGAAGATCCCTGAAAATAGGTGACTGTAAATATGCTTATTATTCCTAGGTAATGACAAGATTGGTTTTGTTTTTGTTTTTGTTTTGAGATGGAGTTTCGCTCTTGTTGCCCAGACTGGAGTGCAATAGCATGATCTTGGCTCACCGCAACCTTTGCCGCCCGGGTTCAAGCGATTCTCCCGCCTCAGTCTCCTGAGTAGCTGGGATTGCAGGCATGAACCACGAGGCCCAGCTAATTTTGTATTTTTTGTAGAGGTGGGGTTTCTCCATCTTGGTCACGCTTGACTCGAACTCCCGACCTCAGGTGATCTGCCTGCCTTGGCCTCCCAAAGTGCTGGGATTACAGGCATGAGCCACCTCACCAGGCTAACAAGATTGTTTTTAAAAGAATGTACTAATAAAGTATCTAGTTTTTTTGTTTCTTTGTATTACTTTATCAGTGGCATTCTGGGTTACCAAACTGTAGTAGGATTGCACAAGTTTTTTAGTTGGTTTTGTTTTAACTTTAAGGACTTGCACATTTCATTTTACATTTAATTCTGTTTTTTGAGAAATGATTAAAGTGATCTACCTCCAAAATGTTTAACAATCCGATATGCTTCTAAGTATCCTGCCAATGTACTTAATCAAATGTACTTAAAAATCAGTTTTCTTAAAGAAGCATACACTGTAATTCACCTGGAAAAATAGCATTTTTAAGTAAAATTAGGCAATTAGCCTAAAAATATGATTTGCCTCTATTCTGGAAAATAATTCATTTAATTCAGATTATGGAAAAGTCTTAAATTTGTATAGCATTCATGCAATTTAATAACAAAGAAGTGAGTTTCCTTATCAAAACAATCTGAGTAGAATCAGATTGAGACTGAGTGGAAACATCATCTCTAAAAAATATACAGGCCGGGCACGGTGGCTCATGTCTGTAATCCCAGAATTTTGGGAGGCCAAGGTGGGTGGGTCACCTGAAGTTGGGAGTTTGAGACCAGCCTGACCAACATGGAGAAACCCTGTCTCTACTAAAAATACAAAATTAGCTGGGCATGGTGGCGCATGCCTGTAATCCCAGGTACTCGGGAGGCTGAGGCAGGAGAATCGCTTCAACACGGGAGGCGGAGGTTGCGGTGAGCCGAGATAGCGCCATTGCACTCCAGCCTGGGCAACAAGAGTGAAACTCCATCTAAAAAAAAAAAAAATTCCAGGTTATACTATATCCTGATCTATATCCTTAGACCATTTTTAATCCTTAGACCATTTTTAATGTTTTTCCTTTTTGGTGAGACTAGGAATTTCAGAAAACTAGGTTTTCTGTTAATTCTTTTTTTCTCCACCTTAAGTAGAGTGATTAGAGACTACGTTTTCAAGTGAAAATCTAAGGTGTTGCTTTTGCTGTTTTAAGAAAGCTTCTGCACTGGGTGCAGTGGCTCACGCCTGCAATCCTAACACTTTGGGAGCCTAGGCAGGAGGATTGCTTGAGCTCAGTTCAAGACCAGCCTGGGCAACATAGGGAGACCCTGTCTCTACAAAAAATTAAAAAATTAGCTTGGCATAGTGGTGCACAACTGTAGTCCCAGCTACTCAGGAGGCTGAGGTGGGAGAATTGCTTGAGCCCAGGAGGTCGAGGCTGCAGTGAGCCATGACCACACCACTACACTCTGGCCTGAGCAAGAGTGAGACCCTGCGTTTAAACAAAACAAAACAAAAACAAAAACACACCAAAGCTAAAAGCTTCTCTGTGATTTAAAAGATGTAGAACTAGACCAGCCTGTCCAACATGGTGAAATGCCACCTCTACTAAAAATACACACCAAAAAATTAGTTGGGCATGGTGGCACGTGCCTATAATCCCAGCTACTCTAGAGATGCTGAGGCAGGAGAATCGCTTGAACTCGGGAGGTGGAGGTTGCGGTGAGCCAAGATCGTGCCACTGCACTCCAGCCTAGGCGACAGAATGAAACTCCATCTCAAAAAAAAAGATGTAGAACTAGATAGGCCTGCTCATTAGAATATCAAGATGGCTCCAGCTTGACTTTTCTTTCCTAATTTATATGTACTAGTGGCTTTATTTTAAATAGTTTCCTTTGAAAATAATCATTTTGACCAGCTATTATGTGTTTGGTGGTAAGGGACAAGTTGTTATCTGTACCATGCCAAATATCCTAATAAAAACTGGAAAACATGTCCAACTTACCTTTGAATGTGGCTTTCCCTCATGACACTGCTCCCTACTGACTTTAGAGCCATAGATCCTTTTAGCTCATATAATTGGGTTATACCATGTGAAATAAGTTTGGACATGCCTTTCCCAGTGGTAACTCCTGTGAAAACTCAATGGAACTACCTTTTCTTTTCAGATACTCACAGATACGAGGTTTTCCGCTTGAAGTGGGAGAATATGTGCATTCTTTTCAATGATCACAAGACTCTAACAAAGGGGATTTTTAATCTTTAATTTTCAAGATGGTTAAAATATTGAAATGTTTAAGTGGATAACTATATTATTCATAAAATGACTGAGTGAAAACTAATATACTATGAGATGAAAAGTACTTGTCAGGGATTTTCAAGCTTTTGCTCAAGTAATTACCATGAAGTAACAATTTCTAGAAATGAAGAACAATCTGTGAAGATAAATTACCATTGGTGTGGGGAAAAAAAGCCAAACAGAAGTAGAAAAAGGTGTAGCTGGCATACAAATGTTATCTACAGTGTATTTATATATATATATTTTTAAAACTTTTAACTAAAAAGTAAACTTTAATGTCGAAAATGCAAACTTGGGGAAGACAGAAAAGATCACACACAAGGCTGTCACTTCACACGTGGAAGGTTGCACAGCGGCCGGGCAGAGGCGCTTGTCACACTTCCCAGATGGTCAGGCGGCCAGGCAGAGGCGCTCCTCACTTCCCAGACGGGGCAGCAGCTGGGCAGAGGTGCTCCTCACTTCCCAGACTTTTATATTTTTTATACTTGACCAGGTCTCTTATGTCCTTTTTCTGGAAAACTACTTTTAACTACTAAAGTGATTATAAATGAAAAAGTGGCCAATAAAGTGACTACTATCCTCAGGGCTTTAAACCAGTTGGGATAATGTGGTAAGAGAAAAAGTTCAAGGTGGAATGCTACTCCCATACCCATTATTACTGTGACTATGGCTTCACTAAGTCTTTCAGAAATAAGGAAGGCAAACCATGAAAAGAAAAGAGGAGCTGCACTGCTAGCTAAATTAAGGTAGTCTGGTTTGGCTGGACTACCTTCTGGTAGAGCAAAACCCCATCTGATCCCACCCAAGAAAGATAGGAAACTGGCTCCATAAGCCATCTGAGTAAAAGCTAATATGGGAATATAAGTTTTTGTCATCAGCATGACCAGTGGTGGAGCAACGAAGGGGATTAGTCCTGCCAGAGTTACACATAATGCTGGCTTTGGGCTGTCAGTTAGGTAAGTGATGGTGCTTGAGGGTCTGGCTAGAAGTGCTTGCTTCTGCTGCTTTTTAAAGCTGCAGGGGGATGTATGATAGCACTGTGTCTTGCTCATATACGCTGGAAATGATGAGGAAAGCCAAGGCCTTGGACATGGGGAAAAGTTTTGCTGGAGAGACATCTTGAGAGAAAGTATATCTGTTCTGCTGGTTCTTAGTCCCACTGGGAAAGAGTACTTCAGTATCTACAAAGAAAATAGAACCAAAAGACAAAATTAAAAATATATATATGTATCATCAGATTTTAGTCAATCCCAGTATGAAATAATGGGGATTGTTTGAAAGGAGCAAACAAAAAAGATCTGCTTTCCATTACCACATCAAACTATACAGAAAGGATGAACTAATAACTCTGAAGTGATATTATTGCTGGTAAGAGTATTAAATGGCTATACAATGTACAAAAGAAACCACTGAACACAAACTAGTGATATATTTCAACCTACCACTTAATCTTATTCCATGAGAAAAATATCTGAAAGAGGAGCAGGTAAAGACTAGATCTTCAGAATTTGGCCTTCTAAACTGCCTCTTTTATTTATAAATAGCAAAAGCAGCAGCACTAATTACCGTGGGAATGCTGTTTTTATATGGAGAAAATAAATCTACCTTCCAACTTAGTTTTATGAACACCACATACTTTTCACAGTTCCACACCTTTGTGTATGCTCTGCCTAGAATTCTAGCTCTTACTACTTTCCTATCTAGGAAACTTACCTCAACATTCAAAATTCAACTTAAAGCTTTCCTTTACCCTTCTACGGTCTGATTTAATGCTCCTATAGTAAGCACCCTGTGCACACTTCCATCATAATTCTTCTCACAGTGAATTAAAATTGTGTGTTTACTTGTCTTTGTCTCAGTAGACTTGAGAGCCAGGACCGTATTTTTTTCCTTGCCTTAAAATCCCCACTGCCTTTCATTGTACACGGGCAAAGTAATAACCTTTCCTGCTGATTCTGTGTTTTAGTGACCAGACTTCAACTAAAAAGTGTTGCATTAAAGAAAAAATTGAAGTTATTGAAGAATCTCAGTGATTACTCAAACATGCTAGGAATGGTTCCATCTTGGAACCATTTCCCTGTTTCCATATTTACTGCTCTTCCCTCAGTTACCTACTTCCGATCCCCTGCCATTTGTAAGTCCAATCCTACGTCTTGACACTACCTATTGCCCTTCCCTGCTTTATAGTTCTCCACAGCATTTACCAGTTGATGTATTAATTTTTATTTTTATTTTTTTGAGACCGAGTTTTGCTCTATCACCCAGGCTGGAGTGCAGTGGTACAATCTCTGCTCACTGCAACCTCTGCCTCCCAGGTTCAAGCGATTCTCTGCCTCAGCCTCCTGAGTAGCTGGGATTACAGGCGTCCGCCACCATGCCCAGCTAATTTTTGTATTTTTAGTAGAGACAGGGTTTCACCATGTTGTCCAGGCTGGTCTCGAACTCCTGACCTCACGTGATCTGCCCGCCTTGGCATCCCAAAGTTTTGGGATTACAGGAGTGAGTGACCGTGCCTGGCCTTATTTTTTTTAATTTTTACTTTTTGAGATGAATTATTCCTCTGTCACCCAAGCCAGAGTGCAGTGGCACAATCTCGGCTCACTGCAACCTTTGCTTCCTGGGTTCAAGTGATTCTTCTGCCTCAGCCCCCCAGGTAGCTGGGACTACGGGCGCCTACCACCATGCTGAGCTAATTTTTGTATTTTTCCGTGGAGACAAGGGTTTTACCATGTTGGCCAGGCAGGTACTGAACTCCTGACCTCAAGTGATCCACCTGCCTCAACTCCCAAAGTGCTGGGATTTCAGCCGTAAGCCACGGCACCTAGCCAATTTTTTTTTTTTTTAAACATCGTCTTGCTGTGTCACCCAGGCTGCAGTGCAGTGGCATGATCTCAGCTCACTGCAGCCTCAACCTCCTGGGCTCAAGCGATCCTCCTCTCTCAGCCTCCCAGGTAGCTGGGGCTATAGGCGTGTGACCCCATGCCCAGCTAATTTTTTGTAGAGATGGGGTTTTGCCATGTGCCCAGACTGGTCTTGAACTCCTTGAGCTCAAGTGATCCCACCCACCTCGGCCTGCCAAATTGCTGGGACTACAGGCGTGAGCCACTGCACCCAGCCTGATATAATAAACATTTTACTTACTTGTATTTTACTTAACTCTTCCCTCCATCACCTGAATATACAAGGGTAAGGATTTTTGTCTTTTTCACTGCTACTGACCTAGCCCAAGCAATATTTGGCAAATAGTGCTCAAATATCTGCTGAACAAACCAACCTTTGAAGATGCTTGAGAAAACTTCTGGATGAAGCGAAGCATACTGGCCCCTATTGAAAGTCTTGTTCAGGAAGATGCCAGGTAGTTCTGATTAACATGTTACAGCTAAGCAGAGGCACTGAATCAGGGGCATGTTTCTGTGTATAACACAAGGTGTCACTTAATTTTCCTCATTTTATACATTAATTTTTAAATAGTAGTAATTCATGAATATAACACTTTCCTTTGAAAAGAATCATTAATGTTTTCAAACTGTCGGTAACACAGTAACAAAATAGATCCTTTTAGTATCTGAACTGTTCTTTTAGCTTTGGCTGTCTAGTGTAATAGAAAGAGTAATGCACATAGAGATTTTACAGATACTTCCACCATTTCCTAGCTGTGTGACACTGGGCAAATTGCTTGAGTACTGGTTTTCTCATCTTTAAAATGAAGGGTCTTCTAAGTGGTGTTTTTGTGAAATTAAAAAAAAAACCAAAACAAAACTGGAAGGTCATAGCTTCTGTTTCCTTTTTTCCTCCTATTTTGGGGCTTAAGAGTTCACAACTCAAAATAACGATAGTACCAACCAATATAATTTAGGTTTTTTTAATTTGTTTGTTTGTTTTGAGACAAGAGTCTTGCTGTGTCGCCCAGGCTGGAGTGCAGTGGCGCGATCTTGGCTCACTGCATCATCTGCCTACCGGGTTCAAGCAATTCTTGTGCCTCAGCCTCCCAAGTAGCTGGGATTACAAGCTCCTGCCACCATGTCTGGCCAATTTTTGTATTTTCAGGAGAGATGGGGTTTCGCCATGTTGGCCAGGCTGGTCCTGAACTCCTGACCTCAGGTGATCCAACTGCCTAGGCCTCCCAAAGTGTTGGGATTACAGGCATGAGCCACCGCGCCCGGTGAGCATTAACTCATTTAATGCTCAAAATAACCTCATTAACTTAGTACTGAGAGAGAATAGCCTGTTGGAGTGCAGACTTTGGTGTCAAACTTGGTTGGAATCCTGGCTCCACTACTTATTAGCTGTGTGTCTTTGAACAAATTATTTAATCTTGTTATGGTGCAGTTCATTCACCTTTGAAATATGGATACTAATTCATAGGGTTGATGTAACATTTTTTTTTTTGGATACAGGGTCTCGCTCTGTCACCCAATCTGGACTGCAGTGGCGTGCTCTCCGCTGTCTGCAGCCTTGACCTCCCGGGATCGAGGGATCTTACCACCTCAGCCCTCTAAGGAGCTGGGACTACAGGCCACGCCACCATGCCCAGCCAATTTTTTTTTGAGACGGAGTCTTGCTCTGTCGCCCAGGGTGGAGTGCAGTGGTGCCATCTCAGCTCACTGCAAGCTTCGCCTCCCAGGTTCATGCCATTCTCCTGCCTCAGCCTCCTGAGTAGCTGGGACTACAGGCATATGCCACCACGCCCAGCTCATTTTTTGTATTTTTAGTAGAGACGGAGTTTCACCATGTTAGGATGGTCTCGATCTCCTGACCTCGTGATCCGCCTGCTTTGGCCTCCCAAAGTGCTGGGATTACAGGCATTAGGCACCGTGCCTGGCCCCAATTTTTGTATTTTTTGTATAGAAGGGGTTTTGCCATATTGCTCAGGCTGGTCTTGAACTCCTGAGCTCAAGCAATCCACCTGCCTCGGCCTCCCAAAGTGCTGGGATTGCAGGTGTGTGCCACTTAGCCTGATATAACACTTAATAAGTTACTACATGTAAATAGCTGAGAACCGTCCCTGACACAAAGCACTTTACACAGGAGGGACTGATTAAAAACTCTAATGTAAGCAGCCAGTAAAAACAGGTGAATGATAATATGGATCTAGATCTGACAATTTCATTCTTAACCAAGAGAATGGGATGTCTAAAAAAACCTACAGTTGCTGCTTAATTTTAAAAAATCGATTGGGCAGGGCGCAGTGACTCGCTCCTGTAAGCCCAGCAGTTTGGGAGGCCGAGGTGGGTGGATCACGAGGTCAGGAGTTCGAGACCAGCCTGGCCAACGTAGTGAACCTCCCCCCCGTCTCTACTAAAAATACAAAAAATTAGCTGGGCGTGGTGGCAGGCGCCTGTAATCCCAGCTACTCGGGAGGCTGAGGCAGGAGAATTGCTTGAACCTGGGAGGCGGAGGTTGCAGTGAGCCGAGATCGCGCCATTGCACTCCAGCCCACGAGACAGTGCGAAGCTCCGTCTCAAAAAAAAAAAAAAAAAATCGATTGAACTAATTTATTGATCACAGATCTTAGGGCTGGGTCAAGAAATCCTGTATACCAGTTAATGTCTTCATACTATACTTAAGGAAGCAAGTAGGGAGGTAAGTAATCCTGGGCCTCCGAGTAGAATTTAGATCACACCCACACCCACCCACCTGAGCCCCAGACCAAAATGCCCGCAGAGCGTACCCATCACTTTTGTTCAAAATCACTTTCTTCTTAAGGACTTTCCAGACCACTCCATTTAAAATCTCAACCATCCCCCCATCTTTGGAAACTCCCTTTCCTCTGTGGCACGTGCTTTCCAACTAGTGGGTATTAAAAAGTGATAACCTAAAAAGTCCAGGGACGGCAGGTGATGCGGGATTAAGGACTGAGACTCAAAGCTTAATCCTCCTAATATAAATGAAAAAGCTCAATATTCCCATTGCCCTGGTGGGAAGACTGCAAACTGCCAGCTTCAAACTGACCTCTGAGAAAGGAAGGCGGGGTTTAGACGCCAGTGTCTTCGGGAAACCCTGCCCGAGAGTGCCCGCGTCTCCAATTTACTACCAACCCTTGGTGCCCTCCCATCCCAACGTCGCAAATTTACTACCAACCCTTGGTGCCTCCCATCCCAACCTGCACCTGTGGCGACTTTGAGACTTGCCAGCGTTGCACGGAGAGAAGGAAAACAACCGCAACAACAGCCCAGGTCCACTGGAAAGGCACTTCCGGCAAGTGGATTCAGAGAGGCCCCTACTTCCTGAGGGCTGAAAAAAAATGAGTCCGGGTAGGGACTTGACCTGCGCTAATTGGTTCCTAGGCCCGGCTTTCTGTTTGGGGGCCATTCTTAATTTCTAGTTGAATCCAGATGTTGAACGGTCCTTGAAGTTCTATTCCAGGGCTCCCAGGCAGCAGAATCTGCCCACAGAGTTCGGGTAAGTAGAGTGCAAGTACTGAAACAATCTCAGAATGATGGTGGTGAAGGAAGGTAAGAGACGGGATTTTAGGCCCAGTGTGACCTGAATTGCTTGCCATCTGTGGGACTTATGTTTTACTTTGCAAAACAGGGTTTATAAGGCCTATGGGGACACATCTCACTGCATTAGGGCCCTTTACTATCATTTAGAGGGGGAAAAAAGCCCAGTTCTTACATCCATTTTCTTTGCTGGGACCTATAAACTTCATTAAGGGTTAAAGAGCACAAGAGCAGGATTTTCACTTCCATGAAAGGTGTGGTGATAAGGGCCCTAGGCTTGGGGGTGGTTCGGAAAGTCAGATCATTTCTCCTACTGCCCTCGGCTTTATTTCTCGGCTATGTGACCTTGGGCAAGTCCCTTCTCTTATCTAGACTTGTTTCACAGGAAATGGCACCAGGCAATTTTAGTGCCCTTCCGTGTCTATGGATAAAACTGAAGACATGTAGTAGGAGATCTCAGGGGCCCACGCCGGCCAGTCCCTCCAATCCTCCGGATTCTAGGTAGTCTAGCTTCCTGGTTGCCAGCCATTACACGGTTTAGCTTTCCGTGCCGGATGGAGCCACAGCGAAGTCTTCCTTAATAGTAAGCGCTTTTAGTCGAGCTAGGCCTTCAGTTTTATTGCCTTCTCTGTCATGGCAGCGCCGCCCCTTCCAGTAGTGCGATACCCAATGAGACTTCAGGTAGGAGAAACGGCACTGTCGCAAGCGCAGGCTCTCGCCGGAATCCCGCCCTTCGCTTGGGCGGGGGAGTGACGCCTGCGCTCCAGGGGAACTACTACTCCCAGCGGGTAGCGCGGCCGACGCAGCCGCGCAGCCTCCGGGGCCAGGCCGTGTGGCCCGCTGGGGACTGGAGTCTCAACGACGCGCACACGAGAAGTAAGGAGCGGAAGGTGGGAAAGGGCCGGAAAACACACGTTCCTCCGAAACCGGTTTGCAAGTCCTTGTAGAGGTAGTTTCGGGACGCGCACTGGCCAAGGGGCGGGCTGTGGGAGGGTGAAGAAAAAAGGGATACACACATGCATACCCACCCACTCATTCATACGCGCCCAGGCCCTGGAAGTGGGCAAGGGGGTTAGAAGGGGCGTACTAAACTAGGCTTGTCCGTGCCTCAGGCGGCACGAGGAAAGGCAGAGGATTCAATTCTGTAGGGGGCAGAGGTGACCATGCGCCGCCTCAAGCGGCGAAGAAGGGAGCCGGGGGCGGGGCAGGGCATAACCGCCGTTCTGGAGGCCGAACGTTGGCAGCGTAGGGAACTGGCGTCCGGGAGGGTCGCCGGAGCAGTCCCTTGCGCATGCGCTTCTTCAGGTGGGCGTGTGTAAGGCGGGGTCGGACGGGGGATGGGAGGGCCGTGCTGCTGGTCGCTCCTCCTCCTCCACCCGCTCTGCCCCTCCTGGACCTTGTGGGCCGGGCAGCCATTTTGGGAAGAGCTTTGTTATGGTTGTGGACTAGCCGCCTCTGCCGGGTCGACAAGCTGGGGACGCGTCCTCAGACGCAGCGTCTAGTCCCTGGCCATAGCTCCGCCGCTGCCCGGTGAGTGGGAGTTTGGGAAACGGGGCAGTAGGAGATCCTGGAGTCGTTCTGGCGCGGGGCTCCGCCCGGTGCCTAACCAACGGGCTGTTAAAACTAGTTGAAAGAAGCTCTCACACAGGTGGTTGGGTATAGGTCCGACCCGAGAGGGGCGAGCGGAGCCCACGGGTCAAGTGGTTCGGATGCGGCACCCCCGCCTCCCCCGTGCATGGAGCTTTGCACGCGAGCGTCGCCGGGGCTCCGCGAAAGCGCTCCTACTTTAACTTCGGTCGTCGGGTCGGAACGCTCACCTGCGGCTCTTTGGCTCCTCTCCAGGCGATCCGGCTTGGTGCTCGTTGAGTGACTTGGCTTACGGGTTTTTTTCTTTCCTTCTTGAAATGAGAGCTAAGGGCTTTTGTTTTCCTTCAAAGGAAAACCTAAGGAGGAAAAAGTGTAAGTCAAATGTTGGATATCTGAGGGGAAAAAAGTTTTAACCCCCAGCTTTCCGGTTCTCTGTGGTAGCGAGGTGTTTTCGCTTAGATTGAGTCTATCCGATATCTACCAACCTCCTTTCCTTGGAGGGGCAGGGAAAGCTGGTCGATCCTGAAATGTTTTAAGTGTTATTTTTTTTCTGTTGTTTTAAATCTAGTTCTCCCCAACCCGTGAAATTCGAAAGACAGTCTGAATCCAAAATGGCTGTAGCTTGGGGAAGTGCCCTGCCCTTCGATTACTTAAATACATTAACGTTTAAAGATTTTAGTCCTTTCCCCTGTGGGGACATTAACTGAATCTTTTGATATTTTGGTTTTTTGCAGTTGGTGTCTCACCTTTAACTCTCCTTATGCTGGGTGAAAACAAAGGTGAGGCTCACAAAGTTGACTATTCCAAAAGTTTACATAAGAATGGGTGCGGTGCGGTGGTGTGTGTGTTTAATAGTTGCTTATAGTTTTGAAATTGTGCTGTGGTGTCAATTTTATCTGCCAACTTCGTGCTCTGAAGTTGGCTTGTCATATTTGTTGAAATATTTTTAACATTGACATTTATTGCTTACCAGAAAAATACAGTTAATAATAGTGGTTCATGTTTTAGTTTAGTAGTAAGTCGTGTTCTTGTGTAAATCTTATCCAAAAGTAAAGTGATTGGTAGTCACTCCTCATTAGACTTATATTTGTAATTTAGTAGACTGCTGATCTTTTCTAAGGTCTTTTTTATCCAATATTTGAAAGGAAATTAGGGTGCTATTAAGTTTGAGATATTTACTAGAATAGTGTAAGACATTTTAACAAGTGAAAACATACTTTAGGTATGGAGTACCTGATTGTCGTGCCCTTTTGAACAAGAGACTGTCTTTTGTTTGCTTTTTTTTTTTAATCGATAGATCCAGAAGTTTAAACAAAAAGTCATAGATTGGAAACCAAAACCAATAAATTTCAATATTTGGAAAGGTGCTGAAGCCTGTATCTATTTAAAAGATAAAAGAGTGAAATGCTAATTGTGAATGAGAACTTTGAAATTAATAGTAAAATAAACTCATCTTTCCTAGGGAGTCAGTTTTCAATGTACCTTTTGACGTTTTTTCAAATACAAAAGTTGGTTTTTGTTAATACCCCTAGGATTTTTTGTTGTTGTTGTTAAATTATTTTGGTGGTTTTACAGGAAAAATATTTAAAGTTTTTAATAGAAATTACAAGCTAGTTGCTTTGTGTTTTGTCACTGTTAACTACTAAACTGGAGTGAGATATTGATTTTTTGGGGGGGTACTCAGTGGTTTGTACATGTTAATATAAACATTCAGTTGATTCTGGATGGTGTCTTTATCAGAGCTCTTGATTTGTGGTGTGGGGGGAACTCTTGGGGAAACCTTTATTTTGAGCGAATTCAATTTACTAGATTGCTCATCAGTGGCTGTTAAAATGCTTAGCTGAGGAGGACACATTCAACCATTTAAATTTAGAATGATAAGAAATCTGGTGCACATTTCTGCTTGTAATTCATTTTTAATTTTGAGTTAAAGATAAGACACAATCGTGAATCATACTTCAGAAGATTGCATATCTTTATTTTATGGCTATAACTCTGATGTGCCAGGGACTGACTGCTGTTTAAAGTGCTTTGTATTTGTTACTTACTTTTTTTTCCTTCTTTTCTTTTCTTTTTCTTTTTTTTTTTTTTTTTTTGAGACGGAGTTTCGCTCTTGTTGCCCAGGCTGGAGTGCGGTGGCTTGATTTCTGTTCACTGCAACCTCCGCCTCCTGGGTTCAAGCGATTCACCTGTCTCAGCCTCCCGAGTAGCTGGTATTACAGGGGCTCACCACTACGCCTGGCTAATTTTTTGTATTTTTAGTAGAGATGGGTTTCACCATGTTGGCCAGGCTGGTCTTGAACTCCTGACCTCAGGTGATCCGCCTGCCTTGGCCTCCCAAAGTGCTGGGATTATAGTCATGAGCCACCGCCCCCGCCCGGCTTGTTGTTTACTTTTATAAGTATACTGGTTTATTTGTTTTGTTTTGTTTTTGATACGGGGTCTCACTCTGTCACCCAGATTGGAGTGCGGTGGCATGATTTCAGCTCACTGCAGCCTCCACCTCTCAGGCTTAAGCAGTCCTCCCACCTCAACCTCCCTAGTAGCTGGGACGACAGGTGCGTGCCACCGCACCCAGCTAATTTTTTTTTTTTTTTTTTTTTGTATTTTATTAGAGAGGAGGGGGAGGGTTCATCCTATTGCCAAGCTGGTCTCGAACTCAGGGACTCAAGCAATGGTCTCGAACTCAGGGACTCAAGCAATCTGCTCACTTTGGCCTCCCAAAGTGTTGGGATTACAGGCGTGAGCCACAGCGCCAGGTCTAAGTAGATACTGTTTTATACCCTATTTTGTAGTTGAGGAAAAGGAGTCCAGAGATTCATCCAGCTGGTAGGTAACAGTCTATATTCAGGCCGGGCGCGGTGGCTCACGCCTGTAATCCCAGCACTTTGGGAGGCCGAGGCGGGCGGATCACGAGGTCAGGAGATGGAGACCATCTTGGCTAACACTGTGAAACCCCGTCTCTACTAAAAATACAAAAAATTAGCTGGGCGTGGTGGTAGGCGCCTGTAGTGCCAGCTACTCGGGAGGCTGAGGCTGGAGAATGGCATGAATCCGGAAGGCAGAGCTTCCAGTGAGCCGAGATCTGCGCTCCAACCTGGGGACAGAGCGAGACTCCCTCTCAAAAAAAAAAAAAAAAAAAAAAAAAAAAGGCCTATATTCAAATTTAGGCAATCTAAGTTGTTGTGTTTAACTTGACTGTTATGGTCACTGCCTTTAAACATGAAAGTAAGACTGTTGGTCTAAAAGATGAAAGGCAGACAAAATTTTAAAGGATTCCAACTAAAAAAAAAAAAACTAATGGGAAAGGCAAATTTTGGTGTATTTATGGTTGTTCAGATAGATGAGGGGAAAAATAACATACCCCCTAAGTGGCTGTAGTTGCTGTTGTCTGGAATTTAATACGTGGTTGTGCTGTTAGAGACCTAATTGCCCAAGTTACTTCTAAATCAGACTTAGTGTTTCCTATTTCCCACTGAAATCTGCCTCAAACAGCCTATAATCAAACTTGGAAAATAGTTCAGTAAGAGGAACTGAACTTTTGTCCACAGGTATACTTTAACTGAGGTAGATATATTTCTAATGTTATGTAAATTGAATTTTTATAGGTGATTTCAAACGTGCTAGGCAAACATTTAAAAGAGCCTATTATTTTTCTTTACTAAGGCAAATAATTGATCTGTTAGCTGAATCATTTTTCAGCTAAAACAGCTCAATCATTTATTTTTGTTAAGAAACTAGGGATTGGGAGTATCTAGATGACCATAAAACAAAGAACTTTACGGTTTAACAGATAATACTTAATAGTTGGAGGATAACATAAAAAGCAATTACTCTTAAAGGAGTTGATTTTAACAAAGTCATTAAGTTCACCTTCCTTTTCTAAGATAAAAACCACTTTGCCTTTTGTTAACCAGAGGTCAGCCTAGAGAATCACCAGAATGAACAAAGTTTTAGTACCCTTTTCTGAGCAGTAGGTCTATTTGTGTGGAGTAAGTTTTTTCCCCCAGAAAAATCTCATTTGGTTAAGTTTAGCTATACTTTAAATTGAGCTTGCAAACTCTGTTTCTGCTTAAGTTTAAAAGTTTGGTATATAAAAAAGTTATTGTCTGAATTATTGCTATCTTTAAAGTTTATAAGTATATAGAAAAGTTGGTTTTGGGGCTGTTTAGTTAATTTGAAAGTAGAGCTTTTCCAGTTTTTGTGCTGTTAGTAAATTTTTCTACTTTTTAATTCGTCTTACCATGTATGGCAGGAAGGGCAATAGGAACCATTTATTGTGGGCTTCATAAACTCAGATGCTGTAATAGAGTCAATTATGTAATCTTATTATTCCTTACTATTTAAAGAAGTAGATATTAACCCTTCTACAAGAGATATACAGAGGTTCCAAGAAGTTAAGTAATTTCGGTAACATAGAGATGGAGATTTGGGCCGCTTTCTGTGATTCCAAAGCATAGTTTCCACCATAGCACACAGAGAAATGGCATAGTATGGTAATCAGTGGTTGGCTTTGTAGCCAGACCATTTGGGTTCGAATCTCAGCTTTGCTGCTTACAGCTTTGTGACTTTGAGTGAATTATTTAAATGAGACTGTTTGCCTGTTTCTTCATCTGTTAAATAGGAACAATAATAGTACCTTCTCCTAGGGTTGTTGTAATAAATAATATTTGTATAATTCTTAAAATAATGTCTGACGGTAAGAACTTCATGATTATTAGAGAAGTTGTCTTTAATGAACATCCTTTAACACACCAATCCAGTGAAATTCAGTGAAATCTGCACAGATGAGTTGCACACGGAGGGGTGTTTTTCTTTCTTAGGTACTACTTTTCTGTTGACCTTTGTAATTTATTTGAATCAGGATCTAGGTCCCACAAACTGCAATTGGCTGCCATTTTAAATGCCTTAATTTGCATATTTCTCCTCAGTTTTTTTCCTTGTACTTTGTTGAAGAAACCAGGTCATTTGTCCTGCAGTTTCCCACATTCTAGATTTTCTTGATTCCTTGTAAATTGGTAGTTGGATATAGAGGCTTAGATTGAGATTTGATTTGGAGATAGAGAAGACTGAGAAGACTAAATTTGTTAGGTGATTCTGTGTATTTGGGGATTTTTATTTTCTGGTTTGTTCAGTGGTTCTCATCTGTATCATTTTCTTGCAATTTCTCTGTTGGGCAACATAGAATAACTTTATGGTTTATTTACTCTCGTTTGAGATGCTAAGTAAAGTGGAGTGTTTGGTTTGCTTTGGTGCCCAATTCAGTATTAACTGTTCCAGGTAGTTTCTTTCCTGCCTTTTTTTTTTCCTACTTGTATATTTATTCTGTTATAAAATTGAGCCAAGTATCATGGGTTTTCAGTGTTCTTGTTTCCTGGTTTTGGTTACTAATGAATAGTTGTCTCAGCATATTCAATCTGAAAATTTCTCAAAACTGAATTTTTTTCCCTATTTTCTACCCTCCAACTATTAGGCATTTTATTATTTGCACTTATGGTATACTCACTGTAGGCTAGGCACTATTCTTTTTTCTTTTTGCAGGGAACAACATCCAGGCATTACTCTTAACACTTTATATACATTCACTCATTTAATCAACAATTCAAGAGTCTCCAAATTAGGTAGGTATTTGGGACAAAAAGGGGTGAAATAACTTATTCAAAGTCACACAGCTAGTGTGTGACAGAGCCATCTAGGTCCAGAATTTGCTATTCTAACTTAAAAATTAATATTTGCATTGGAAGTGAAGCTCATCTAAGAAGAGATTTTTAGAGATGCTTTTAAATGATTCTTTTTAAAAAAAAAAAGTATGTCTCAGCTGGTCATGGTGGCTCACAACTGTAATGCCAGCACTTTGGGAGGCTGAGGCAGGCGGATCACATGAGGCCAGGAGTTTAAGACCAGGCTGGTCAACATGGTGAAACCCTGTCTCTACTAAAAATACAAAAATTAGCCGGGCATGGTGGTGAATGTCTGTAATCCCAGCTGCTCTGGAGGCTGAGGCACTAGAATCACTGGAACCTGGGAGGTGGTGGTTGCAGTGAGCCAAGACTGTGCCATTGAACTCCAGCCTAGGTGACACAGCGAGACTCTGTCTCAAGAAAAAAAAAAAAAAAAAAGCGTGTCTCAATCTGTTAGTCACTACTATTAAATCACTCATTTGTTTAAAAAAACTATAGTTTTGAAAATGTTACAAATAGCCTGTTTACTTGTAATCATAGGGAAATAGAGCCTTTTGGTGCTGCTGAAACTGATAAAAGTTTATTTATTTTGTAGAGACAGGGTCTTGCTCTGTTGCTCAGATTGGAGTGCAGTGGCATGTTCATAGCTCACTGCAGCTTTGACCTCCTAGGCTCAAGTGATCCTCCCACCTCAGCTTCATCCTGGGCCCCCACCCCCCGCCCTGCTGGGAATACAAGTGTGTGCCAGCATGCCTGGCTAATTTTTTTTTTTTTTTTTTTTTGTATAGATAAGAGTCTCTCACTGTTGTCCAGGCTGCTCTTGAACTTCTGGACTCAAGCAATTCCTCCCATCTTTACCTCCCCACATGATGGGATTACAGGCATGAGCCACTGTGCCTTGCCTAAAATTACTTTTTAGGAAATTTTTTTGGAACAATGAAGTAGAAGAAGGCACAGTAATTCAAGTTGATTCCAAATGGCTAGACTGGCAGGATTCCTGTGTTGGACATTTTACTAATTGGGCTTTAAAATGGTTCTTTGTTGTTTCTTTTGTCTGTTTACCATTTTAGCCCCCTTCCAGTATTGCTTTTTTGTGAATCTTATTGGGAGAGGATGCTGGAAAGGTTGGGTGCACACATACACATACCATATAGATAAACTTTCTGTGCTGGACCCCTGGCAGCTAGAGCTGGGTCATGTTACCCAAACTGTGCCAGTCAGATGCCCTTTACTTTGGGGACTTGCACCAGAAGTGAGAGATGCAAAGATGCAAGGACCGTTTGGAGTTCATTCCAGTGGCTGTTGGTGGTGGCATTACTAGCTGGAGCAGTTTCCTAAGCAGGCTCTTCCTGTGGCATGACCTTGGCAGGGGTTTTGAATGCTTAGCTTCCTTTGGTTTTTCGTGTTTGCCAAGTCAAGGGAGCCTCTGCTTCGTCCTCTGAATTCCCAGGGTTCTTCTGATAAATTCCTTTTTAAACTTGTCAGACAATTTTCCCTTTTATCTGCCCCAATTCTCAAAAGTGATAGTTCTCAACCTTTTAAAATTTATCTGGGGTAAGGCCTGGACATCAGTGGTTTATTAAAACTCTCCGTGTCATTCTTTCTTTTTATTATTACAGAAGCAATGTAAGGGTAATGTAGAATATTAGACTATATAGATATGCAAAAATAAAGCCTTGGCATTCCCATCACACAGGAGTTACTACTGTTCACAACTCCGTGCATTTTTTTCCAGATTGTAGTCTAAGTGCATATGTTTAGGTTTCTATTTTTATTTTACTAAATGAGATCAACTTGCTTTTTTTAGTTGGTGATACCCACTTTCCATGTGAGTAAATGATCATTTCTTCTAATACCCAGGTGCTATTCAAATTTCTCCAGCTGATCCAAAAAATGTTTATTACAGCTAGCTATCCAAGCCATTATCTGATTCAGGACCTTGTTGCAAATGTTTACTTTATCTATATCTTTTTAGTGCAGTATAGTCTTTATTTTTCAGTGACACTGATTTTGAGACTGTGTCACTTAACCTGGAGTGGTTTGGTATGATTGCATCCTTATGGTATTATTTAGCTTGTTCTTTTTTTAATTCCTGTATTTTTCTCTAAAGTTTATAGCTGACAGATTGATGGATTCACCTTTAAACATTGTTGACTAAAATACAGCATAGCAATTCCTCATTTTGCATTGTATCACAAAAGACATTGTAATGCTAAGATTGGTTCTTTATTAAGGTAGTCCTATCTATATATTAAACAATCTTTCCCCTTAGAACAAGAAACTAATTTGCATGGTGTTACCTTGGTGGCGAAGGATTTCCCAGTCCCGTATCAATCGTTGGTCTTAATTTTTGGGAGAATAGCTTCATTGAGCTGTAATTTATATAACAAAATACACATATTTAAAGTGTTCGATTTAGTGGTTTTTAGTATATTCGCATTTGTACAACCATTGCTACTAATTGTAGAACATTTTCATCATCCCAAAATAAACTGTAACCATTACCAGTCATTCTTCATTCCTCTCTAGCTCTAGACGACCACTAATCTACTTTCTCTCTCTCTGGATTTGCCTATTCTGGATGTTTCATATAAGTATACCATGTGGTCTTTTGTGTCTGGCTTCTTTCATGTAGCATAATGGATGAAGGTTCATCCATGTTGTAGGATGTTATCAGAATTTCTTGTGGTCATGGGTGATTAGGATTAATGGGTCATAGAGGTTTTACAACTTGTTTGCCAGTTTCCAAAGTGGTTGTGTGCCAGTGTTCACTCTAATCAGCAATATATGAGAATTCTTTGTTTGTGCCTCATCTTCATTAACACTTTGTAGTGTCAGAATTTCTTTTGCCAGTTTGATAGGTGTAAAATAGTCTCATGATTTGATTCAGGTTTTAAGAGTATGAATTAGTGAATAATTCGAGATAATGTTTTATATTGTGCTTTATATTATGTCATAGCACTTCACATGATTTCTCTCATGCACCTCTTATGGGTACAGAAATCCCATTGTTGTCGTTGAATTTGTGATAGAAATACAATTTTTGTTTGTTTATATTTTTTTCTTTTCCTAGCCACTACAGGGATTTTGTTTATTAGACTCCATAATAGACTTTACATATCCATGTTAATCACCATAGTATTAGGTACTTTCTCTTTGTTTTTGCTGTTGTGAAACAGGGTCTCACACTGTAGCACAGGCTGGAGTGTAGTGGCATGATCATCACAGCTCACTGTAGTCTTGACTTCCCAGGCTCCCACCCCAGCCTTCCAAGTAGTTGGGACTACAACACCACTATGCCTGGCTAAAATTCTTTTTTTTTTTTTTTTTTTCCTGAGACGAATCTTCCTCTGTCACCCAGGCTGGAGTGCAGTGGCGCAATCTCAGCTCACTCACTGCAACCTCCGCCTCCTAGGTTCAAGCAGTTCTCCTGCCTTAGTCTCCCGAGTAGCTGGGACTACAGGCATGCGCCACCATGCGTGGCTAATTTTTGTATTTTTAGTAGAGATGGGGTTTCACCACATTGGCCAAGCTGGTCTCAAACTCCTGACCTGAAGTGATCCACCTGCCTCAGCCTCCCAAAGTGCTGGGATTACAGGCGTGAGCCACTGCACTGGCCCTTTTTTTTTTAGCTTTGTTTTGTTTTTTTTTGGTAGAGATCTTACCATGTGGCTCAGGTTGATGGCAAACTCCTGGGCTCAAGTGATCCTCCCTCTTCGGCCTCCCAAAGTATTGGGATTACAGGCATGAGCCACCGTTCCTGGCGAAGTACTTTGTTGTTGTTGTTGCTGTTTTGAGACAGGGTCTCTCTGTGTCACCCAGGCTGGAGTGCAGTGGCACAATCATGGCTCACTGCAGCTTAGACCTCCTGGATTCAAGGGATCCTCCCACTTCAGCTTCCCAAGTAGCTGGGACTACAGGCATGTGCCACCATGCCTAATTTTTTTTTTTTTTTTTTTTTTTGAGACAGAGTTTCGCTCTTGTTGCCCAGGCTGGAATGCAGTGGTGCAGTCTCGGCTCACTGCAACCTCTGCCTCCCGAGTTCAAGCTATTCTCCTGCCTCAGCCTCCCGAGCAGCTGGGATTACAGGTGCCTGCCACCAAGCCCGGCTAATTTTTTGTATTTTTAGTAGAGAAAGGGTTTCACCATGTTAGCCAGGATGGTCTTGATCTCCTGACCTCAGGTGATCCTCCCACCTCGGCCTCCCAAAGCTGGCTAATTTTTTTGTGTTTTTTTGTAGAGATGGGGTCTTGCCCTGTTTCCCAGGTTTGTCTTAAACTCCTGGGCTCAAGCAGTCTGCTCACCCTGGCCTCCAAAAGTGCTGGAATTACAGGCATGAGCCACTGTGCTCAGCCCCAAGTATTTTCTTAATAGACAGAAATGCTGTATGGGAAAAAAAATCTTAAGGTATCTTATGTCCCCTTTTGGTTCATTGAAAGACTTGCTCAAATTTCATATTCTTCAGAAAATCTTAAATAGGAATTTTTCTCTTCTGGAGATAAAATAAGTAGTACTAAAGTAGAAAATGGCTTTGGGCTCTTTTCTGTTAAGAATTAGAAATAAAAGAAGCAAGGCACTAATAACCCTTGAGTTCTCCTTGTTGAGGACTTAGGAGGGAAACTATGTACAGATAGAAAATGAGTATATAGACTACTGTAAGGTTATACAGTCCTTTGAAGGAAGTCCCTTAAACCTGTGTGGTTTTCAAATCATGAGATTTTGAAAAGAAATATTAGGGTTAGTGAATATTTAAAGATAAACATACTATAGTCTTAGGATCTGCAGTTTAAGGAATAAGGAATGCTCAAGGATAGCTCTTAAGAACAGTAAGAAGGCTGGGTACAGTGGCTCATGCCTGTAATCCTAGCACTTTGGGAGGCCGAGGCTGGTGGATTGCTTGACTCCAGGAGTTTGAGACCAGCCTGGGCAACATGGCCAAGACCCTGTCTCTACAAAAATTACAAAATATAGCCAGGCATGGTGATAGGTGCCTGTAGTCCTTGCTACTTGGGAAGCTGAGCTGGGAGGATCACTCGAGCCTGGGAGGTCAACTGTAATGAGCCGTAATCGTGCCACTGCACTCCAGCCTAGGCAACAGAGTGAGACCCTGTCTCAAAAAAGAACAGTTAAGATGAAGGGGATACTAATTTATAGAATTGTCAACACCTTTAAAAAATTACCATTTATTGGGCACCCACTAAATAGACCCCGTCTATAAAAAGATAGAGATAATCACCTTTGCTATTAATCCCTACCAAGTGTGTCCCATTTGTAAGGGAGATAAATACATAAAAAGGTAAGTGTAATGCATTGTAATGGGCCCATGAAGCAAGAATTTTTTATTTTTTTATTTTTATTTATTTATTTTTATTTTTTTTGAGACAGAGTCTCGCTCTGTTGCCAGGCTGGAGTGCAGTGGCTCGATCTCGGCTCACTGCAACCTCCGCCTCCTGGGTTCAAGCGATTCTCCTGCCTCAGCCTCCCAAGTAGCTGGGACTACAGGCATGCACCTCCACGCCCAGCTAATTTTTGTATTTTTAGTAGAGACGGGATTTCACCATGTTAGCCAGAATGGTCTTGATCTCTTGACCTTGTGATCTGCCCACCTCGGCCTCCCAATGAAGCAAGAGTTTAAGTCACTCACTTGGAGACCTGAAGTCTTGAAAATTGATGAGATAATGAAGAGCACAGAAAAACAAGAAAAGGACTACATGGAAGCATTTAAAGAACCATTACATTGACAAGAGAAAGGAAGAGTCCGAAAAAAGTACAGCTACTCCTTGACTTACATCTGGATAAACCCATTTGTAATTTGAAAATAATGTTAAGTTGAAAATGCACTTAATATGCCTAACCTACGAAGCATCATAGCTTAGCCTAGCCTACCTTACACGTTTTCAGAATGCTTACATGAGCTTGCTGTTGGGCAGAATCATCTGGCAACACATACCCTGTACAGTATCAGGTGTTTACTGTTGTCTAACCCTTGTGACTGACTGGGAGCTATGGCTTGCTGGCACTGCCCAGCATCACACGAAAATATTGTACTGCGTATTGCTAGCCTGGGCAAAGATCACAATTCAAAGTATGGTTTCTGTTGAGTTGCTTTCTCACCTCACAATATTGTAAAGTTGAACAATCTTAAATTGAACTATCGTCCTAAGTTAGGGACCATCTGTAATCACAGGGTAGGGAGAAGATCAGGATATGTTAATACAGTGGTTGTCACTCATTGCTGCTCTCTGACAAAGACTTCAGCCCTTTGTGAATATTATCAATGTAAGATTGTTAACTTTTTTTTAAGGTGAGTTGTTCCTTTTTCCAAGATTTGTCTTTTATGACATACTGTCTTTAATGAAATTGTGATATTAAAATTTTTAATCTTCTACTTATCCAAATAAAATAGGCAATCCTGTGTCAGTCCTTAAAACATCTTTTGAATTTTTTTAGCTTGATGTAATCCAGGTTTGAGAACTGCTGGTCTAATGATGTAATGTCATGGAAATCAGGGGATTTAAGATGGGTTTTGCTAAGGAACATGTAAACAGTGTAAGCCATTGAAGTTGGGGATTCACAGGTTATTGACTTTTTCTTTTTTTTGACAATTTCACTCTTTCACACAGGCTGGAGTGCAATGGCACAATCTCGGCTCACTGCAGCCTCCCGCTCCCGTGTTCAAGAGATTCTCGTGATTTAGCCTCTTGAGTAGCTGGAATTACAAGCCTGGGCCACCGTGCCTGGCTTTCATTGACTTTTGAGAGTATATTGATTAGGGTTCTTTGTTGTAGAAAACAATTTTTTTTGTTTGTTTGTTTGAGACGGAGTCTTGCTCTGTTGCCTGGCCTGGAGTGCAGTGGCGTGATCTTGGCTCAGTGCAACCTCTGTCTCCCGGATTCAAGCAATTCTGCCTCAACCTCCCGACTAGCTGGGATTACAGGCATGTGCCATTACGCCTGGCTAATTTTTTTGTATTTTTAGTAGAGATGGGGTTTCACCATATTGGTCAGGTTGGTCTTGAACTCCTGACCTTGTGATCCGCCTGCATTGGCCTCCCAAAGTGCTGGGATTACAGGCGTGAGCCACCGCGCCCAGCCGAAAACAAATATTTAAAAGCATGGTTGTGTATCTTTCAACCACAGTCAGCTTCATGGGTGACAAGCAAAGTAAGCAAGAACTGGGATCTTAACTTAGATTGGCATTTGGGGAATTGGGTATGGGTCAGTGAGAAGAGCAAGAGACTTCAGGGAGTCAAAAGTCATGGTAGCTTACAAGTGTGGGCCCTTACTCTGCTGGGAAGCTCTGCTGTATCTCTGTAGTTCATTCTTCAGTTTCACGCTTTAATTCTTCTCACACCCCTCAACTCCTCTGCACCTACCCATACTTTTAGCTGAAGGTCTTGCTGTCTACTTAGTTGAGAAGATAGAAGCAATCAGGGTAGACCTTCCAAGCTCTCATTGCATTAGTACCCACGTGTTCTGCTTTCCCACCTATGTATTCATGAGCCTGCTGAAGGCCAGTCTTCACTGGTACATCCCATCTCACCCCTCTGAACTGCTGAAGGATATTTCAGCAGTTTTCTGTATCAGCTGCATCGTTTTCTTTTTCTACTGGGTTATTCCTATCAGTGCAGTAAAAAACTTATTTTGACCACACATCCCCTTTTAGCCTACATGCTCCTTTTCTCTGTTGTGCAGCAACACTTCTCAAAAGAGTTGTCTATACTTTTAGTCTCCAGTTCCTTCCCTCTTGAACTCACTGGAATCAGGCTTTCACCACCTCCCCTATCCAACATCATCACTGACACTTCCATGTGAATCCAGTGATGAGTTCTCAGCTTTTTATCCTATTTAATAACATTTGAAAATGGTCACTCTACCTTCTTGAAACATGTTTCTGCTTAGCTTCTGGGTCCCCACACTTTGATGGTTTTTTTCCTCAGTCTCCCCAATCTTTAAAGCTGTATGTCAAGGTTCCATCTCTTTTTACGTTCACTTTGTTGATGATCTCATCTGGGTCCATGGATTTAAATAAAATTGGTCTACAGTCTGTATTTCTGTCATGAACTGCAGACTCTTATCCAGCTATCTACTTAACATCTCCACTTCGATGTCTGGTAGGCACCTAAAAGTTAACATGTGTATAAAAAGAGTTCTTCTGTCTCTCATTATTTGTGGAATCTATAGACAAATTATTAGAATTAATGAGAGTTTAGCAAGGTTGCTGGATATAATTTATGCCAGCAGTAAACAGCCATTTAAAGGAAATAATGCAATAGCATCAAAAAATATATATAAAGGTACCTAAGAATAAATCCTTTTTTTTTTTTTTTTGTCGCCTGGGCTGGAATGCAGTGGCACAATCTCAGCTCACTGCAACCTCCGCCTCCCGGATTCAAGTGATTCTCCTGCCTCAGCCTCCCGAGTAGTTGGGACTACAAGCGCCTGGCCACCATGCCCAGCTAATTTTTTTATTTTTAGTAGAGACATGGTTTCATAGTGTTGGCCAGGCTGGTCTCGAGCTCCTGACCTCGTGATTTGCCTGCCTTGGCCTCCCAAAGTGCTGGGATTACAGGCATGAGCCACCGCACCCAGCCTGAATAAATCTTTTTAAAAAGGTATTATTGCATCTTTATGGAGAAAAGTTTAGAACTTTATTTGATGATGTTAAAGAAGACTTAAATAAGAAGTTGACCGTGCTCATGATTTGGAAGATTTATTATGAAGATGTCAGTTCTCCCATTTTGATCTAGATTTATTGCCATTCCAAGCAATGTCATAGCAATATTTTCCCCCTTAAATTTGACAGTTGTTTTTAAAATTATTTATTTATTTATTTATTTATTATTATTAGAGACAGAGTCTCGCTCTGTCACCCAGGCCTGGAGTGCAGTGATGCCATCTCTGCTCACTGCGGCCTCAGCTTCCCAGGTTCAAGCAATTCTCCCACCTCAGCCTCCTGAGTAGTTGGGACTACAGGTGCAAGCCACCACATGCAGCTGATTTTTGTATTTTCTTTGTTGTAGAGATGGGGTTTCACCATGATGCTGAGGTTGATTTCAAACTCCTGAGCTCAAGCAATTCTCCCACCTCAGCCTCCCAAAGTGCTGGAATTACAGGCATGTACCACCGTGCCTGGCCTGTTTTAAAACTAATATTAAAGAGTCAGAGAGGCTGGGCATGGTGGCTCAAGCCTGTAATCCCAGCATTTTGGGAGGCCCAGGTGGATCAGTTGAGGCCAGGAGTTCAAGACCAGCTTGGCCAACATGGTGAAACCCCGTGTCTACTAAAAATACAAAAATTAGCTGGGCATGGTGGCACATGCCTGTAATCCCAGCTACTTGAGAAGGTGAGGCACGAGATTTGCTTGAACCTGGGAGGCAGAGGTTGCAGTGAGCTGAGATCACACCACTGTACTCCAGCCTAGGTGATGGAGTGAGACTGTCTCAAAAAAAAAAAAAAAAAAAAGCCAGAGAGCCAAGAATAGCTAAGGCATTTTATAGGTATATTATGAGGGGAGATGGCCTTGCTCTAATACATATCAGAATATTATTGTAAAGGTATGATAGTTAAGACATATGGTAGTCCGGGCGCGGTGGCTCACGCCTGTAATCCCAGCACTTTGGGAGGCTGAGGCGGGCGGATCACTTGAGGTCAGGAGTTCGAGACAAGCCTGGCTAACACAGTGAAACCCCGTCTCTAGTGAAAATACAAAAAATTAGCTGGGTGTGGTGGCGGGCGCCTGTAGTCCCAGCTACTCGGGAGGCTGAGGCAGGAGAATGGCGTGAACCTGGGAGGCGGAGCTTGCAGTGAGCCGAGATCACACCACTGCACTCCAGCCTGGGTGACAGAGTGAGACTCCATCTCACAAAAAAAAAAAAAAAAAAAAAGACATATGGTAGTAGTGTAGAAATATGTAAATAAGCCAATGGAACATAAATTTGGAAGCAGTTGCATACATATATAGAAACAATTTATGATAGAGCTGGCTGTATAAATCAGTGGAAAAAGAATACTTCTGGGACAGTTTTTTTTTCATATGGAAAAGAATGAAATTGGACCTGGGTCTCATACCGTATACAAATCATTTCCAACTGATTGTAAATGTGAAAGACAAAACTTAAAACTAAGAAGTCAATATAGGTAAATTGTTTGGACCTTGGAGAAGAACTGTTACAAACAAGACACAGAAATGTGAATCATAAAGGAAATGACCAGCAGCTTTGATTGCATCTAAATTAAGAACGTGTGCTCATCAAGACATGGGAAAGAAAATCAAAAGATAACCCATGAAGTGGAAAAAGGTATTTGCAACTCATATAATCATAGGATTCGTATCTGATTTATTCTCTTGCATTAATAAGATCAACAACCAAAAGAAGAATGGTAAAAAGAATAGGTATCCTATAAAAAGGGAAGTACAAAGACCTGATAAATAGATTAAAAGACCACACAGTAGGTGATCGTGTTAAACCTACCAGCAGAGCAAAGAATAACCTCCAGTCTGGCCATATGTAGTTTGGTTGAAGATGTAAAGCAGATGGAACGCTTAAAATGCTGCTGCTGATGGTGAAAACTGGTTACACGTTGTTCAGAAGTATTATGACATTACCTTGTGAAGTTGAAGATGTACTGCCCTACTAGTCACCAAAGCATTTATTAATACACTCATTCAGGAAATATTTATCTACTATGTTCCAGATAGTGTTCTGTGTGCTTGGGATCAGTGGGAGACAGATAAAGATAGATTGATAACTAGTGATACAGGGAAATACTAAAAAGGAGTTCAGTTTTGTGCCAACTTATGTTTTTCATTTTTATGGATATAAGTTCTAAGAATGTTACATACTGTTTGATCAGTGCCACTCAGTTCTTTGAATCCTTGTATTTACTAAAAGTCACTTCACAATCCATCAAAAATTATTTTTAATGATCCCTTAGCTGAGAACTACATTCTTTTTCTATTTTGTGGAATACACAGATTGTAAACTATCCAATTAGTTTATGAAATCATGTTACTTAGTCATTTTCTCAATTTTGGCAGGGGGTTGGAGGGGGGGTCATACCCAAAAGCCTTTACCCCGAAGAAGACTTTCAAATGACTAAACTATGTCTGTTATTCTTTTACTTAAAGTCACTTTGTTTATGGAGCCAAAATTAAACAAGGCTGGTCAAAAGTCAGATGCTGCATACTTTTAGATTTTCCCATAGAGCTATTAAATCCCTGGGCTGGCCACAGTGGCTCACACCTACAATTCTAGCACTTTGGGAGGCTGAGGCAGAAGGGCCCCTTGAGGCCAGGAGTTTGACACCAACCTGAGCAACATAGTGAGACCTCCATCTCTAGCACCACTGTTGGTGGCATGCGCCTATTGTCTCAGCTACTTGGGAGGCTAAAGCAAGAGGATTGCTTAAACTCAGGAGCTTAAAGCTATGGTGAACTATGATTGTGCCAATGTACTCTAGTCTGGGCAACAGAGTGAGACCCTGTCTCCAAAAAAAGAAAGAATAATCTCTGTATTTGAGCCAAACTTAAATGGTGTTACAGAGAGGACAATGCTTTTTAATTGTTTTATATAGTATAGATAGAATGGAAACTATTTCATGGTTGAAGATGTGCTCAAAATTATGCTTTTGACAGAATTAAAATGGTGTATCAATGACAGATGGAGAATGTATTGAAATTAAGTGAAGCTTTTAATTTTTATTTTTTTAGACACAGTCTCACTGTCACCCAGACTGGAGCGCAGTAGTACAGTCATAGCCTACTGCAACCTTGAATTCCTGGGCTCAAGGTGAGGTGATTGTCTCACCTCAGCCTCCCAAGTAGGCGCCCACCACCATGCCTGGCTAAGTTTTAAATTTTTTGTAGATACAGGGTCTCCCTATTTTGCCTAGGCTGGTGAAGTTTTTCAAGTTTAGGGCATTACATCGGCCATTAACATCCTCAAGAACATTTGTTCAGCCTAATATGTAGATGCAGGTGTTCTGTTTTGGTTTTTTTGTTTTGTTTTTGTTTTTGAGACAGAGTCTTGCTCTGTTGCCCAGGCTGGAGTGCAGTGGTGTGATCTCGGCTCACTGCAACCTCTGCCACTTCCCGGGTTCAAGCAGTTCTTGTGCCTCAACAGCCCAACTAGCTAGGATTACAGGTGTGTGCCATCATGCCCGGCTAATTCTTGTATTTTTAGTAGAGATGAGGTTTCACCATGTTGGCCAGGATGGCCTTGAACCCCTGACCTCAAGTTATCCGCCTGCCTCAGCCTCCCAGAGTGCTGAGATGACAGGCGTGAGCCACTGCACCTGGCTAGGTGTTCTGTTTTTAAGTGTGCAATTTAATTTATTAGGTACTTAAAAAATTTCATAAATATTCCTACAGAATTTTGAATACTATAAATATATTCATTCTTATTTCAGCGCATATCTTTTCTAAACTGTCATTCATCAACCATTTCTCTGCAAACTTATTTATGCCTATCATATACTAGTTAGATTAACTTAATGGGAATATTTTGAAAATAGAGGGGTACCAGTCAGAGCTGTGGGAGAAAGGTAATTTTCTGTGGGTTGAGGAATAAATGGGTGAGTGAGGAAATAAAGACAATAAGGGTACACTATTCTGTATAGATTTTTGTTAAGACTAGAGGGCAGGCGTGGCTCACACCTGTAATCCCAGCACTCTTGGAGGCCAAGGCAAGTGGATCACTTGAGGCCAGGAGTTGGAGACCAGCCTGGCCAACATGGTGAAACTCCGTCTCTACTAAAAATACAAAATACAGGTCACACATGCCTGTAATCTCAGCTGTTCGGGAGGCTGAGGCACAAGAATTGTTTGAACCCAGGAGGTGGGGGTTGCAGTGAGCCAAGATTGAGCCATTGTACTCCAGCCTGGGCGACAATGAGACTCTGTCTCAAAGAACTGGAGAGTAAAGCACATAAAGGATATACCTGGAGCAAGATACAGGCTCTAGGAAGGGGGTTTGTTTTAATTTGGAGAATTGGATACAGTTTTTTGTTAAGTGGACTCAGTGTAAATAGAAGTTGAAGTTACCAGAAGGAATAAATTGATGATGCTACTGGACTCTGGAGAAAATGAGTGGTTGAAGCCAAGAGCACTGGTAGTGTTGTATCTAGGTAAAAGGAGCCTGAAGTAGAGGTAATTGAGATAAGACTCTTGGCCGGGGAGGTGCTCTCCTAGCAGTATAAACTTAATTATAAAATATAAAATTAGGTCATGTTGTGAAGTACCGAATAGTGCGCCTGACATATGAGGTGCCCGATAAGTTGGAGGTTTTGAAGAGATAAAATATTTGACAGATGTTTATGAATGAATGGTTGGATCAAGTATTCAGATACAAGGAGTTTGTAGAGAGGGAGCAAAAGTACTTATGTAATCTGAAAAAGAATGGGTGATGTAGGGCAGTGTTTGTATTTAATATTAACATTGACTGCTTTATTATAATTTTTTTAGTTATGGGAAAATACAAGATTTACCATCATAAGCAATTAAAAAAGTGTGCAATTCCATGGCATGAAGTACATTCTCAGCGTTGTGCAACCATCACCACTATGTAGTTCCAGAACCTTTTCTTACCCCAAACTAAATTTTCATCTATATTAAGCAGTCACACCCCATTCCCTCCTCTTCCCAGTCCCTGGTAATCACTGATCTGTTTTTAGCTCTGTGAGACTGGATGTTTCATATAAGTGGAATAATACAACTTACAGTTTTTGTGTCTGCCTTCTTTCATTTAACGTAATATTTTCATGGTTCATCCATGTTGTAGCTTATATCAGTACTTCATTTCCTTTTTATAGCTGAATAATAGCCTGTGGTGTGAATATACAGTATTTTGTTCATTCATCTGTTGATAGACATTTCAGTTGTTTCTGCTTTGTAGCTATTGTGAATAAGGCTGCTGTGAACGTTCATGTACAAGTGTTGTGTGGACATGTTTTTATTTCTCTTGGATATATACCTAGAAGTAGAATTATTAGGTCATATGGTGCCTCAGTGTTTAATCAGTTATTCACAGTAGCTGCACCATTTTACATTTCTACCAGCAATACATTAGGTTTCTAATTTCTCTGCATCCTTGCTTTATTATAATTCATAAAAATTTATTAAACTTTTGAATCCTTACCATATGCATGGTACCATGCTAGATACATGCTGTGTGTGTCCTGGAAGAAGTGAGTATTAGTGGCTTAATAGGCACAATTAAAGTACTTTGAGGCCGAGCGCGGTGGCTCACACCTGTAATCCCAGCACTTTGGGAGGCCGAGGCGGGCGGATCACCTGAGGTCAGGAGTTCAAGACTAACCTGACCAATATGGTGAAACCCCGTCTCTACTAAAAATACAAAAATTAGCCGGGTGTGGTGGTGGGCGCCTGTAGTCCCAGCTACTTGGGAGGCTGAGACAGGAGAATTGCTTGATTCTCCTGGGGGATGGAGGTTGCAGTGGGTGCCACTGGGGGATGGAGGTTGCAGTGGGTGCCACTGCACTCCAGCCTGGGTGACAGAAGACTCCGTCTAAAAAAAAAAAGTGTTTGAAGATTTCATTTTCAGAGGCAGGGATTACTTCCAGACAGAGTATTAAAGGAGACTTTTTAGACTGGTTTTTGAGGGGTGGGGGAAAGGCTTATTTCTTGTCTCTTAGACTGAGGAATTTAAATCCTGTCGTATTGTTGGTGGGAAATCAGAACTTTTTGAGCAGGGTAGTGATATAATTACAACCTAAGTCTAGGAACAGAGAGTGGCAACCAGTAGGAGAGGCTGAGGCAGATGGTGGAAAGAGACTAGTAGTGCCTAAAAAATTAGTTTTTTAAGTTAGAGAGTAATTTGACCTTGAAGAGTCGAAAGTAACAGGTGGAAAAGAAGTAATGAAATAAACAAGACTTGGAAACTTTCCTTTTTTTTTTTTTTTTTTTTTTTTAAGACGGCGTCTCGCTCTGTTGCCCAGGCTGGAGTGCAGTGGTGGCGTGATCTTGGCTCACTGCAACCTCCGCCTCCCGGTTTCAAGCGATTCTCCTGCCTCAGCCTTCTGAGTAGCTGGGATTACAGGCATGCACCACCACACCCGGCTAGTTTTTGTATTTTTAGCAGAGACAGGGTTTCACCATGTTGGTCGGGCTGGTCTCGAACTTGTGATCCGCCTGCCTCAGACTCTCAAAGTGCTGGGATTACAAGTGTGAGCCACCGCGCTTGGCCAACTTTTCCATCTTTATGTTCTCCTTGGATTTCACCTATTCCCAAACTTTAAATGTTGTCTACCAAATACTGACAATTATGAAAATTCTACCAGTAGAACACACCTCCCCTTTGAGCTCCAGAGCACATGCTTGACATCTCATATTAGAAAGAATCTTGATTTCCCCTCCAGTCTAGTCTTTCATGTTTTGTTTTTCTTTGTGAGAGTCTCCCTCAGCCTGCAATGGCGTGATCTCGGCTCACTTCAACCTCCCGAGTTCAAGCAATTCTCCTGCCTCAGCCTCCCAAGTAGCTGGTATTACAGGTGCCAGCCACGACACCCAGCGAATTTTTGTATTTATAGTAGAGACGGGGGTTTCACCATATTGGCCAGGCTGGTCTCGAACTCCTGATTTCAGGTGATCCAACCCCCTTGGCCTCCCAAAGTGCTAGGATTACAGGTGTGAGCCACCACGCCCGGCCATCTTTCATCTTTTTTAACAGTTCTATGAGGCCAGGTGCAGTGGCTCACACCTTTAATCCCAGCACTTTGGGAGGCCCAGGCGGTGGATCATTTCAAGTCAGGAGTTCAAGACCAACCTGGCTAACATGGCGAAACTCTATCTCTGCTAAAAATACAAAAATTAACCGGGTGTGGTGGTGGGTGCCTGCAATCCCAGCTGCTTGAGAGGCTGAGGCATGAGAATTGCTTGAACCCGGGAGGAGGCAGAGGTTGCAGTGATCTGAGGTCATGCCACTGCACTCCAGCCAGGGTCACGAAGTAAGACCTCATCTCAAAAACAAAACAAAACAAAACAAAAAAACTGTGAGATGCTTGAGCTCAGGCATTTGAGACCAGCCTAGGCAACATAGTGAAACCCCATCTCTATGGAATAATTTTATTTTATTTTATTTTATTTTATTTGAGGCAGAGTCTTGCTCTGTCACCCAAGCTGGAGTGCAGTGGCCCATCTCCGCTCACGGCAAGCTCCACCTCCCGGGTTCACGCCATTCTCCTGCCTCAGCCTCCGTAGTAGCTGGAACTACATGCGCCCACCACCACGCCCAGCTAATTTTTTGTATTTTTAGTAGAGTCGGGGTTTCACCGTGTTAGCCAGGATGGTCTCAATCTCCTGACCTCGTGAGCCACCACGCCCGGCCTTTTTTTTGAGACGGAGTCTCACTCTGTTGCCCAGGCTGGAGTGCAGTGGCAACGATCTCGGTTCACTGCAAGCTTCACCTCCCGGGTTCCCGCCATTCTCCTGACTCAGCCTCCCGAGTAGCTGGTACTACAGGCGCTTGCCACCATGCCCAGCTAATTTTTTGTATTTTTAGTAGAGACGGAGTTTTACCATGGTCTCGATTTCCTGACCTCGTGATCCGCCCACCTCGGCCTCCCAAAGTGCTGGGATTACAGGCGTGAGCCACCGCGCCTGGCCCAAGAAATTTTTTTTTAATTAGCTCAGCATGGTGGCTTTCACCTGCAGTCCCAGCTACTCAGGACCCTGCTCTATTGTCTCAGAAAAAAAAAAAGTTCTAAGAGAATTTTAAATGATGTGTTTTTTCTTCTCAGAATTTTTTAGTAATAAGCAGAAGTCTCCCAGTTAGCCGTTCTGTAAAAATAGCCACAGCCCTAAAAGACATCACTAAAGATCTTTAATTTAAAATTTTCAGAGCAAGTAAGTTCGTTACAAAAACTTTTGACTAATAGAGAAGATAAAACAAAATGCCCATAATTCCACCATTCTAATAAAACCATTATTAACATTTTGGGATTTTTCCTTTTAGTCTTTTACTTCCAGAACAGAAATCTCTTTTATCTGTCTTCTTCATTTTTTATTTGTTCTGTTTGATTAAGTGTCCCCACTTATGGCGCATCTCCTCTCAACCACATACTCTGCACATGCATGTGTAGGTCACACTCTTTACACTTCAGATATCCCAGCTTCTTGAGGGTGATGGGTGAGTAATTGTTAGTAGGACCCGTAATAGTAGCAAAGTATTGCTAGTTAGTATTTCTTCTACAGTCACTGCCTAAGTTGGGACTCTGCTATAGAAACTTTGGATTCGGTATGTAAAACACTGAAAAGGTGGTGGTGTGTGTCAGTTGGAAAACCGGAAGGTACCTAGTGGTGATTGAAAAGAGGGAATTGTTTATGTTGAAAATTGAGGCATTTTCCTTTGTGTCCAACAGCTTTATACCCTAACAGATGATTTATCTCTCTGTCTTGAACTTCAGGTTCTCTGTGGTTTAAACTAGAATTCGTAAGATAAAAAGTACGCACCAGACAGTTATTTATATCTTTTCCATATGGATGCTTGACTTATTTTTCCAGAATAACTTCACTACAGGGACAGTTTCATTTATCTATTACTGAGAGTTACAGGTGTAGGCTTATATAAAAACAATTTTGGGGTTTTTTGCTTTTTTTTTTTTTTGAGACAGAGTCTGGCTCTGTCACCCAGGCTGGAGTGCATTGGTGGGATCTCGGCTCACTGTAACCTCCGCCTCCCGGATTCAAGTTATTCTCTTGCCTCAGCCTCCTGAGTAGCTGGAACTATGGGCATGCACCACCATGCCTGGCTAATTTTCGTATTCTTAGTAGTGACGGGGTTTCACCATGTTGGCCAGGCTGGTCTTGAACTCTTGACCTCCATTAATCCACTGTCTCGGTCTCCCAAAGTGCTGGGATTATAGGCGTGAGCCACCGCACCCGGCCTAATATTCTTTTAAGTGTTAGAAGTTTATAAAAAGAGCAATAAGTGAATAGTCATCTTGTACCCATCGCTCAACTTGAGAAATAAGGCATTACAGATACAGTTGAAACTCTTTGGGGCCTCTCTTTTATTGCCCTTCATTTCCCCAGAGATACTTACTATCCTGAATTTGATATTTCTTATTCCTATGAACTTATTCCCATGAACAATAGTGCAAGGCTGCTGAATTGGATATATGAGAAATATCTTCCAAACTAAGATTTACCAGTATAGACCAGAATTGCCCATAGATGCAAAAATTCTTTTCTATCAAAAAATTATTTCCACAGCCAGGCACAGTGGCTGACACCTGTAATCTCAGCACTTTGAGAGGCCAAAGCAGGAGGATTGCTTGAACCTAGGAGTTCAAGACCAGCCTGGGCAACACAGTGAGATCCTGTGTCTACAAAAAAATGTTTTTTAATTAGATGGGCATGATGGTGCATATCTGTAGTCCCATGGTTTTTGTTACTCGGGAAGCTGAGGTCTCTGAGAGGATTGCTTAAGCCTGGGAGTTCAAGGATGCAGCGAGCTACGATCAAGTCACTGCACTCCAGCCTAGGCAATAGGGTGAGACCCTGTTTCTAATTTGTATCCCCTGAAAGAATGTTGAGAAATTACCGAAGAAATTTTTGTTTCACTCCGTGCCTAACAAGTTAGATTATAAAAGTTTTAAATCTCTGAATTGAGAGCCAGGTATCTAAAAATATATACCATATAAATATATAAAATATACTGTGACAGATATCTCAAGGATCCTAGCTGTGGCTAGTACTAAACAAATAGGTAGTTGGTGATATACCAGCAAGCTATATGGTTCTTTGACCACTCATGGCAACCTGTCCCATTTATGAGAGAAAAATCTATATCTGAAAGACCTATTATTTTGCATTTCTGAATACCTTAGATAGCTGATTGGAAAATTTGGCCTCTCAAAGTGTTGAGATTACATGTGCTTTTATATAAAAAAGCAAACTCCAGGCCAGGCATGGTGGGTCACTCACGTAATCCCAGCACTTTGGGAGGCCAAGGTGGGCGGATCACAAAGTCGAGTTCGAGACCAGCCTGGACAACATAGTGAAACCCCATGTCTACTAAAGATACAAAAAATTAGCTGGGCATGGTAGTGCACACCTGTAATCCCAGCTACTCAGGAGGCTGAGGCAGGAGAATCGCTTGAACCCGGGAGGTGGAGGTTGCAGTGAGCTGAGATGGCGACATTGCACTCCAGCTTGGGCAACAAGAGCGAAACTCCATCTCCAAAAAAAAAAAAAAGAGCAAACTCTGTTTAGATGACTTTTCTCAAATCCTTAAAAAAGATTTATATCCAAGTCATCTTGTTGGTATAGGTGGTGACATACATCTGTAGTATCTAAATTGGACTTAAGAGTTTTGACTCTCAGGACCTTGATTTCATTATTTAACTGTGTCTCATTTTAGCAGATATATGTATATATGATAGTGATTTTGCCTTCTGTGATTTTATGTTTTGTTTTTTCATTTACAGAGTGATAGATTCGTGTGGCCTTTCAAATGATTGTGAAGTGGTGGAAATGGATCCAAAATAATAAGTGACTTCTCTACCAAAGCATAGAAGATTCTTCATATCTCCTTCCAGTGGCTCAATTTAGATTTTGGGAAGGAGCAGAACAAGTGAAACACAGAAAACTGAAGAGAAGAAATCCTCATTTTGGACCTATATTTCTCCTTGACTATTTCTTAATATCCATCCTACCCATCGTTCTAATGTTTTAACTTTGCTCTGAATTTATAAATAGTAAAGGCCAAAGACATAGAATATACATTTAGTAGCTTTATACCAAGAAATTTGCCTTGAAAGCTGCTGTTCGTGGAGGGAAAAGTGTAGCAAATTCCTGTCTATTTTTATTTTTTATTTTTTTTTAACAAAGACAAGATTTATGTCCCTAGATTTTGAAGGTTAAGGCAAATATAAATACATATCTGCACACTATTTTTTAGCAGTTGCATGAGTAAGAGTAATGAGATTTGTATTTTAAGGACTTTGTCATGTGGATGTTTTGGAGTTGACTGCTCAGATCTTTTATAGGGCTTTAATATTTTTGATCTATTACCTTGATGACATTATTTGTCCACACTTGAGCCCATCTGTCTTTCTAGCTATGACCTTGTTATGAACAGTATTTGCACTCGGTGCAAATATCCATGTCTTACCTAATTAAGCAACATCATAGTGCCATAACTCAAGGAAGTTGAATGAGGTGAACATAGATACAGCTCTTTCCCCTTCCCCCCCTTTTTAAATGTAACAAATACTTTTTATGTTCCCCTTCCCCCCTTCCCCTTTTCCCCTTTCCCCTTTTGGAAACGTGTCAGGAACCAAATAGTTTAAGATGAGCAGTTGAGGGGACTGAGAGAGTGATCGACACAGAACCTGGCTTCTTCGTGCTTCATCATAAGTCGTGCTGCCGGCCAGGTTACTTAAGCACCCTTTTAACAAGGAAACCTTGTGGGAGATCCAGCTGGCCGACTCGAGTTCAGAAACAGGACCACAGAGGTTACACTCTGGGGTAAATATTCTCCATATGTCTAACTTGGAAAGAAGACTCTATGTATATGCATCATGAAAAATACCGACTGCTTTCTGATGTAATTAATTTTGGAGAATATCAGTGGGGTGGTTTGAAGACACCAACAGATCTCAGGAAAACTGATGCTAGTTGGTATTTGAAGAAATTAATGTGAACTAAATATAAAAGCTCTTGAGAGGTTGTATCGTCCTTCTCTAGGAAGATCTTTTTTTCCCCCATCTTGAGGCAGGGTCTCACTCTGTCACCCAGGCTGGAGTGCAGTGGTGCAATCTCAGCTCACTGCAGCCTCAACCTTCCCAGCTCAGGTGATTCTCCCACCTTAGCCTCCAGAGTAGCTGGGACCACAGACGTGTGCCACCACACCTGGCTCCTTTATTATTATTTTTGTACAGATGAGGTTTTGCCATGTTGCCCAGACTGGTCTCGAACTGCTGGGCTCAAGCGATCCACCTCGGCCTCCCAAGGTGCTGGGATTACAGGTGTGAGCCACCGTGCCCAGCCAAGAAGATCTTTTCTACTGCTTTTGCTAGAAGTTACCTGAGTACTTGAAGCAGATTAATCTCTTTTCATAAGTGTCTGTGGTTTTAAATAGATGTTTAATTCTTCATGTTCTTTGATGTAACAATCAAGAATTCATTAGCTTCCTTCATAAAACCTTCCAGATTCACTGGGCGCAGTGACTCACACCTGTAATCCCAACACTTTGCGAGGCTGAAGCAGGATGATCTTTTGAGGCCAGGAGTTCAAGATCAGCCTGGGCAACATAGCAAGACCCTTCCTCTCCAAAAAATAAATCTTCCAGGCTCATGTTACAGTTTTCTTTTGTTTAGAACTTTTGTTTTAACAAAAATTGCTTTTATTTAGAACTTCTCTGAGTTATAAGGCTTGGTAAGTAATCTGTAGACAGGCTCAGAGGGCAGGTCTTTCTGTAAAGAGGAATCTTAGAATAATTACAGATTCCTTTACACATTGGTATCAGATTCTTGTAAACATAAGTGATTTGAATTGTTTTGTTTTCAGATCCTGGCCATGAGGTTGGATGCCTCACCTTACTGAAAGGAGACACTGGACCTAAATGGCGCAGCATGATTTTGTTCCTGCTTGGCTAAATTTCTCAACACCACAGTCAGCTAAGGTACTGTTCTCCATTCCTGTAGTAACTTCTCAAATATGAGAGGGTTTGGGGGTGGTTTTGGTTGTTTTTTGGTTTCATTTTGTTTTGAGACAGGGTCTCCCTCTGTCACCCAGGATGAAGTGCGGTAGTGTGATCACAGCTTACTGCAGCTTTGGCCTCCTGGGCTCAGGCAGTCCTCCTGACTCAGCTCCCAGAGTAGCTGGGCCTACAGGCTGTGTACCACCACGCCCTGCTAATTTTTGTTTTTGTTGTTGTTGTTTTATAGAGATGGAATTTCACCATGTTGCCCAGGCTGGTTTTCAACTCCTAAGCTCAAGTGATCCGCCTACCTGGACTTCCCAAAGTGCTGGGATTACAGGCGTGAGCCACTGCACTCAGCCCAGTCTTGATGTTTTTTAATATATTCAACCTCGTGTGAGGATTTCAAAAACATTTTCATAGACTTAATAGCTTTCTGTTAGAAGGATGTAAGTAATTAGGCAGTCCACATGAATGTCTACCTTATTACTGCCAAGTATCTCACTTTTTTATGTTTCTTTTTTTCTTTTTTTAAGTATCTCACTTTTTTCATTATATCCTAAGGCTTTTCTCATTACATGACACAGTTAAGTGTTGTATTAGCTGCAGCACACTTTGGAGATTAAACGTACTTGCTAACCTATTGTGGAGGTCAAAGGGGCAGAAGTAAAAGGGGAATGGCACTTGGGTAAACAGACCTTTGGAGTGAACACACATTTGTTTATGGCGATAGATGAAGAGGAGGAAAAGGTAGAGGCAGTGATTGTTCAACTACTACATGGATCTCAGATTAAATCCTAGAAACTGTTTTAGAGGCATTAACCTACTTAATAGTTTCAGGGGGGATGTGTGTTGTATTAAGGGTAAACACAAATGGAATTACCAGTTTATATAGATTAAAGCAGACCTAGTCACAGTACACAAAAGAATCAGCCTGAGTTATTGATAAAACGTTTGGGAAGCTAGTAAACTTAAAAGTGCTTCCCATTTTGCCAGCGAATAGAGGAAGGATGAAATTGGTAGGCATTCCCAAAAATAAAGGCCTACCTTTCCTATTTTAAAATGTGGACTTTTGGGAAGGTGCTTCTGGTCTCATCTAGACCCATGATCTTTTGCTCTAAACTTCATTTTGTTTCAATTTTATTTTACTCATTTATTTTTGAGACAGGGTCTCTGTCACCGAGGCTGGAGTACAGTGGCATGGTCATAATTCATTACAGCCTTGAACTCCCGGGCTCAAGCAATCCTCTCGCCCTAGTCTCTAGAGTAGCTGGTACTACAGGTGAGCACCACCATGCCCAGCTAACTTTTTTGGGTTTTTTGTAGAGATAGGGTCTCACCATGTTGCCCAAGGTGGTCTAGAACTGGCCTCAAACGATCCTGTCACCTCAGCCTCCAAAAGTGCTGAGATTACAGGCATGAGCCACTGTACCAGGCTAAACTTCATTTGGGGATTTTTGTTTGTTTTTTTATTGAGACGGGGTCTTACTCTGTTGCCCAGGCTGGAGTGCAGTGGTGCGATCATGGCTTACTGCAGCCTTGACTTCCCTGGCTCAGGCGATCCTCCTACCTCATCCTCCCAGGTAGCTGGGATTACAGGCGCACAGTACCACTCCCAGCTAATTTTTTGTAGTTTTCTGTAGAAGACAGGGTTTTGCCATGTTACCCGGCTGGTCTTGAAATCCTGGGCTCAAGCGATGTACCTGCCTCAGTCTCCCAAAGTGCTGGGATTACAGCAATGAACCACCACACCCGGCTCTAAACATCATTTCAAATTGTCTTAACAAAATTTGCAGGACCTCATAATTGGCCTAATCTGACCCAAAGCTTGGAGCTAGTGGGCTACCTGAAAAGTATATAGATCTATCAGAGAAGAATAATTGTTTTAGCACCGTGAACTTAAGTAAAAAGAATTAGAAGACATTCTTTCATTTTCGAAACTATAATAAGCAAAGCCCTGTGGTTTTGGCATAATGATAGACATAAAAGGAATAGAATAGAGAGTTCAAAAATAGGCCTGTAGAGGCTGGGCTCAGTGGCTCATGCCTGTAATCCCAGCACTTTGAGAGGCTGAGGCAGAAGGATTGCTTGAAAGCCAGGAGTTTGAGACCAGCTTGGGCAGCAAAGTGAGACCTTGTCTCTACAAGAAAAATTTAAAAAAAAAACAACAACAAAAACTAGGCAGGTGTGGTGGTGAATACCTGTCATCTCAGCTACTTGGGAGGCTAAGGCAGGAGGATTGCTTGAGCCAAGGAGTTTGAGGCTACAGTGAGCTGTGATCGGGCTACTGTACTCCAGCCTGGGTGACTGAGACCCTGGCTCTTAAAAAAAAAAAAAAAAGGCTTATGTATGTATTTTGTTGATTTTTGACTAAAGTACAAAGGTAATTCAATGGGGAAGTGATAGTGTTGTGTTTTTGAGCTAGAAGAACTAGCTTCTATCTACATGGGGGCGGAGTAAAGAACCTCAGCCTTTGCTTCATACACAAAAAGATTAACCTGAAATGGAACATAAGTTAAAAAGCTAAAACCATAAAACTTTTAAGAGAAAACAGGAGAAAATCTTTTTACCCACTCGAATGGGTAAAATATTGGCAAGGATGTTGATAGTAAGAAAAATAAATGTAAACATGCCCCGATTTACGGTTTTCCTTGTCAAACATACCCATATTTTCATGGCTTTGTGGACTTTGGTCTCTATCATTTAAGAATGTCATAGAATAAAATTCTTTGAAATAGGAAGGGATATTAGAGTTCATCTATAATAATGTTTCTCAAACTGCTTCCTTCCAGTTTTGTTACCTCAAAGACTTATTTTTTCTCTCTGACCTCTTTCATTATGTGTAAATGAGTAAAATGGGTATGATGCCAAAAGTTTAGTATTGTTACAGGTATTATATCTGGAAATAAATGTTTTATAAAACTGTAAAAACTCTAGTAGTTGGGAGCTGTGGCTTATACCTGTAATCCCAGAGCTTTGAGAGGCCAAGGCAGGAGGATTGCTTGAGGCCAGGACTGAGAGATCAGCCTGGGCAACATAGTGAGACCCCCATCTCTACAAAAAATTTAGAAAATTAGCCAGTCTTAGTGGCATGGGCCAATAGTTCTAGCTACTCCATAGGCCGAGGCAGGAGGATCCTTTAAGCTCAAGGGTAAGCAGCTGTAGTGAGCTTTGATTGTGCCACTGCACTCCAGCCTGGGCGACCGTGAGACTTCATCTCTTTTTTTTTTTTAAAAGTTCTGTAATTACTACTGACCTCCCAAGGTGATATTTCAACCGTTGCCTTCACCCTTATTCCAGAAATACTAAAACTTTAGAATTATTTTTGAGGCAATCATCTTGATTTTCCTCTCCTACAAGGTAAATATTTTTAAGTGTAAAGTTTTGGAGCTTATATTTATGAATATTTGCAAGGCTTTTTTCCCCTCCGCCTCCTTTCATGCAAACAATTGAAGTGGCTAGCTTTTCTCCTCTCCTGGAATAAAGGAAGTGAATTAGCAATTGAATATATAACCTAGGACTTCTCTAAATTAGGCACCTGTGGGTACCCTTAGGGTCCATATGCTTACAATATGAGTTTCTATCACCATTATTACTTGTTTTTTGAAGGCCTGATGCAAAGCCTATTAAGATATTGAAAAGGACTAATAGCTATTTATCCATTTGCCTCTCCATACTTCATCATCTTAGTCACCTACTGCCACCTTCGAAAAACACGGAGAGCACCTACCCAGAGGAGAAGGTAGATTTGGAGTAAGCCGCCGTCGACATAATTCCTCTGATGGTTTTTTTAACAATGGTCCCCTACGAACTGCAGGAGGTGAGCCATGTCCAACTTTCATGACTATATTTAAGCTACTCATTTAGGACAAGCCCAGGCTGTGGGTACATGTCTGTAATCTTGAAATAGGATCTTTTCTGAACATAGTTTTCATTTAGATTCTCTAGTAGTCATTACGCAACTACATTGGCTTTCTAGGTCTAACTATGATTATGATTCTCATGAATCATCTGTTCAGTTGAACTGATTTCAGAAATTACCTCACAAAGAAAAGATACATTTTTTTATTTTTTTTGTGTGGACTTTTTATTAACGAGGTCTCCTGAAGGCCTTTGGCCAATACCGTAAACCAAATCAGGAAGCAAACAATCTAATTAGTCCTTTTCTTTACTATTCTAGATTCTTGGCACCAGCCCTCCCTGTTCCGCCATGATTCTGTGGACTCTGGTGTCTCTAAGGGAGCATATGCTGGAATCACAGGGAACCCATCTGGTTGGCATAGCTCTTCCCGAGGTCATGATGGCATGAGCCAACGTAGTGGAGGTGGCACAGGGAACCATCGCCATTGGAATGGCAGCTTCCACTCCCGGAAAGGGTGTGCTTTTCAGGAAAAGCCACCTATGGAGATTAGGGAAGAAAAGAAAGAAGACAAGGTGGAAAAGTTGCAGTTTGAAGAGGAGGACTTTGTAAGTATGAATCTTTAGATGTGTGGTTAGAAGCCAACAAATAATGTCTGAAATATGAGACCCTGTTAGTAATGAGAACATTTCAGAAATTACAGAAAAAGGAATTTGTAAGTTGAGGTTTTTATTGTTTTAGAGGAAAGAAGTTAAGTTGATAATATTTGAAAATGGTGACCAAAACTCCTATGTAACTTGTAGCAAATTTTTCATCTTTGTGTCTTTGGAATTTAGAAAAATATTTAATTTCTCTTAAGTCTTATAAAGTTTACTCAAATATAATTATGTTAAAATGTACTCTTGCATGTTAAATTGTCTTTTTTCCAACTATGATAAAACATTTTTTCTCTTGATTTTGTTCTCTATCACATAAAATTACTGTGACATGAACATGTAATTGGGAGTATTTCAGCTGTTGCCTATGCGTTCAGTAACACTTGATGTTATTGTGTGTTAAATTACATGCCTTTTGGCCTCTTAAATCAAAGGTAGCATTTTCAGAGTATCTTTAAAATGTTTTAAATATATTTTATTTAAGAAAAGATTATCAGGCTGGGCTCGGTGGCTCATGCTTGTAATCTGAGCACTTTGGGAAGCCGAGGCGGGTGGATCACCTGAGGGCAGGAGTTCAAGATCAGCCTGACCAACATGGTGAAACCCCATATCTACTAAAAACACAAAAATTAGCTGGGCTTGGTGGCAAGTGCCTATAATTCCAGCTACTCAGGAGGCTGAGGCAGGAGAATCACGTGAACCCAGGTGGCAGAGGTTGCAGTGGGCTGAGATTGCGCCATTACACTCCAGTCTGGGCAATAGAGTGAGACTCTGTCTCAAAAAAAAAAAAAAGAAAAAAAAGATTATCATTTTAACAAATCAGTATCTTTAAGTTGGCCAGGCATAGTGGCTCATGCCTGTAATCCCAGCACTTTCAGAGACCAAGGCAGGAGGATTGCTTGATGCCAGGAGTTTGAGACCAGCCTGGGCAGCACAGCAAGATCCTTGTCTCTATAAAAAATTTTTGAAAAATTAGCTGGGCATGATGGCACATGTCTGCGGTCCCAGCCACTAGGGAGACTGAGGCAGGAGGATTACTTGAGCCCAGGAGTTTGAGGCTGCAGTGAGCTATGATTGCCCCACTGCATTCATGCCACCACGCCCAGCTAATTTTTTTGTTTCTTATACAGACTAGCTATCACTATGTTGCCCAGGCCAGTCTCAAATGCCTGACCTCAAGTGATCTTCCCACCTCGGCCTCCCAAAGTGCTAGGATTACAGACAGCCACCACACCCAGCCTCTAGCTGTTTTTAAGTAGCACATCGATCAGTCGCTTCTGTTATAGCCATTTCATCAGTTAGTAGAGTCACCTAAAGAGGAGTGAAATTTAGGCATTAGCTCCTCTACCCTCAAGTCTAGGAAGTGACCTGGGGTCCTTGCTGTAAATTATATATTAATGTGAATTCCTATTCCCAGGTGAGTGTTCTTCAAAACTTTATCCTCAGGAAGGTCTATACTGCCCTTACATATTGAATATTTGTCCAGAATGTTCTAGATAACAAATAGTCCAGAAATTACTACAATTTCAAATGTAATCTTTATTATTTATACAGCAAACTTGTATTACAAGCAAATCCAAGAAAGACCAGTGGGAATGATTTGAAAACAATGTATGTTGCTCATTACACTTAAGGAACTTGATGAAATTCATATCAAACTAGCAATGAAAGCATTAGCAACAGAGCTGGTGGACATGGGTGGCGTGCACCTATAGCCCCAGCTACTTGGGAGGCGGAGGTGGAAGCAAGACTCTATCTCTTAAAAAAAAAAAAATGCAGCAATCACAGTATATTCTTATTAAAAAACAACTTTCCTTTAATACTTTTATTCTATGATTAAATAAACCCATAATGATTTTAACATAATTTGTATCTGAAATGAAATATTTAGAGTATATCTAATATTATAACCATAGCCAACTGTGCATATAGAAGACTAATTTATTTGAATCCCCAATAGTTTTGATTTCTTACGTACTTCATTAAGAAAAAGAGAAGATTGTAGCAAACAAGAAATAGTGTGGAGTAAAGTAGAAGTAATTGTACCTTTTAAACTGGGTAGTATGCTACTGATTAGCATAGTTTGATTAGAAACTTCATTATCAGTCCTGTGACATTCCCAGTGGGAATGATACAAACATTCTATTTTATCAATTTGTGCATTTTTTTACCTTCATATGAATAATTCATACTGTAATTCTCTTATTTATGTAAAATTGTTTGAAGTTTACATGTGTTGAATCATGAGGCTCTAGCTTAGTGGTTCTCAACTAGGGGCAAGTTTGCCCGCTGGGGGATATTTGGCATTATATGGAGACATCTTTGTTGTCACAACTGGGGTTAGTGTTAATATCACCTAACATGTAGAGATCAGGGATGTTGCTAAACACTTAAAACGCACTGGACAGCCTCATAACAGAATTAACCAGGCTAAAATGTTAGTAGTGTCATGGCTGACAAACCTTGCTCTAGATCTTTTTTACTACTCTATAGCAAATATTATATTGTGTGAATACACTTGATTTATTTATCCATTTTTCTGTTAATGGAAATTCAGTTTGTAAAAGACCTTGTTTTGGAGACTAAACTTAAAGGATTGGAACTGAGGTATTGTTAATTAGAGAAGGAAGAGTCAAAAATAAGATTTCTTCTCCTCCCGCCACCCAAGATGCCGAAAGGAAAGAAGGGCAAGGGGAAGAAGTTGGCTCTGGCCCCTGCTGTCGTCAAGAAGCAGAGCCAAGAAAGTGGTGAATCCGCTATTTAAGAAAAGGCCTAAGAATTTTGGCATTGGACAGGACACCCAGCCCAAAAGAGACCTCACCTGCTTTGTGAAATGGCCCTGCTATATCAGGTTGCAGCAGCAGAGAGCCATCCTCTATATGCAGCTGAAAATGCCTCCTGCGATTAACCAGTTCATCCAGGCCTTGCGCTGCCAAACAGCTACTCAGCTACTTAAGCTGGCCCACAAGTACAGATCAGAGGCAAAGCAAGAGAAAGAAGCAGAGGCTATTGGCCCAGGCTGAGAAGAAAGCTGCCAGCAAAGGGGATGTCCCCAGTAAGAGACCACCTGTCTTTCAAGCAGGAGTCAGCACTTCACCACCTTGGTGGAGAACACGAAGACTCAGCTAGTGGTGATTGCATATGACATGGATCCCATCAAGCTGGTTGTCTTCCTACCTGCCCTGTGTCGTAAAATGGGGGTCCCTTACTGCATTATCAAGGGGAAGTCAAGAGTGGGATGTCTACTCCACAGAAAGACCTGCACCACTGGTTGCCTTCACACAGGTTAACTTGGAAGACAAAGGAGGTTTGTCTAAGCTGGTGGAAGCTATCAGGATCAATTACAATGACAGATACGATGAGATCTGCCATCACTGGGGAGGCAATGTCCTGGGTCCCAAGTCTGTGACTCGCATTGCCAAGCTCAAAAAGGCAAAGGCTAAAGAACTTGCCACCAATTGGATTAAATGTACACTGTTGAGCTTTCTTTACATAAAAAGGTAATGCAAATTTTCCTAAAGATTTCTATCCAAAGTGACTTGATGAATAATATGTAATTAACTTGAAGAGAGAAAGCAGAAGGAGCAGAATTGGTTGGAGAAAACAAATTCTTGATGCCAAAGAGATGGGTTAGGTCTAGAGAAGTGCACTTGAAAATAGAGATAATAGTTGAGGTTTGTGGATAAATAAAATCGCTCAAGGAGAGTAATACATTGGAAAGAAGGGAGGTGTAGAGCAGAACCTGTGGATTAGCAGTAAGGGAGACTGAGAAGTGGTTAGCTGAAGAAGGAACAAGTATACCAAGAAAAAGTAGGTAGATAAAAATCACAAATTGAAGATGTTTTGGGACCTGATTGTTTGCAGTAGATTTTCTGTATTATTTTTTTCTATACCATATGTATGTATAATTAGAAAATTATTTTAAAATCGTATTGGTTTCGTGTAATTAACAGTCCTATATTGTTACCTGGGCAAGTTAAATAGTCCTAATTGTCCCTGAGTTGTTAGAGAATGTTTGTGAACCACTCAGCACAGACCTTGACAGATAGGTTTTTGTTTTTTGCTTTTTTGAAGTACATGATATAGACAGGAACACAGATTTTTAAATGGTAGCTGTTACTAAGTGTGGGAGAGAGCTTTGACTCTGGCAGTTTGGGATGGCCTTTCAAAATTGACAAGTGTGGTTGTAAGGGTTAGAGAGTAAGTTGGTGATGAATGATACACTACTCTTTGGAGAATAAAGAGCCAGGTGTGAGGGTAGAGTGTTCTAGGATTAGGAGACTTGGATGTGTTTGAAACCTGAGGAGTAAGAAATTGGTGGAGAGAAGGGACTCTGAGAGGATGCCAGCAGTATTGGCTACAGCTTTTTCATCTTCCCCAATTATCCAGTAAAAGCAGAGCTCCCTTTAATATTGGGAGCAATATTAATATGTTTACTCTTATCACTTGTATTTATCATTGTATTAGAGGTCCTAACAAGTACAATAAGGCAAGAAAAAGAAATGTATACAGTTTAACAAGAGGAAATAAAACTTTGTGTTTGCAGGTGAAATGAAAATCCTAAGGACTCTGTAGAAAAACTATATATGAAATTCCAGAACAGCCAAATAATCTATGATGGGAAAGAAAATCAGAATGGTTTTATGGTTGCCTGTGCACAGTGGGGATTAACTGGGAAAGGGTATGAAGGGAACTTTCTGGTTGATGGAAGTGTTAATAATCTTCAAAGAAGTTAGGGAGGTATTAGCATTTTAAAAACTCATAGAATTGAGTATATTTTATATGTGTACATTTTACTGTATGAAAATTTTAGTATTAAAAAATATTAAAATTACCAGTAGTGAAACAGATTTAAACCTCCTGATATGATGGCACTGAGAAATATGCACCATCACCTCTGTAACATTCCTTCCAGAAATGCATTGCCTGGATCTAATCATAGGAGACCTCAGACAAGCCCAAATTGAGGATTCTACAAAAGAATTGCAAAATAACTGGCCTGTAGTCTTCAAAAATGTTAAGGCCATGAAAAAAAAAAAAGCTCCAGATTAAAGAACTAGAGATATGACAACTAAAAACAACATGTAAACCTAGATTAAATAACTACTGGGTGAGGCAAAACCATTTTGCAAAAATTTTCTTTTGCTAAAACATCAGTGGGACAATTTGAATAAGTGTTGTAGATTAGATAATAGTATGTATAAGTGTTAATAATTACTCTGATTATGTAAAAGATATCCTTTTAAGGAAATACATATTTAAGGGTAAGTGGCATCAAGTCCTGCAACTTGCACATGGTTCAGGAGAAAGAATGGGGAAGCAAATGTGAAATATTAATACAGGTTGAGCATCTGCAGTCTAAAACTTTTTGAGTGTGGATGTCATGCCACAAGTAGAAAATTCCATACCTGATCTCATGCAGCAGGTCGCAGTGAAAACTTTTGTTTCCTGCACAAAATTATTTGAGACAGAGATTCACTCTTGTGTCTCAGGCTGGAGTGCAATGGCGCGATCTTGGCTCACTGCAACCTGCGCCTCGTGGGTTCAAGCCATTCTCCTGCCTCAGCCTCCCAAGTAGCTGGGATTACAGGCATGCGCACCCCTACGCCCAGCTAATTTTTGTATTTTTAGTAGAGGCGGGATTTCGCCATGTTGGTCAGGCTGGTCTCAAACTCCTGACCTCAAGTGATCCGCCTGCCTCAGCCTCCCAAAGTGCTGGGATTACAGGCGTGAGCCACTGTGCTCAGCCCTGAAATTATTTTAAAGTAAAGTTAAAAATAAGACAAAGCAAGTAGAGTTGAGGAACCAACAAAATCTACAGATGCCATCTACGTCAAAGCAAAATGATATTTCCCCACATACCCGTAAAGGGATAGGGACAAACCACCAAAATCTATATAAGAGGCTTGGTTAATACTAGCATTTGTGCAGGGGGAACTGAAGGGAAGCAGCAGAGCACCTGACAGCATAAAGAATGCTAACAGAGCCAACCGTTTTTCTGGAAAGCTCGTAGGGCATATTTGAGAAGAGCAGCAGTTAATCGGGAGTAGTTTTCCGTAATGGAATAACAAGTAAATACAGGGGCTCTGGGATAAGGTATGAAGGATCTGACTGGACCAGTCAAGAGTTCAAACCACACAGTAGTTTGAATAGAGAAAGTTAATATAAGGAATTTAACTATAGCAAGATTGGAGTAATGAAGGATTGACTAGTACAAAGTAAAAAGATCTTTAAAGAAAATAGAAATAGCACGTAGTCACAGTTCAGTGGCTCACGCCTGTGATTGCAGCACTTTGGGAGGTCGAGGCAGGGCGATTGCTTGAGTCCAGGAGTTTGAGACCAGCCTGGGCAACGTGGTGAAACTTTTGTCTCTACAAAAAATTTAAAAATTAGCTGGACGTGGTGGGTACCTGGTAGTCCCAGCTACTCAGGGGGCTGAGGTGGGAGGATTGCTTGAGTCTGGCAGGTCGTAGCTGCAGTGAGCCCAGATGGCACCACTTCATTCCACCCTGGGTAACAGAGTGAGACCCTGTCTCAAAAAAAAAGAAAAAAACATACACACAGACATATATGCATACATACAAGGAGCAGCCACTACCCTTAGGGCTAAGACAGTGTGTCCAAGAATGAGTCCCCCATTTCCCTACCACCACCCCAGGGCTGAGATTCATACCTGGTTAGAAAGGGCTCAGTTGTGGCTCACTGAATGGCAGAGTAATTGCTGATGTGCTTCTCTGGGGAAGCGTGCTGAAAGGCTTTTCATGAGAGGTGTCACTCTGCTACAAAACTACTCAGATGAGGTGCTGAGGGAAGCTGCTGGTCTCTGAGCTCACTTATATGTCAGAACCTGGCTTTGAGGAACTGGGTGCTGTGGGAGCCTGCTGAAAAACACACAGGAACAGGAAGTAAAAATCTCTCCATTGTTCTCCGCTGGCAGAAGTTAACATGCCAGCTGTCAAAGGAAAAGTTTTAAAGTGTCCAGGCACATTTTTGCTCAACAGGCAGAAGGGATGACTTTGTGACTAAGAAGCGGTAACCAGCACAGGGTTCTATCGTTGTTCATGCTAGCTGGCCACTATACCCTTCCAGAACAAAGCCCGTCACTGAGGACAAACTGTTGGAAATATAATCCAGATTGAGCTGCAGAGAGACAAGTTAGTAGAGACGAAAGGAAAGGTTCAGATAAAAGCGGTAGGGAGAAGATAACCAGGACATTAAAGAACGTAAACCCGGGAGGCAGAGGTTGCAGTGAGCCAAGATCGCACCATTGCACTCCGGCCTGGGCAACAAGAGTATGAAACTTGGTCTCAGAAAAAAAAAAAAAAAAATCCTAAGAAGTTGGTTTAAAAAAAAAAATCATCTGGGAAAACTCAAAATAAGGGGCTAGAACTCTTGAAAAGAAGTAATAATAAAAAATTTCAGAAAAATACTGAAGAATAAAGAGAATAAATAATATTTTTCAAGAATTAGACAGCGAAGGAAAATTTTTTAAATGAAGGAGAAATACATAGGTAAAAAATTAAAACTGGGAAAAAAAAGTTTGGCAGAAAAGATCTAATATAGATATATAATAGGATCTTCCCACCCCGCCCCCAGAAAGAAAACCAAAATAAAGGAATAGCTTAAATACTGACAAGTGGCCGGGTACGGTGGCTCACACCTGTAATCCCAGCAGTTTGGGAGGCCGAGGGGGGCAGATCACGAGGTCAGGAGATCGAGACCATCCTGACTAACATGTTGAAACCCTGTCTCTACTAAAAATACAAAAAATTAGCCAGGCATGGTGGCGGGCGCCTGTAGTCCTAGCTACTCGGGAGGCTGTGAGGCAGGAGAATGGCGTGAACCCGGGAGGTGGAGCTTGCAGTGAGCTGAGATCGCGCCACTGCACTCCAGCCTGGGGACAGAGTGAGACTCCGTCTCAAAAAAAAAAAAAATACTGAAAAGTATAATTCAGGAACATTTTTCTGAAATACATTTAGATTTGAATCTACAAATTGAAAGGATAGCCAGGATGACTAAGACATACTCTTACAAAATACTAGACTTGAACAAAAAAAGAAAGATATCCTTTGGCCATTCAGGCATAAAGACTGAGTTGTTAAGAGAAAGAAAACCAGATAGACTGTGACAGCAAAGCTTTATAACAAGTAAATGGAGTAACAATTACAATAAAGAAAATGTGAGCCAAAGATTTTGTGCTTTGTCAAGCTAATGTTCAGTTATAAAGATCACAGACAAACATCAATGTGTAAGTACTTGGAATATTGCTCTTTCCGGCATTGTTTCGCGCTGCCACAATGGTGTGTGTGAACATCCTACCTGTTGCTCTCAAGAGTATCACCAATGCCGAAAAGAGAGGGAAACGCCGGTTCTTACTAGGCCATGCTCCAAAGTCATTGTCCAACTTCTAGCTGTGATGATGAAGCATCGTTACATTGGCAAATTTGAAATCATTGATGATAACAGAGCTGGGAAAATTGTGAACCTCACAGGCAGGCTAAACAAGTGTAGAGCCCCAGCTTTGATTTGCAACTCAAAGATCTAGAAAAACGGCAGAACAATCTGCTTCTATCCCAACCATTTGACTTCGTCATATTGACAGCCTTAGCTGGTATCATGGACCATGAAGAAGCAAGACGAAAACACACAGGAGGGAAAATCCTTGGATTTTGTTTCTAGGGATGCAATACATATTTACAAATAAAATGCCTCAAAAAAAAAAAAAACAAAAAACTTCGGAATATCGTTCCCAAGACTTTTCCTGAGAACTACTGAAGAACAAGCTTCTGACAAACTAACCAGAAAGATTACAAAAGGAATGGTGGTAAATACTAAATGTATGGTTAATTGTAGAGCTAAGAAGAAATGAGGGTTAAAAGAGAGTTAGCATGTGATAGTTATATGATCTCACAATCTGGACATAGTATAACTTTTTTAAAGTGGGAAGATGGGGAGAACATGTCCAAAAAAAACAAAACATTTTGGTCACTGGTGAAATACTGACATTGCTATTCTGAAACTTGTGCATAATATGGAATAAAGCAATTAAATATGATATTCTATACTTTGTATGCTTGAGAATCAGGATTCTTGTAGGAGGAAATAAAAACGTAAAATAGATGTTCCGTAAAATCCACAAGGGTACTCAGTTTGAATTGGGAATATCAGTAATAAGTTATGAGGTGTTTTAGCTTTGGAGTGAAAAATACATACTTCTAGGCGGTTCTGTCCACTGAAAAGACATAAAAACAGTGAACAACCCCATAGCAATGAGTGGCTCTACTGCCTGGATTGTGATCTTGAAATAGTTTATCCAGACAGCATACTTAAAAGAAGAGCTTGGAATATTTTTTCAAACTAGATAACAAAGAAGTAAAGAACTACTTAGGGTTGTAGCAAAAGGATTTAGAAGCCAAATTGAAGAGGGTTCCATAGGCCAAACATGGGACAGTTTTATGCATCAATTAATAATAATAACGACGAGGGTTGAATCACATCAAATTGGATTTAAATCTGTGAATTCACAATGATACCTACCTCACCTTAGGAACAAGCATGTATCATATTTTTTCTATATGAACTGTACTGTTGAATTGCCAAATAGGGGAAGTTCCTATTTATGGAAGTATACTACTTTATAAAGAATTGTAAAATTAGATCATTGTTTTTGCATCTTGTATTGAGCTGACAGTTTTAGGCTATGAGCACCAGTGTCTGCCAGCATCACTAAAAGAAGCACAACCACATGTTATTTGTGTGTGTCTCCTAATGGAAGAATACAAAACCACTAAGGATTCTGTAACCTCTAGAACCAACTACCAATTTATAGAAAGAGGCTTAAGATTTTCTAAAAACTAGTAGATTAAAAGCTGAGATTGTTTTTGGAGACAAAACTATAGTGTCAAGGGAGACACAATGGGTTAGTAAAAAAAAAAAATGCAGTGATCACCATAAGTATGAGTAGTTTTGGGGTTTTTTTCTAATGAGATTTGTAATGTCTTTCTGGTTTGTCTGGTAATGTTATGTTGCTTAAACCATGTAGTGTTTAAAAGAACTTTTACCCATTAACTTATTCATTTGTTTTATATTTTTCCTGTTTATATTTTACAAGTTTTAAAACTGTATTTTTTAAAACAGTAGAAAGAGATCAAAGATACTGTATAAATAGGAGCATTGTCTCTGAGAACCCTGGGTACAACATGCCTATTAAAATGAAACAAGGAAACAACCACAGCTTTTATGGCTGGGCACTCCTTCTGCCTCTACCACTCCATCTAGAGGAATGTATTTACCTGTCCTTGAAAATCTGTCACTGATTTGTCCACTTATATAGAGAGTTGGTAGTTTCATTTGCATTTGTGCTTGTTCTCCTATTGTAGTGGTTCTCACCTTGATTGCTTGGAAAATACATACCTGCTAGAGGCCCTGCCCCTGGAGATTCTGATTCTGAAGCTCTGTAGTGGAGCCTGGGTGTCTTTTTGTTGTTTGTATAATGTTCACAGGCAATTGTGCTGAAAAGCCATTTTCCTGCTGGGCACAGTGGCTCATGCCTGTAATCTCAGCACTTTGGGAGGCCAAGGTGAGTGGATCACTTGAGGTCAGTTCGAGACCAGCCTGGCCAGCATGGTGAAACCCTGTCTGTACTAAAAATACAAAAATTAGCTGGGTGTGGTGGTGCGCACCTGTAATCCCAGTTACTCAGGAAGCTGAGACAGGAGAATTGCTTGAACCTGGAAAGTGGAGGTTGCAATGAGCCAGGATTGTGCCACTGTACTCCAACCTGGGCAACAGAGTGACACTCTGTCACAAAAAAAAAAAAAAAAAAAAAAAAAAAAAGCCATTCTCCTACCCTGTTACCAGATCGTAAAGTTTGGGCTAGGACAGCAGTGTCATACGATTAGTTATTAAGTCTAGTCTATTGCTCTTAACTCTTCCCTGCCCTTTCCCTTATCTCGTTCTCTACTTCTGTTACCTTTATTACCCTCCCGGACTATGGAATTGATCTCCTAATGGTCTCTTAGTTGATGTTTAAATACCTCAGATCCATCCTTTAAGCTGCTACTAGAGTGACGGTTGTAAGTTGATAATTAGATAATGTTAACTGCATGAAAGATGGATCCTCATTACCTGTAGAATAAAACTTAATCTCCCCTAAGAAATCCTCCACAAGCTGGCTCTTGCCTGCTTTGCCAGATACCTCTTTCCCCACAGAAGGGTCCCCTCCTTCCCTAGCACTACTCATGCTGAACTATTTGCAGACCTGAATATTCTGTTCTTTTTAATGCTTTCTGTTCCTGGAATTACCGTTTTTCCAGCTTTGGAATTCATCTTTAAGGATTCTTAAATCACCTGTTAGTAAAGCCTTTTCTGATAGCACTTCTCTTTCAAGTAGAATTGATGTTTCTTACTGAGTACTCCTTCTTCCCTAATATGAATTTTTTTCATCGTCCTTGTAACCTTTTATTGTACTTAACTTGTCTAGAAGTTTTTATAGCAAAACTGTGACCCGTGTGAAGACAGGGGCTCTTTATTGTATTTCTAGCACAGTCCTTGGCATATGGTCTGCCCCTGCCCTACACCCATCTTAGAAATGCAGTGAATACTATACATTTCACTGACCACATTGTCCTCCTTTAATCTGAGGAAAATGATCCACATTCTTGTTCATCTAACTTTCAGTGCCTCCTTATTTGGCATACATATCCTATAGGAAAGTGGGAATTCGCACATTTAGTCTGTTTATTTAAAATAAATGAAATCCCTTATATCAAAGGAAATGAAACTCAGGAGAACCTAATATTAACATAATACCTATTGATTTTGTGTTTTGATATTTTCTGTTTGTTACGTTTCTGAATACAGTGTCAAATTAGTAAGTGTTGCTAATATGTAAAATATGTAATTATTTGATAGGTTCCATGGTGATGGCTACTTTGTGAAAAGTGCCAAAATGATCAGCTTTCTGTATCAACCATTCATATCCCTTTTTTCCTAGCCTTCCTTGAATCCAGAAGCTGGCAAACAGCATCAGCCATGCAGACCTATTGGGACACCTTCTGGAGTATGGGGTAGGTAGATTTTGCCATTTTAAAGGCACAACTTTAAAATTTTTTCTTAGCAGGGAGGGGAGCAAAGATTCCTTATCTCTTTTTATCTCTTGTTTCTCATCTCATGCATTTGCCCATGGTAACTAACATCTGACTGTAGCGGGTTATTCTGCCCCCTACCCCACCGCCCAACCCCCAAACACCACTGAAATGTTACCATGGTAGTAGAGTCAAAATACAGACAACTGAGAACTTATAGAACCGTGAATTTGGAAGCAGTTGTTTTGGTGGTGTTTGTTAGTCTGTTTGTTTGAGACAGTCTCATTCTGTTGCCCAGGCTGTAGTGCAGTGGCGCAATCTCAGCTCACTGCAGCCTCCACCTCCCTAGCTGGGACTACACCATGCCTGGCTAATGTTTGTATTTTTAGTCCAGACAGGGTTTTACCATGTTGATCAGGCTTGTCTTGAATTCTTGGCCTCAAGTGATCCACCCATCTTGGCCTCCCAAAGTGCTGGGATTACAGGCATGAGCCACCGTAGCCAACATGGAAGCAGATTTTAAGTAGAAAAAGTTCATGAAAAGTAACTTAATTAACATTGCTACTTCACTTACTTTTTTTTTTTTTTTTTTTTGAGATGGAGTCTCACTCTGTTGCCAGGCTGGAGTGCGGTGGCGAGATCTCAGCTCACTGCAACCTCAGCCTCCCGGATTCAAGCTTTTCTCCTGCCTCAGCCTCCTAAGTAGCTGGGAATACAGGCCTATGCCACCACGCCCGGCTAATTTTTGTTATTTAGTAGAGATGGGGTTTCACCATGTTGGCCACGATGGTCTCGATCTCTTGACCTCATCATCCGCCTGCCTCGGCCTCTCAAAGTGCTGAGATTACAGGCGTGAGCCACCATACCCAGCCCATAACAATATATTCTTAAACATTCATATATATGTATGTTTAAATATTCGTGTGTGTGTGTGTGTGTGTGTGTGTTTATGTGTATGTGTGTGTATATATATGTTTGTGGTTTTTTGTTTTGTTTTGTTTTGTTTTTTGAGACAGAATCTCACTCTGTCGCCCAGGCTAGAGTGCAGTGGTGCGATAGGAATCTGTATTTCAAACCAAACCTCATCTGTGGCATTGGGATCTTTGGCATTTACAAATTGGACTCTCCTGGTTTCTTCATTAGACATGTTGATAGCCAAGAACATGGGAAGTCTTTAACATATCTAAATGATGGGTTTAGAATCCAGTATTGTAGGATTAAGATTGATCGATGTACCTTCTCCTCTTTGCTAATGGTGTATACCTTTGCTCCAGTTTGCCTCATCAGAGGGTTTCATGGCAGACTCCAATCCCTGATTACCTCATCTCTCTATTCTCATGCTGACAGGAGCTGCTACTTTTAGGTGTTTTTTTTTGTTTTGTTTTTGTTTTTTTGAGTTAGGGTCTGACTTTGTCATCCATGCTGGAGTGCAGTGGCACAGTCATGGCTCGCTGCAGCCTCGACCTGGGCTCAAGTGATTCTCCCGCCTCAGCCTCCTAAGTAGCTGGGACCACAGGTGTGCACCACCATGCCTGGCTAATGTTTGTATTTTTTGTAAAGATGGGGATTTGCCACAGGGTTTGCCAGCCCAGGCTGGTCTCGAACTCTTGGGACTCAAGTGATCTGCCCACCTCAGCACCTCCAAGTGCTGAGATTACAGGCATGAGCCACAGTGCCTGGCGCTTGGATTTATTCTTGTTGGGTTCATGCTTAACTGATCACACTGTCCATCAGACATATTGTGCCCCTGAAGGACTGCTAACATCTTTGGACTTCCTGGCTGATTTATAAATTTAGTATCCAGTTCCTCATATGCTGCATTTTTTTGTACAGTTCCTGAGTAGTCTCACTTTTGAGAGTATCTATTAAGTGCATACCAGGGAATGTTTAATCCCTCTGTCTCAACTGTCAGCTGTTTTGTTGACTAAGGCCTTTGTATAAACTATGCTTCATGTTACACAACAGGTTTGACATTCTGTTGTCTCTCCACTCTTGTACTTCACAGAAAACCCGCCTAGTGCCAAGCAACCCTCCAAGATGCTAGTTATCAAAAAAGTTTCCAAAGAGGATCCTGCTGCTGCCTTCTCTGCTGCATTCACCTCACCAGGATCTCACCATGCAAATGGGAACAAATTGTCATCCGTGGTTCCAAGTGTCTATAAGAACCTGGTTCCTAAGCCTGTACCACCTCCTTCCAAGGTATGATTTAGAATCAGGGCAAGAACCTTATACAAGAGAGGTTTGGGAATAAATCAGGAAAAAATTAATAAATTTGTTTTTTCTTGCCGCATCAGTCACCAGATATTCTTTCAGTACCTGTTATATGTATACAGCTTTCTTTGCTTTTTTTTTTTTCTTTTTCTTTATTTTTTTGAGACAAGGTCTCACTCTGTCACCCAGGCTGGAATGCAGTGGCACAATCATGGCTCAGTGTGACCTCAGCCTCCCAAGTAGCTGAAACTACAGGGGCACGCCATTATGCCCGGCTATTTTTTTTATTTATTTTATTTTTTGTTTTGTTTTGTTTTTTTGAGATGGAGCCTCGCTCTGTCACCCAGGCTGGAGTGCAGTGGCACGATCTCAGCTCACTGCAAGCTCCACCTCCTGGGTTCACACCATTCTTCCTCAGCCTCCCGAGTAGCTGGGACTACAGGCGCCCGCCACCACACCCGGCTCGGTGTTTTTTTGTATTTTTAGTAGAGACGGGGTTTCACCGTTGTTAGCCAGGATGGTCTCAATCTCCTGACCTCGTGATCCGCCCGCCTCGGCCTCCCAAGGTGCTGGGATTACAGGCGTGAGCCGCCACGCCCAGCCATTTTTTTTTTTTTTTTTTTAATTATTTTTTGTAGAGACAGAATCTCATTTTGTTGCCCAGGCTGGTCTCTATCTCCTGGCCTCAAGGAATCCTCCTGCCTCAGCCTCCCAGAGCGCTGAGATTATGGGCGTGAGCCACCACACCTGGCCCCTCTGGTTTTCTGTAATAGCAACAACATCCTAATCACTCAGCTTGACTATCTTGGCTACTTCTCTTCTCTTCCTCCTTAGTCATTCTCCTCAGCCAAGGAATTACAAAGTCCCTGTTATTCTCTCTATGCTGTCCTTGTTCAGGACTTTGTCTTCTCACATTTACTGTTCTAGTATACCTTTCTATTTTCTCATGTCTCTGTGTCCTACAGAACTGCCAGAATGATCATTCCAAAAACAATTGAATATATCACATGCCTTCCTGAATTCCTTCAGTGGCTCCAAACAATGTATGGCAGGGATTGGTAATTTTTTTCTATGAAGGGCCAGATAATAAATATTTTAGGCTTTGCTTGATATATATGATTTTTGTTACACATTGCCTTTTTTTTTTCCAGCTCTTTAAAAATGTAAAAATAAGTATGAGCTCATGAATCATACAGAAATGCCTTGGTCAAGATTTGGCCCATGGGTCATAGTGTGCTAGTCCTATAGTCAGTGTGCAGAGTAAGCAGAGGTCTGTGAAGTTTCTCATAGCCAAACTCTAATCCATCTTTTGCATCTTATTGCCCCTTTTTTCTCTTACCCGGGAAGAAATTATTCTTCTGGCGCATGCCATCCTCTCTGTGAATAATTTTCTTTCTTTTCTTTCATCTATTTATTTAAAATAGTGATTGGGGTCTCACTATATTGCCCAGGCTGGTCTCGAACTTCTGGGCTCAAGCCATCCTCCCACCTTGACCTCACAAAGTGCTAGGATTACAGACGTGAGCCACCGTGCTCACCCTCTGAATAAATTCACTGGGAGTTACTATCCTAGTGATAATGATTGGAGTTTTCAAGGTAGATTAGATATACAAGAGAAGAGGATGGAAGAAGAGAAGAGGATAGAAGAGGAGTAAAGAATGGGATAGTACTGAGAAACTAGTTCAGAAAAAAATGGTAAACTCTCACAGAAATACAAGTGGGTGAGTTTGCAATAGCAACAGGGGTAACAAGTTGAGGAAAATAACTGAGAAAAAACCTTAGTGATTATCTTAGGAGACTTTTGAGTTGATGTTTTTAGGGAATAAAGTAGGGCTGAAACAGTATTTCAAGGGCTTTTGGAAATATGTGGAGGTAGTGGCACCTTTTAACCTTGACAGTAAAAGGAACTAGATAGAATATAGGCAGTGGAAAAGATAAGTGAATGGATGAGGAAGTCTGTTGGAAGAAGCCACTGGAAGCAACTTGAACTGTACTTGGAAGAGATCATTAAAGGATTATGGGCCAAGAAGAAATATGTGGGAATAAAACTAATTGACAAGTACAGTTATCTTTGAAAAGGGTTTAGGATACTTAGGGTTTATTTTCCTCTGATGTAGAAGGGAAAGAATGTGAATTCAAGTGAAGAGAGCAACTATTACAAAGAAACAGCTGAGCATGGAAGTTAACTGCCGGGCTATGGAATAGACAGATTTCACCTTACACCTTCTTCATCTTACGTCCTTGAGCAAGTTTCTTCACTTCCCAGTCTCAGTTTCTTCTTCTATAAAATAGACATAACAATGCCCCCCTTTTTTTTGTGAGGAGTAAATGAGAAAATTTTATGAAATACCTAAAACTGGCATATAATAAGTGCCAATAAATGGTAGCTATTGTTACCAACCTGCCAGCACAACTTATGTTTGTCCCATTTCTTGAGAGTTTATAAAGACTTTCTTAAGTGTTACTTTAAGATGTCTGCAAGCATTCTGCAGGACTACAGAAAATATAAAAATGAGTAAGAAAATGTCATTGTGTCCTCAAGGATCTCATAAATCAAAAGGTAAAAAAATTTTTACAAGGATAAAAATTATGATACAAAACTTAAGATCACTTTAGCCCTGTTGTGAGTCAGGGGTAGAATGAAGATTGGAAAACTAATATAAAGGCTGCTGCTCTTGAAGCTTGAAGAGGATGGTAACAGTTGGCAGAGAATGGCAGAGATGGTAACAGTTGGCAGAGGTGGTAATGGCAGATAGTGGGAGGCAAATTAGGCAGCAAAAGAAAACAGAAGACATTCTTCCTGGGAAAATTGGGGTAAATATGGAAGGTCAGGTTTCAGGAAATGTGATTGTGGTTCTGGGTACGTAGGATATGAGATGTTAGAGGGAGGAAGAGGTAAGATAACTAATAAGCAGATGTTGATTTATCCATTCATTTTATCTAAACATTAGCAATAATTATTGAGTATCTGAGTAGTAAACACTGTGTCACTAGAGACACAAAATAATACTTGGCCTGTAATCGCAAAGAGTTTACTGTCTAGTGAAGAAAGAGTTATTTGAAAAAAATTGTGCTTCTCTGCCTGGGGAGGGTCATCAAAGTCTTTACGGATAACTGGGATTCAAATACATGATAAAGGAAAGAGAACTGCCATTTGTTGACATCTTACTATGTTGCTTGGTTAGGGCTTTTACACATATTAAAGCATTTACTCTTTTAATCCTGGGATATAGAGAATACACACTGTGGGGTTACATAGCTAATAAGTGATAGAGTCAGGCTTTTAACTCAGGTCTGACTTCAAAACCAGGGCTCTTTCTACTGTTCCAGAATGCCTCCTGTCTTGAAGGATGAAGAATAGAAGAGGAAGTTGAGAAATTAATCTTTTGACTCAAACTTAACTAAGTTGAAATCTTTGTGACACTTTCTAGGGTTGTGATCTTAAGCAAGTTATTAGATTTTGCTAAACTCTTCTTGACAGTAAATTGGAGCAAGTACTTGGAATATAGTTTTTGAAACATCCTAATTACCCAGTAAGTGGACGTTTAAAAACAGTAGTACAGTAGTTCATTAGAAAGCAAGTAGGTAGGGCATTCTCGGCAGAGGGAACCTGTTGTTAACCAGAAAATGGATGCAGAATATGGTATGTTTGGAGTAAAGGAACCATATTGGTTCGGTATGGCTGGTATGTGAAAGTGAATGGGGAAGTCAGACTTGATGGAGGCCTGTATAAAAAGAACAGGAGAGAAGTTAAAGTAGGTAGAGATGCAATTTTACATATTATCTACACAATTTTAACATTTTAAACTGAAACAGTTATAAGTAATTGCTTTTTCTAATGAAATTCACCTAGTTCAACAGACTACAGAAGAAGAAGAGTACTGAGTCTGGAATGCTAGTATACTTACATCCATTGAAAAGAAGGGAATTCAAGAGGTAAAGAGAGAACTGAGAGAGTGAAGCATCAGGAAATCAAGAAGGGAAAAAGGGACAGGTTCAGAAAATATTCATAATGAGCAATATCGCATTTCCCAAAGAAGACAGGTTTTTTAGAGCTGGCCTTTGTAATATAAGGATGAAAGTTTTGGTTATTTATGAAAGAGTTTTACTAAAATTGGGGATAGAGGTGAGTATTGCAGGGAACTAAGCAGTAAATAGTTAATGAACGAGTGAAAGATAATGTATACTGACTTACTCAGAAGTTTGGCAATAAGAAGGTGGTATATAAGATTGAGGGAAAATAAGAAGTCTGGCCTTTTTCTCCTAATTTCAATAAGGTGGATTAGCATATTTGATAAACCCAAAAGGAAAGAGAAGAAAGTGCTAGAAAGGGAGGAGGACATTCCTTTGAACTTGAGGGGCAAACGGCAGAGGAGGTGGGAGAAAGTTTGAGCCCAGTGATTTTAGAATTTTTAGTCCAGTAGAAGAAGATTCTGAAGTGGAGCAAGCTAGGGTTGATTCAGAATTTAGAGGAAAAGGAGAGAACATTTAAAAAACAACAACAAAAAAAACTGGTTATACAATTCACTTTAATGGACTTTTACATGTATAATCATCTAATAAAAACAGGTGTGGGGCATAATGATTTTTCCAGGGGGTAGTCTAGCTATCTCATAGGGTTTAAGTTACTGAAAATTAAGTTGAAATAAAATTGGCACAGACATAGATATTCTGTTTTATGTAACAGAGTAAATCTTTTGTACTACTGTGGCAGAAACCCAAGTGTTTCTGTGCTCTGGAGTGACATTGTTTTAAAGACAGGACATCTGGTGACTACAACTCAGGGGAAGCCACAAATCATCTTTGAGAGTTAACCTGACACAAGCAACCATCTTTAGATTTTTATCAATGCAAGAAAAAAATTAATCTTCATTCTGGTTGGGTCATCGTTTCTCTTATCTGCTTGCTTGTTCTTTGTGGAGGCATTTTGGGATAGTGGAAAGGTGGTTTCATTTACTAGCTGAATAACCTTGAACAAATTGTGGAACTTCCTTATTGTCAGTGTCATCCTCTATTAAAAGTCAGCGTAACAATTATTATTCCTGATTGGTTTAAGAATTAAATAAAACAGACTGACCATCACCTGGTACATGGTAGATAGTAAAGTTAATTCCTTTCCTAAAGCTATTATTGTGTCTTCTTTTAATACCCATCAATCAAGAAAGCAACCAGGAAGGGAATCCATTTCACTCAGGCCCCTTTGTCCTGGAGGTCCTCTGTTCTAAGTGTTTCATTCTGGAAAAATAAGTTGGAAGTTTTTCATTTGCTTCAGCACCACTCCACTGGCTTGCCACATCTTCCTTGGTCTCCTTGGACAGTGTGGTAACTCAGTATTCCAGCTTTCTATCATACTTGGGGTTATGGCCAGAGTGACAGAATGGGCCCAGACCCTGCAGAGTTGAGTAGACGGGCCTCCAGACTAAATAAATCAGGATTGTTCAACCATTTACAATAGCCACCCTGGCCTGGAACTAGCCTTTTGCCATCAGAGTTCCTGGAAAGCAGCAATTTTGTGATGCACTTTGTGGGCTATCAGGATTACATCCAAAGTTAACAAACACTACTAAAAAAAGTTTTGGGATTCAATAAATTAGGAAAATGCTGCATAACTGCCTCTCAAATTCTTATGTGCAGTTAAGTGCTTTGAGAAATTGCACAGTGAAGAACCTTGTTGAACTTTTTTCACCCCGGCACCTCCCAAACTCATTGAACTATTGAACTAGAGCCCTGTTTTTGGGAAGTCACTATTAATGTCCAATGGCTCTTCTGTATCCCATCTACCATTTTCCTTGAAGTGCCTAACCTCCGAAAGAGGTTGCATACTTCCCAAACATGTTAAGACAGGTAAGCCCTGGAAACTTATGTTCTCATGTAACATTTCACTCTTTGCTTTATGATTTTATAAGCTGAGCTTCTGTTTGTGTGCTTGTTCTGACTGATTTGTTCTTTCACCCTGTGTAGCCTAATGCATGGAAAGCTAACAGGATGGAGCACAAGTCAGGATCCCTTTCCTCTAGCCGGGAGTCTGCTTTTACCAGTCCAATCTCTGTTACCAAACCAGTGGTACTGGCTAGTGGTGCAGCTCTGAGTTCTCCCAAAGAGGTGAGTGAGGATGAAGCAGGACAGTCTTTTCTGAAATTGCCATTTCCCGTTCACTTAGATAACAAGTGTAATATGTATAGCTGTGACACTTGTTTTGTAGCTATATTTAGCTGAGAATAGTTTCTTTATTGATGTTTTCTGTTAGCATCCAAAAGTGGGCAGTGGCTAAATGGGATAGATGCTCTGTGGTGGACCAAGGTCATCCTATGTTAGACTGGCATTCTGCTGATGTCTGTAGAAAGATCAAAGAGGTGCCATGTAAGCCAGCTGCTCTTAACTATATAAACCCTGCAAAACTGAAGTTTGAACTGCTTAAATAAAAGGATTGTTTGGTTTAAGACAGAGTGATAAATAGGCTACCAGATTCTTGAAGTCAGCACTTAGTAGAAGAGAACCCCAGTTCTTGCTCTTTGCTGTCAGGAGCAACCTGTTTGTGGTATTTGCCCAGAGTCCCTCCAGCACCACCCCTCCAATTGAGATCAGCTCCTCTCGTCTGACCAAGTTGACCCGCCGAACCACCGACAGGAAGAGTGAGTTCCTGAAAACTCTGAAGGATGACCGGAATGGAGACTTCTCAGAGAATAGAGACTGTGACAAGCTGGAAGATGTAAGAGCATCCGCCTTTTCTGGGGGTAGCCTAGGAATTTTCCTTTGATACATACGTGATTTCTTCTTCTTAAAGGATAAAGATGTGGCAAGATTTTTAAATGTACAGAGATACTGTCTGTAGGTGTAACTGCCTTCTAGACCACATAGTAAAGTGAGTTTAATCCTTTTTTCAGCAAAAATGTTAAATTCGGGTTTATTTTAGTAATCACTCACCTATTGAAGTACATCTTGGTTGCTTCCAAGTGTTGGCAACTATGAATAAAACTGCAGTAAACATCCATGTGCAGGTTTTTGTGCTGGCATAAGTTCAACTCCTTTGGGTAAATACCAAGGAGCGCAATTGCTGGATCATATGGTAAGAGCATGTTTAGCTTGTCAGGAAACCACCAAACTGTCTTCCAAAGTGGTTGTGCCATTTTGCATTCCCACCAGCAATAAATGAGAATTTCTGTTGCTACACCTCCTCACCAGTATTCGATATTATCAGTGTTCTGGATTTTGGCCCTCCTGATAGGTGTGTAGTTTTAATTTGCACTTCCATGATGACATATCATGTGGAGCATCCATCTATGTATCTTCTTTGTTGATGTGTTTGTTCAGGTCCCTTACCCATTTTTTAATGAGGTTGTCTGTTTTCTTATTGCTAAGTTTTAAGAGTTCTTAGAGTTCTTTGTATATCTTAGTTAATAGTCCTTTATTAGATGTGTCTTTGACTACAGTTTCTCCAAGTCTGTGATTTGACTCTTCATTCTTTCTTATTTATTTATTTTGAGACAGAGTCTGGCTCTTATCACCCAGACTGGAGTGCAGTGGCACGATCTGGGCTCATTGCAACCTCCGCTTCCCGGGTTCAAGCGATTCTCCTGCCTCAGCTTCCTGAGTAGCTGGGATTACAGGCACCCGCCACCACGCCCAGCTAATTTTTGTATTCTTAGTAGAGATGGAGTTTCGTCATGTTGGCCAGGCTGGTCTTGAACTCCTGGCCTCAAGTGTTCTGCCTGTCTCAGCCTCCCAAAGTGCTAGGATTAAAGGCATAAGCCACCACATGTGGCCATATTTATTTATTTGTATTACTTTATTTTTTGAGATGGAGTTTCACTCTGTTGCCCAGGCTGGAGTGCAATGGAGCAATCTCAGCTTACTGCAACCACCGCCTTCCAGGTTCAAGCAGTTCTCCTGCCTCAGCCTCCCAAGTAGCTGGGATTACAGGCATGTGCCACCACATGACACACGTTATTTAGCTTCTTAGCTCTGGCCAGAGGACCAGGAAACTACAGTGCAGAACAAGAGGCAGAGGAAGGCCAACCTGCTTCCTTGAAGACCAAGAGCTCAGACCATAACTCTGGAACACAGCCTTGTGGTTCTGATAAGGAATTAGACCTGTGAGGATGAAAGAGTATACTATTTTCTGGAATTTTTTTTGTATGTAGTAGAGACAAGGTTTCACCATGTTGGTCAGGCTGGTCTCGGATTCCAGACCTCAGGTAATCCACCCACCTCAGCCTCCCAAAATGCTGGGATTACAGGCATGAGCTGCCATGCCCAGCCGGCCATATTTGTTTTTGAGACAGTGTCTCACTCTGTCGCCCAGGCTGAATGCAGTGGCATTAATGATCACAGTTCACTGCAGCCTCGACCTCCCCTCCTCAAGCTATGCCTCAGCCTCAGCCTCCCGAGTAGCTGGGACTATAGGCTTGTGCCACCATGCCTGGCTAATATTTTGTTTGGTACAGAGATAGCTTCTTGCTATGTTGCTCAGGCTGGTGTTAAACTCCTAGACTCAAGCAGTCCTCCCACCTTTGGCCTCCGAAAGTGCTAGGATTACAGGTGTGAGCAACTACACTGTCTTTTAATTCTCTTGACAGAGTGTTTTGCAAAGCAGAAATTTTTTTTATTTTAATGAAATCCAGCCTAATTAATTGTAGGCCAGTCACGGTGGCTCAAACCTATAATCCCAACACTTTGGTTGGCTGAGGTGGGCGGATCACCTGAGGTCAGGAGTTTGAGACCAGCCTGGCCAACCTGGCGAAACCCCGTTCCTACTAAAAACAGAAAAATTAGCCGGGCATGGTAGCATGCACCCATAGTCACAGCTACATGGGAGGCTGAGGCATGAGAATCACTTGAACATGGGAGGCGGGGGTTGCAGTGAGCCGAGATCGCGCCACTGCACTCCAGCCTGAGCAACAGAGTGAGACTTGATCTCCAAAAATAAGTAAGTAAATAAACAAATAAATAAATAAATAAATGTCATACCCAAGGTAATCTAAGTTTTCTTTTATGTTATCCTTATAGGAGTTTTATAGTTTTGTGTTTTACATTTAGGTCTGTGACCCATTTTGACTTTATTTTTGTGACGGCTGTAAGGTCTTTGTTTAGATTGATTTTTTTTTTTTTAGTGTGGCTGTCCAATTGTTCCCTCACCATTTGTTGAAAAGACTATCTTTTCTCCATTGTATTTCCTTTGTCAAAGATCAGTTGTCTATTTGTGGGCTCTCTGTTCTGTCCCATTGGACTATTTGTGTCATCTTCTGCCAGTACCACACTTTTTCCCCCCACACCTCTTATGAGCACTGTTACCATACTGTTTTAATTACTCCAGCTTTTGTGGTAAGTCTTGATGTCAGGTAATATCAGTACTCTGGTTTTATTCTTCAGTATTGTGTTGGCTGTTCTGGATCTTTTGCCTTTTCATTAAAACTTTAGAATCAGTTTTGTTGATGCAGCAGGTCCTCATTTGTAAATGGGGAAAAAAATCTGTGGGCTGAGGCTGTCTTTTGGAAAACACTTCCTGGGTCGTGAGTCCTTGATTTCATAGGTTGCTTATATTACTACAAAGGAACCTTAAACCAACTGTGTCCTTCCTTTTCCTTATTGCAGTTGGAGGACAACAGCACACCTGAACCAAAGGAAAATGGGGAGGAAGGCTGTCATCAAAATGGTCTTGCCCTCCCTGTAGTGGAAGAAGGGGAGGTTCTCTCACACTCTCTAGAAGCAGAGCACAGGTAAGTGAGGAGGACATCACAGGGCATGCAGTGTCTGACCTTTAAGGACCTTGAACATACTGGAGAAGATATCTCAGATAGATAGGTCCCACATGCAGAGAGAAGTGGCCCAGTCATAACTTGTTCTCTGTGTATGCCCCAGGTTGGCCTGTTGCTCATCAAGCATTCTCTCTCAAACTCAGCCATCTTTTCCACAATCTACTCTCCAATACTTTAATACTTTTAACTTCAGGCCGGGCGCAGTGGCTCATGCCTGTAATCCCAGCACTTTGGGAGGCTGAGGTGGGTGGATCAGTCAAGGTCAAGAGTTTGAGACCAGCTTGGCCAACATGGCGAAACCCTGTCTCTACCAAAAATACAAAAAGTAGCTGGGCATGGTAGTGTGCGCCTGTAATTCCAGCTACTAGGGAGGCTGGGACGGGAGAATGGCTTGAACCCGGGAGGCGGAGGTTGCAGTGAGCTGAGATTGTACCACTGCACTTCAGCCTGGGTGACAGAGTGAGACTCCATCCCAAAAAAAAAAAAAAGCCAGACTGCAAGTGCTCTCTTTCTTCCTTACACTGTCTTGGTTTTGCTTCTACTGTCTCTTCTTTAGCTCTTCCTCTCTCAACTGTGAAGAGCCTCCATTTATTTACAGCACCCAGGTAGCCACAATTAAAGCTTGTCCCACAGGGAGGAAAACAAAATTCCTTCTTTAACATCCATTGCCCCTGGGCAGAAAACTTTTCTGTGAAAAGTGGTGGGCTGTTCACTTAGGCTTAGTGATGTTGTATTCTCTTTACCTGTCCTTCTGCGTCCACCAGGTTATTGAAAGCTATGGGTTGGCAGGAATATCCTGAAAATGATGAGAATTGCCTTCCCCTCACAGAGGATGAGCTCAAAGAGTTCCACATGAAGACAGAGCAGGTATGTTGTAAACCTTCTTCCTAGAGACCAGTTAGTAACCAGGAGAATAAGGAGTCAAGACAGTTCTTGCCCTGAGGGAGCAAGTTTAATGTGAGAGAAAGATCGGGTGGGGGGGGGGGGGATTACCTTAGTAGAAATGTAGTGGGGCCCCTAAATCTGCCTGGGAAATAAGGATCCCCAGTGTTATATACAAAAACCAAGTGTCAGTGATTAGCAGATTCCAAAAAATAGTATGCTCTTTCATCCTAACAGCTCTAACTCCTTATCAGAACCACAAGGCTGTGTTCCAGAGCTATGGTCTGAGCTCTTGGTCTTTAAGGAAGCAGGTTCACCTTCCTCTGCTTCCTGATCTGCACTGTAGTTTCCTGGTCCTCTGGCCAGAGCTAAGAAGCTAAATAGCTTGTGTCAGTTTATCCAGCAGTTGCTTGGATTCTTTCTCTGAATAAAACACTGCTAGATCTTAGGGTGAACAAGACAAATGGGGTTTCTATAAAAATCCTTGAACTTCTGGTGGCCTGTATTTACAGCACAATTGGCCAAGTCCTTAAAAGGGGCATGGCACAAGCTGATGTGAGACCTTGCCACTTAGAACTCTGTTAGAAATAAGGACTTATGGCTGGGCACAGTGGCTCACGCCTGTAATCCCAACACTTTGGGAGGCCGAGGCAGGCAGATGACGAGGTCAGGAGCTCAAGAGCATACTGGCCAATATGGTGAAGCCCCATCTCTACTAAAAATACAAAAATTAACTAGGCGTGGTGGTGTGCGCCTGTAATCCAAGCTACTTGGGAGGCTGAGGCAGGAGAATCGCTTGAACCCAGGAGGCGGAGGATGCAGTGAGCCAAGATTGTGCCATTGCACTCTAGCCTGGGTGACAGAGCGAGATTCCGTCTCAAAAAAATAAATAAATAAAAAGAAATAAGGACTTTCAAGCCCCATCCCAGACATTCTGAATCTGAATCTGCATTTTTGAAAGATGCGTAGATGACTCGTAAATTAAAATTTGAAAAGTACTGGTATAAGAGATCTCAGAGGGTCTCTTAGAAGCACCCCCCGCCCCACATTCTACCTAGAATTGAATTGAGGCCTGGCCTTTCCCAGGGCTTATGGGTCAGTACAGTCATTGATATTTTTTTCTTTTTTCTTTCTCTCCCATGCTAACCATAGCTGAGAAGAAATGGCTTTGGAAAGAATGGCTTCTTGCAGAGCCGCAGTTCCAGTCTGTTCTCCCCTTGGAGAAGCACTTGCAAAGCAGAGTTTGAGGACTCAGACACCGAAACCAGTAGCAGTGAAACATCAGATGACGATGCCTGGAAGTAGGCATATAAATGCTCACAGTTAAATCTGACCCAGTAAACTCTGTGTGTTTAGGGAGTATACAAAAGAAATCGTTCTTTTCCTTTTCTTATGTTGTTGAATACTTCATTCACAAGGGAAATAATCATATCCCAAAGAGAGAGCAATTGGCTTGTTTTGCTTTTGTTATTGTTCTTCCCTGTTATCTGCTTTATAGAGAGAAGTTTGTGTGGTGGGACAGATTTTTTAAACACACTCACACACACACACACATACACACCCAGTATATATGGGGCGATGCACAGGTAGGAGCTGGCAGTGCAGGGAAGAGGAGACACTGGTCTGCAGCAACAGCTTCTACTACCAGCCCTTGGGGCACTCACCCCTGTGATCAAGCAATCATTGTCAATGACAAAGTGACTATTGAAGTTATAATTGTATTAAATTAATGCTAATAATTTGGATATTTTATTTTATTTTTGGCTGCTCGGGTAACTTTAGCCCTTAACCAAGCATATGTGGGTTTTTTTGGTTGTTTTTTTTTGTTTTTTTTTTCTTTTTCCTTTTTGGGTACAGCTGTAAAATATTTGGATATAGGAAATGTTGTGTTATTCTTGCAGCCTTGATATTCAGGGTGGATTGTAAAATATAAATTTTTGTGAGATTTCAAAGATTAAGATTATTTTGATAACATTATTTACAGATTTAAAAGATGTGGTTATCACAAGTCTCGAGGGGGAAACTACTGCATAAAATAACTAACTTGGAATAAATATTTTGCATCAGTTTGGATTGTCTTGTGTAAGAAGTATATTTTCTTTAAAATTAGATGAGTGGATTCTTTTTTAGGGGAAATATTTTTAGAAGTTGGGGGGAAATGTGAATTCAGACACAACTGTTTCTCTATTTTAGCAGATACTTTTTTGATGCAGAAAAACCTGTGCAATAAATTACCAGTAATAAAGTCAGAAACCAAGTTTTTTTTTTTTCCTGAAACTGTTTTTTAGTGCCCATGTATTTACCAGTGTACGTATTTTAAGGGAAGTCTGTTCTGTTTTCCTACTAAATAAGAACTTGGAGTGGGGGTTGGGGGAGAGTTGGACGATGGTAGCTGAATGGCTAGTGAAGGAAGCAGGTTTTTTCATTCAACAAATACTTTTTTTTTTTTTTTGAGACGGAGTCTCACTGTGTCACCCAGGCTGGAGTGCAGTAGCGATCTCAGCTCACTGTAAGCTCCGCCTCCCGGGTTCCCACCATTCTCCTGCCTCAGCCTCCTGAGTAGCTGGGACTACAGGCGCCTGCCACCACGCCTGGCTCATTTTTTGTATTTTTAGTAGAGATGGGGTTTCACCGTGTTTGCCAGGATGGTCTCGATCTCCTGATCTTGTGATCCACCCACCTCGGCCTCCCAAAGTTCTGGGATTACAGGCGTGAGCCACCGCACCCGGCCCATTCAACAAATACTTTCTAAGCCCGTGTTGTATGTCCCAGGCATTATGCAAGGCTCTGAGGATGCAAGGAGTGCCCAGCCCAGTAGGGGAGAGAATAGACAGTGATGTAAGAAAAGGACAGGGGTTCAAGACCAGCCTGGGCAACACAGTGACCTGTCTCTATAAAAAACAAAAACATTAAAATGGTCAGGTCCAGCCAGGCGTGGCTCACGCCTGTAATCCCAGCACTTTGGGAGGCTGAAGCGGGTGAATCACCTGAGGTCAGGAGTTCGAGACCAGCCTGGCTAACATGGTGAAACCCCATCTCCACTGAAAATACAAAAAATTAGCCAGGCATGGTGGCGGGCGCCTGTAGTCCCAGCTACTCGGGAGGCTGAGGCAGGAGATTGGCGTGAACCCAGGAGGCAGAGCTTGCAGTGAGCTGAGATAGCGCCACTGCACTCCAGCCTGGGAGAAAGAGTGAGACTCTGTCTCAAAAAAAAAAAAAAAAAAAAACAACCAGGCATGGCAGCAAGCACCTGTAATCCTAACTATTTAGGAGGCTGAGGCAGGAGAATTGCTTGAGCCCAGGAGGCAGAGGTTGCAGTGAGCCCATACTGCACCATTGCACTCCAGCCTGGGCAACAGAGCAAGACTCTGTCTCAAAAACAGAAACAAAATAGACAGGTCCACGTGGTAGCACACACTTGTAGTCCCAGCTTCTTGGGAGGCTAAGGCAGGAGGATTGCTTGATTCCAAGGCAGTTCAGGGCTACAGTGAGCCATGATGGCACCACTACAATCCAGCCTGGATGACAGTCCTGCTCCCGCCTCTTCGGCCTAGAGCAGGAGATTAGAGAACTACAAGCTGTCTCTTGAGGGAAAAAAAAAAAAAATGGTAGTAGTATTTCTACTGAATGCCTATCACTGTTGCACCATTGTAAAGTCAACCAGTCAAAAGTCTTAACCATTGAAAATTGGGACAAACTTAGTTGTTGAAAAGGAGGTTTTGATTTGGGCTTTGCCATTTACTTGTTTTCTGAGAACATATTTCTAAAAATGTACTCTTTATGTCAGTTGGAATTAAGCTGAACTGAGATGACATACTTTGAACACTTTGTAACTTGCTGCTGGTGGGTCATACCTTGGCTTTAGGTACTGAGTAGGGAAATGTCTTAAGTCCCTGTCTTGTTTAGAAAAGGGAGTTTCGGCCAGGCATGGTGGCTCACACCTGTAATCCCAGCACTTTGGGAGGCCGAGGCGGGGGAATCACGAGGTCAGGAGATCGAGACCATCCTGGCTAACACTGTGAAACCCCGTCTCTACTAAAAATACAAAAAATTAGCCAGGCATAAGGCTGGGCGCAGTGGCTCACGCCTGTAATCTCAGCACTTTGGCACGCCGAGGCGGGCGGATCACAAGGTCAGGAGATCAAGACCATCCTGGCTGACACGGTGAAACCCCATCTCTACTAAAAATACAAAAAAAATTAGCCGGGCACAGTGGTGGGCACCTGTAGTCTCAGCTACTCGGGAGGCTGAGGCAGGAGAATGGCTTGAACCCGGAAGGCGGAGCTTGCAGTGAGCCCAGATAGTGCCACTGCACTTCGGCCTGGGCGAAAGAGCGAGACTCCGTCTAAAAAAAAAAAAAAAAAAAAGCCGGGTGTGGTGGCAGGTGCCTGTAGTCCCAGCTACTGGGGAGGCTGAGGCAGGAGAATGGTGTCAACCTGGGAGGCAGAGCTTGCAGTGAGCCGAGATCGTGCCATTGCACTGTAGCCTGGGCAACAGAGCGAGACTGTCTCAAAAAAAGAAGAGAAAAGGGTGTTTCTTGGCCGGGCGCAGTGCCTTACGCCTGTAATCCCAGCACTTTGGGAGGCCAAGGCGGGCAGATCACGAGGTCAGGAGATCAAGACCATCCTGGCTAACATGGTGAAACCCCGTCTCTACTAAAAAATACAAAAAATGAGCCAAGCGTGGTGGTGGGCACCTGTAGTCTCAGCTACTTGGGAGGCTGAGGCAGGAGAATGGCGTGAACCCAGGAGGCAGAGCTCATTGCAGTGAGCTGAGATCGCGCCACTGCACTTCGGCCTGGGCGACAGCGAGACTCCATCTCAAAAAGAAAAAAAAAAAAGTAAAGAGGGTTTCTTAAGAAATATGCGGTCACCTCAGAGCTCCTCCATATATTTTGGGAGTGGGAGTGGAGTGAAGAATTTCACCAACAGTTCAGGGTCTTTCTGGCTTCTGGCCAATCTTGGGAGAGAGAAGGGGTTTTTTTCTGGACTTGATTCCCTCATCTGATAGATTCATTCTGTTCGCCCACAGCTTTCATTTCTTGGGCTGTGCTGATTATCTTCGTCTACAGCTGAAAAATGAGGAATCAGGGAATGGGAGTTAGGGAGACTGCTATCCCTGGTGCGACATGGTTTCCAGGCAGAATGCTGGAAAGGTCAGAGTGCCTCCTTTGCCAGGTAGTTCTCTGGATTGGAGAATGGTACAAACTGTTACATCCACTTGGGAGTACAGCAATGAAAAAGATGACACTTGCCTTTTAGAGGCTATTAAATGACCAATGATGTAGTAAGTGATAAGGGCCCAGCCTAGTCTAGGAGGCAGCTGCTTTTTCCTCTTTATTAATAGTCAGGGAAACCAAGCTACAATTAGAGACTTGCCCACGTTCAGACTTTGTAACACTTTTTCAAGCCAGTGGCTCCTCCCAAACGGCCGAGGTTTCCCCACCCATTCTCCTGACCTGCCCAGCCCTGTGGTTGCTGTCCAGGGAGCTAAGGCTCTCCCCAAACAAACTTGAAGATCTCACAGACCTAATAGACACGGCCTTTCCTCTCTGCCTCTGGCTTTATGTCTCTTTCATCCTCCTCTGCCTTTCCCCTGCCCTTGATCCCTTCTGCAGGTCTTGGCTGGTTTCAGGAAACGGGTCCCATCCCATGGACTCCCACTCTGGGGAGCCTGCGCTCCTGCCCTGTGGGACCTGTGACATGGTTTTCCGCTCCTCAGCTCTGTTAGCCACCCATACTCAGCGCTTCTGCATTGGCCACCCGACCCAAGAGATGACATTTGGAGCACAGGCATCAGTTGCCACTGAACCCCAGCGGGCCGCGGTAAGGGCCTCCATGGCCATGGGTGGGGATTCAAAGGAGCCAGGACCTTTATGATTCCTCATCCTACTACACCCTATCCCCAGGTTGTGCCACAAGAACACCAGGGCGTGCCACAAGAACCCCAGGGCCTCCCAGACCAGCAGGCCAGTAGATCTGCTCTAAAGAGGTTAACAGAGGAGGTAGAGCTACCTACCTTCCCCCAGGGCTCAAAACGTTGAGCGTCTTCCCCAAACCTGTAGATCATACTTGGGACAGATTCTGCCCACGCAGAGATCGCGGATCGCTGTTACCTCCAGGTGCAGTGGCTGCGGCTATCCCTACAGGAAATGCGGCCCTGGATAACAGAGGTCCCCAGGGTGTTCGCGGGGCCCTGGACACGTTCCGAGGCGCGGCCTCAGAGTCCCATGTCCGAGGCGGTGGGAAGCCCCAGCGAGCGGCTGCGGGCGCTGTTCAGGACTCGCGCGAGGCGCGTGGCGGAGATGGAAGCGCAGAGCCGGGCCCTGCAGCTACGCGGCGAGGGTGAAGGAGATGGGGGACGGGGACCAAGGACCTCCTCTGCCCTCGCCGTTTGGCTTAAGCTTGCTCGGGCCGGTTCTGACTCGGCCCGCATTCCCTCAGAACTGAGCCGACGCCTCCAAGTTGTGGCCTGTACGCGGGGCGGGATGTCCCGCCTCTTCGGCCTGGAGCAGGAGATTCGAGAACTACAAGCTGAGGCCGGGAGGACGCGGGGAGCTCTAGAGGTGTTGGGGGCCCGCATTCAGGAGCTGCAGGCGGAGCCAGGGTGAGACCCGACTAAGCGGATCCCCGGAACATGCGGCTCCGGGGTGGGAGGGGCGGGCTGGCTGCAGCCCCGGGGCCTCTGATGCGTTACCGTCTCCCTGCGCGTCGCCTGCCACCCCAGGAACCCGCTGAGCTCCCGGCGAGAGGCAGAACTTTATTCTCCAGTGCAAAAGGCCAACCCGGGAACTCTGGCTGCCGAAATCCGGTGAGAGCCGGGGCCGGAGATGGGCATAGGGCGAAGCGCTGAGCAGTTCTGGAAAGACGGCCTTCCTGTTCCCCACTCCCTAGGGCGCTGCGGGAGGCCTACATTCGAGACGGGGGCCGGGACCCCGGCGTGCTGGGCCAGATATGGCAGTTGCAGGTGGAGGCGTCTGCACTGGAGCTGCAGCGGTCGCAGACCCGCAGAGGTGAACAGGAGGGCCTCTCGCCAGCGGTGGTCAGTCCTGGGAGGAGAAAAGAACTCGAGGGAGGGCCTGTGGCTGTGGATGGCATGTGAGCTGACAAGTCCAGCCTTATCCGAAGAGCCTTAGCGCTGGAGAGCTGCTCACAGCCGGACGCGGCCAGTCACCAGAGGTCAAAGGTGACAGGTCACACTTGTTCATCGCAGGAAGGGCAGGTGCCACCTCAGGGGAGCTTCCAGTAGTGGAGGCTGAAAACCGGCGCTTGGAGGCAGAAATCTTGGCCTTGCAAATGCAGAGGGGTCGGGCACCCTTGGGTCAGTGAGCACCCCAACCCTATCCCATCCCACTTATCTCTCCCCAGCAGGCCTGGCTCAGGCAGACAGTGCATGGGGAACAAGACCCGTGTTTGTGACTCCCCTAGTTCATGTCTGCACGTGTGTATCCCTGTATCCACAGGGCTCCGCCAACCCATTTGTGGGCCCAACTCTTGGGGGAGGGGTATCTCAGCTAATTACCTGCTTTGTCCAACTTAGGGGCACCCTAACTCTTCTGCTCCTAGGGCCCCAGGATCTGCGACTCCTGGGGGATGCCAGCCTACAACCGAAGGGGAGGAGAGATCCCCCACTCCTCCCGCCACCGGTGGCACCACCGCTGCCACCACTTCCAGGCTTCTCGGAGGTTCAGTTCTTGGGTGGGGCAAAGGCTGTGAGGACACGGGGTGGGTTGGGGGAACAGGTTGGAGGCAGCTCTGCTCTGAGCAGTTGGGGGAACATGAGCAGCTACAAGGCTTTCTGGAGGAGTCAGCTCTCTTCCCCACAGCCACAGCTTCCTGGAACAATGACCAGAAACCTGGGCCTGGACTCACACTTCCTCCTGCCCACATCGGACATGCTGGGCCCTGCACCCTATGATCCTGGGTGAGGCCCGTGCCACCTTCGACAGCCTCTGTGACTTGGCCAGCACTGCTGGTTAAGGGAGCCCACTAGGACCAGATAGGGTTAGGGACCTGCCTGAGAGGAGGGAGGTTGAAAGGAGTTGGGTATTTCTGTGCTAAGACTTGTGTTCCCCAGGGCTGGCCTGGTCATTTTCTATGATTTCCTGCGGGGCCTTGAGGCTTCCTGGATTTGGGTGCAACTAAGGACTGGCTTGGCACGCGATGGACGGGATACAGGAAGGACCACAGCGTTGCCCCCAGCCCTTTGCCTGCCCCCACCTCCTGCTCCCGGGCCCATGGGCAACTGTGCCATCCTTGCCAGCAGGCAGCCTGTGCCCAGGTCAGTAGGTGGGGATCATGACTCTGGTACTCTGCCACAGTTGAGGCTTATCCACCATTCTGCTAAGTTTTCTCATCTGTATACAGAGGCCGCTGGCTCTAAAGGGCTAAGTCCTAGAAAGGGACTGTAGCTCTGGCTTCCGACACTGCTTTTTGGTTATTCTACAGACTACCACCCTCATCATCAGTATCTTTGGTCTGTGAGCTGCAGGTCTGGCAGGGGCTAGCATGGGCTAGGGCACCACAGCCAAAGGCTTGGGTCTCACTTGGACTATTTGACCAAGATCAGCGGGTGCTAAGTGGCCGCTGGCGCCTCCCACTTCGGGCCCTTCCTCTGGACCCCAGCCTTAGCCTTGGGCAGCTGAATGGGATTCCTCAGGTGAGTGTGGTGCGCAGGGATTGGGCATACAGCAAAGTACAAGTGCAATACCATTTCATCTCTCCCCAGGCAGGTCAGGCTGAGCTCTTTCTGCGGCTGGTGAATGCAAGAGATGCAGCTGTACAGACACTGGCAGAGATCAATCCAGCAAGTGTCCATGAGTACCAGTACCCACCTCCGGTGAGGGCCCAGCTGCAGCTAGGGACACCACAGCTACACATACCGGTGTGGCTGGTATGGCTAACGGCCAGCCTTTATTGACCACTGTGTGCCAGTCATTACCAATGCTTTCTTGTTTGATCCTCACATCTCTATGAAGTCCTACTATGTAACAGATAAGGAAATCAAAGCAGGAGCAGGTTAACTTGGTTCACAGTAAGTGAGACTCTAAGGAAGCCTAACTAACTCCAAAACCTGTGTGCTTAACCTTTACATTTTTGCTCAAAACCTGCCTTCTCCTGTTCCACAGGTGTCCAGCACATCTTCACTGGAAGCCAGCTTCCTCACCCCCGCAGTTGGCTTTGCTGATCCCCCACCTCGTACAGAAGAGCCCCTCAGTGGAGTCAAGGATAGAGATGAGGGTTTGGGCCCTCACCACAGTTCTGACTTGCCCCCAGTGAGTTTCTGAACCCAAGTGAATGTGGAGATGAGCATCTGAACATGCACAGGACTGGGGCCTATTTCCAGACCTACAGGTTTACTACTCCATGTTCTGACATTGGGTCTAGAAGCATCTAGCAGTTGAGTACAGAAAACCAGTTCCAACCACAGCTTTACCACCTCCCGTTAAGTCCTTAACTTTTCTGTACCTCTTCTGTTTTTGTAAAACAGATTAAGGATTAAATGAGTTTGTCAGGTATTTGTGATATTGTCTGGCACTTATGAAGTTCTCCGAAAGGTGACTAGGGGGCATTAATTCCCACTAAAGCAACTTTAAATTCCCACTAGTTCCCACTGCTTTTTTTGGTAAAGCCAGTTTTATTGCCAAACTTAAATCCGTTTCCTCAGTATTTCTGCCAGGAAACCTTTCAGGTTCTCAATGTACCCATAAACAGGAAGCTCCTGAGGCCTTATGTACTTTGATTCTGGGATAGGTCCCCAGCCCAAGGTTGTTCCCCCAACCAGGGGTCACATGTGAGATCTAGCTTAGATACTGTGCCTAGCCCTAGATCCCAGTGCCAACCAGAGAAGGTCAAGTGCCTGGGAGTAAACTACATCGTGACTGTCCTGACCAAGAAAAGGGGGCAAAGCGCCTCAGGACCTGGAACATATACTGCAAGGGCAACATCAGGAAGAAACTCCACAGCCAGGATAAGCCAGAGATCCTGCAACCATGAGTTACTGTGACCAGCCCAGAAAAACTTACTTAGTCTGAAAAATTGGGTTGAATTTAGGGGCCGGCCATCGCTTCCTCTGCCTCCAGTGCAACAAAAGCAGCCCTATGGGTGTCATGACTACTAAATTGAGGTGGTGATATAGGGCAGGCATTGTTTGGAATTCAGATCCTAACTGGTACTTAGAGTCAGGTCAGAGGCAGTTCAGTCTCAAGTGAGCCCTGACCCCTAGACACCAGTGAGAGCACAACAGGTCTAACATTAATACTAGTGCCCTCACCACCAGCATCCTTGGACTGGTGGGCTCGTTTCTGCCTTTGAAACCCTCTATCGCACACAGAAATGCTCCAGGCAGTCAGGTGAAGTGGCTCACGCCTGTAATCCTAACACTTCCTGAGGCCAAAGTGGGCAGATCACTTTAGGTCAGGAGTTCGAGACCAGCCTGGCCAACATGGTGAAACCTCGTCTCCACCAAAAATACAAAAATTAGCCTGTAGTGCTGGCTACTTGGGAGCCTCCTGAGGCAGGATAATCTCTTGAACCCAGGAGACAGAGGTTGCAGTGAGCCGAGATCACGCCACTGCACTCCAGCCTGGGCGACAAGAGCAAGATCCCATCTCAAAAAAGCAGCCTAAGACCCCACTTAAGATCTTTAAACATAATTCCAGACAAGGAGATTTTTAGCATCTTTATTTGAGAAGTCAATTCTGCAGATGGGTAACAATTCCAAGTGTTGATATATCTCAACCTTTCTATACAGAAAATAACAAAACTCAACCAGCCAGCCTCCCCACATATGCTTCCAACCACATCTGGAGTGTCCACCATCAGTCCCCTTGGCTACTTTCAAACCAGAGCTCAAATGCAGACCGTTTTCCTTAGGAATCATTCCCCTGACCCAGGTTTTCAGAGTTCTTTTTCCAGGACAGAATTATAGCCCCAGGTGAAGACTAGGTGGATATAGGACAAGAACCATCCTAGGCCTGGCTCACAGCCAAAGTCCATCATCCATTTTCAGCACTGAAGAGCAAGATCTTCACCAATTCTTGTTTTTGTAGCCCCCATCCAGGGACAGCACCACTGAAAGTTTGCAAGACAGCTGGGTTCAGTGAAGTGTTTGAAAACAGAATATAGCACCATTGGAAAACAAAGGCCTACAGCCACACTTGATCACCTCCACGTTAGACAGATAGGAATTAGGATCAGGAACACAGATCAGTACAGAAGGCCAGAACAAAACCTTTGGCTAATATATAAAACCAGCAGTGCTCCAAGGCAGATTCAGCCAATAATTAAGAAAAAAACCATCAAAGCCTCAACCTTTGCTTACAATCTTTATTGAAGTTATACAAAAAGAATCCTCCAAAAGTGAAAAAATACATTATATACAAAAACACTTTCCCTTGGGAGGAGGGCTGTGCCCCCTCTTAACATGCAGTGCTTTCAACTGTAGCTCCAGCCTCCACTGTCCCCTCCACTGCTGCCCGGCTTTCAGCCTGATTCTCAGCCTGGAAGACAAACAGAACCTGGGCATGAGTGAGCCTAGTTTAAGCCATTCTGTCTTATATAACTGAGGCCTCAGTCATAGGAAGCATATACAAGTCACCCAAACTCTGCTTTGCTCCCTATATTAAGAGGGCAGTGACCACAAAGTATTTCTTGAATACTCTGTGATAATGGGGCTGACAGAGCCAATAATCATCACGTGGAAGGAAGTGACCTAATGGTTTTGCCCATCAAGTGCCTTCTCATATATTCATCGAGGGACCTATAATATACAGGTTCCATTTGTCAGTGAGTCATCCTATACTCCCATAACCAAACTGTTTTCCTGCACAAGTACCGTTTTCTGTGAGGACTGCACTCAACAATCGTTAGCAGGCTCAAGGTGGGGAGCATGCACTTGAGAGGACTGATTTCCCCAGGTCCTGAGAACAAGGAATGAGGCAAGAGGCTAAGCCCTGCTTAACTGCCCACCTCCTCCTCCATGTTTTCCGAAACTTCATTTCCACTGGGGACAGCATCCCCACTGCCTCCGTTCACCTCCGGCTCTTGTTTGGCTTTCTTTGCATCATCTTTCCGGGGACTCTCTTCCTCTGGTTTCCTCTAAAGATATAATTGTGAAGGCTTCACAAATGTGCTTAATGTTTTTAAAAAGACAACTGCAAAACATTTCCTTAACCCTTGTGGTGCAAAGATCCTGAACATCAGGATTCACAGCTCTAAGGGTCTCTCTCCCTAGCCACAGGCAGATGCCAACCTGTACTCTCAGAATGTATTAATCTGTCCCACCATATCACTTCAGGCCCCTCTACCGGAAGCACAGGGAGATAGGGTTGGGGTGAGGAGATGTGAATGGTAATCACTGTACAAGTTTGAATTCCTGTGTTTGAGTCAGGAAACAGAACAGGAGTTCAGAGTTCCCTGGCTGAGGGCAGTGGCTCACGCTTATAATCCCAGCACTTTGGGATGCCGAGGTGGGTGGATCACGAGGTCAGCAGTTCAAGACCAGCCTGGTCAGTATGGCAAAACCCAGTCTCTACTAAAAATACAAAAACTAGCCAGGCGTGGTGGCGGGCGCCTGTAATCCCAGCTACTTGGGAAGCTGAGGCAGGAGAATCACTTGAACCCGGGGGGCAGAGGTTTCAGTGAGCCGAGACTGCGCCACTGCACTCCAGCCTGGGTGACAGAGCAAGACTCCGTCTCAAAACAAAACAAAACACAACAGTCTCCACTCACAAATCCTTACCACCTTTGGAAAATAAGTGTCTTATATGCACCAACTATAGGGAGGGGTTTATAGGAAAGGGATTAAAAATGGAGTCTGAGGAAACGGTAGAAAAGAAACACCACATGTAGACTTACCTTCTTTCTGACAAGGTGGGAAATATCAGTCACACAATTTGATGAGGAAGCACCGTCTGTTGGCTTTCTACTGGCAATCTGGCAAAATAAGCCCTTATTAGCAATTGTACAAGCTATATGAGATCAATGCTGAGGCTTTTATAATTTTTTAGTTTTTCAGAGACAAGGTCTCACTATGTTGCCCAAGCTAGTGTTGAATTCCAAGCCTCAGGCAATCTTCCTGCCTTGGCCTCCCAAAATGCTGGGATTACAGGCATGAGCCAACACTGAGACTTAATGTAAGTGACCAAAAAACCACCTGAATACGCACCATGGAGACTGAAGAGCCTCCTCCACCAGGAGTGAAACCTGAAGTAGAACTCTCCACCTGCGAGAAATGACAAATCCAAATTAGTTTGAAGATAGAACCCAGGCCGCCCACAGCCTTGTAACAGGAACCCATCACCATCCAAACAACTGACTAAGACCTGAAATGCTAGTGGCCTCCATATAGTATCCAGTTCTACCCCTGGCCCACCTATGCCTGTCTAGCAGCCACCCAGAGCATAGTCTATACATAGAGTGTACATAATAAACTAAATCTTCTATATCCTACCTGCAGGGTAAAAAGGTCTGTGCCAAAAACAGAACCAGGCAATTTGTGGTGAATGCCTCTCAATGCCTCATTAATTTATGCAAATGAGTTCTTGGAGATGGAAATAGCAACTTACATTTTTTAAGAAATGTCTATTTTTCCAGTACTGTCAGAAGTATATTTTACACATATGTACTACAGGTCGGGCATCCCATCCCTTAATCCAACAATCTGAAACTTTTTGAGGACTGACTGACACTCAAAGGAAATGCTCTCTGGAGCATTTCAGATTTTAGATTAAGGGTATCCAACTGTTGAGTATGATGCAAATATTCCAAAATCCAAAAGCATTTGAAATGCAAAACACTTCTGGTCTCAAGCATTCAGGTAAGGATACTCAACCTGTATTATCCCCATTTTACAAATCGGTCAACTGAGGGAGAGAAAGGCCCATGGCCACACGTAAGTATGGAATTAAAACCCAGATAGTCTGGGGCTCCAGGGTATTTCCTCTTAACCACTGCATTACTTGATAGGAATAATTAGATGAGCCCACCAACTCCCTGGAAACCAAGTCATGATGAAAAGTTCCTGGCAAATAGAACATTAACATAAATGGTACCAAACATGCTATTATCAAAATGTTAACGGAACCAACCAGAGTAGCTTTCAGAGCCAGTTCAGCTACATTCCCACTACGCTGAGACTCCTTTGCATCTTCTATCTTCTCTCTAATTTCGGGTAGCAGTTCCTTTAGTTCCTCAATTTCTTTCTTGTATTCAGCAGACGATCCTTCAGCCTCCTTCACCTGCTCGTTTAGTACAGCTAAAAAGAATAAAGTGATTAGTAATGGCTCAAAAAAGAACTGTTTTCTTCCTTGTTAATTGCTGGATCCAACATCACCATGAAGCAGCTCGTCTTCACTCACCCATTCTGTTCTCAATGACTTCAATAGATTTGCTGAACTGTGCCACTGCCTCATCATACTGAGAGTTGTACCCATAAGCCAAGCCCAGCTGGTAGTGGGTCTCTGCAAGGAGACGGTCGTGGGCTTCCAGGTACTGTTCCTGCAGGTTAAGGCAGGACTGGAACTCCTCCACAGCTTGCACATAGTTTTCTAACAAAGAGAAAAAGAAGAGCAAGTAAATGGACAGCATTCAACATAAAATACTTCCAGAATTCAGACCCATCCTATGGGAATGCACCCATATTTAACATTCCATTTTTGTTTATAGTTATTTCCAGGACCCTTGGCTATAAAGAAAGTCAAAATGACTTTTAAAAACCTACTGAGGCTGGGCGTGGTGGCTCACACCTGTAATCCCAGCACTTTGGGAGGCTGAGGCGGGCAGATCACAAGGTCAGGAGTTCAAGACCAGCCTGGCCAATATGGTGAAACCCCGTCTCTACTAAAAATACAAAAATTAACCGGGCGTGGTGGTGGGTGCCTGTAATCCCAGCTACTCGAGAGCCTGAGGCAGGAGAATCGCTTGAACCCGGGTGGCGGAGGTTGCAGTGAGCCGAGATTACGCCATTGCACTCCAGCCTAGGCGACACAGCAAGACCCCATCTCAAAAAAAACAAAACAAAACAAACCTACTGGAAGACTGAGTGCCACTTGGAAGAGACTGTTCATTGTTCCAGGGTCTACAGGGAACACAGACCTATCTTTTTAAAGATCAAGTTCG